>NC_000010.11:94234004-94537034 GCF_000001405.40 Homo sapiens
ACTATATTATTTCTCCTTCAGTCTGAAAAATGTCATTTACTTGCAATAGGTCAAGAAAAGTTTTAAAAATGTGGCAGTTCATGGACCAGTCTGATATTGAGACCATGAGGAGCCTGAAGGATGCTATGGCCCAGCATGAGTCCTCTTGTGAGTACAGAAAGGTGGTGACACGTGCCCTGCACATCCCTGGCTGTAAGGTGGTTCCATTCTGTGGGGTGTTTCTGAAGGAGCTCTGTGAAGTGCTTGACGGCGCCTCCGGTCTCATGAAGCTTTGCCCGCGGTACAATTCCCAAGAAGAAACTTTAGAGGTAAGGCCTTTCAGAATCATCGTGGCCTGAAGAGCCACTGTTGCTGGCTGTCTCATCAGGCCCTGTCTGTGCTCACCAAAGAAATGATCACTGATTGAACACAGGGTTAATAGTTGTTATATTATTTCTGGGTAGCACATAGATCCTTGGAAGTTCTGTAGAAAAGAATGCCAACTAGCGCTGTGTGGGACATAGTATTGTGAAGTTAGTTTTAATGTATTAGGTTTAATATGTAAGTACAAGTCAAAAAGGGTGTTGTTTTCTGATGGTTTTTAAAGATTGACAGGTTTTTCTTATTGGGTGGGAATGTCTGGATGCAGGGGATGAAGACAGTCAATTGAGAGTATTAAGTTTTCCACATCAGTGGAAGAAAAAAGAGGGGAAGTCAACACTGCTTTCTGTTCATCCTTTGTGGGAAAATGCTGGGGAGCCTGGAGACGCATGTAGAGACAAGCTCCAGGCTCCTGATCCTCAGAGCCTTGTTTCTCCCAGATCCATTGCCTCCTGTTCCTGATTCCCAGAGCAGAAGGGACAGTGTGAGCTTTGACCCAAGGCATTGGGCATTGGAGAGAAGGGGAGTTGAGAAACTGGAGGGAAAAGATAAGGAGGCTCCCTCCAAGGTGTTTAAAAATGAAAGAAGTGACTAAAATGGAAAGAACTTTATGGAGATTTTGAGAAGTCCCTTACCGGGGACCAAACCCAAATCTAGGATCATTCCTGCCATGATGACAGAACCTACTACTGACCTTTCACACACACACACACACACACACACACACACACACACAGAGTCATGTACATGCCTTCTCCATGGAGTGGGAAGACTCTCCTCAACCTTCAGCCTCTTCTTTGTCACCTGGGAGCAAAGGCATCACCTGATATCAGAAAGACTTAAGAGCTCCTGACAGGTACAGGCAACACCACCGGCATCTCTCTGGGTTATGAGCTAGGATAAAAGGGCAAGAAATGGAGGAGAAAGCTTAAAGGAAGACTCCCGGGCCACACCCCCTAGCTTCCTCATGTCTTAAGAAGAGGGAACTCCACATCTCTTATCCCAGACACAGCTCTCACCTCTGATGAGAGAAGCTTCCTAATCAACTGTATGAACAATAAGGCTTAAAGAGCTTAAAAACCAGGAAGAAGCCACTGTGTTATTATAGAACACATGAGCAATAAAGCAAAACATCACCTCTTCTCAGTGTTTTGCTTGGGCCCAGTCATTTTTTCTGGTTCCATAGAATAGCATACTTTACTCATGGTTTTTCTCAGTTCTCACTATAAGGATAAAATAACCATGCTCTTCCTCTGCAAATTGGCTAATCTTCTCCTTAGGGAGCCCTGAAATAATATTTTTTTTGTTTTAAATTTGAAGTGGAGTGTCGATTCCCAGAGGGATTAAAGTTGTCTCAGTGGAAACAAGGGTGAGTTTTGATATTTCATGTGGTGAAATGAAAAAATGTTTTTCCTGGAGGCTCTTGTTTTCTTTCCCATAAAATAGGCACAAATGCCATTATTTATTACTTTATGATTTCATTTCCCTAGCCAAGTATGTTATCCAGGCATATTAAGTTGCAATAGCAAATTCTCGATTTTTTTTTGTAGTTTGTAGCAGATTACAGTGGACAAGATAATTTCTTACAACGAGTGGGACAAAATGGCTTAAAGAATTCGGAGAAGGAGTCCACTGTCAACAGCATCTTTCAGGTCATCCGGAGCTGCAATCGAAGTCTGGAGACAGACGAGGAGGACAGCCCCAGTGAAGGAAACAGCTCCAGGAAAAGCTCCTTGAAGGATAAAAGCCGATGGCAGTAAGTTTTACACGTTAAAAGTGAGGAATGCTCATCTCTTCTTTTTTCCTGTTGATGAGTTGTTTCCTACTTCAGCTTAGTTTCAGATGGACACCTCATCAAAACCTGCCACTTTTATCATTAAGCCACACTTCTTTATCTTCAAACCTTACCAATTCCAAATTCACATTTACCTTTCTCATTTTGCTGCTTTGTTCTAAAATTACTGCTCATAATTTAACTTCTTACCATCTGTTACCCCTTTAAAAAAAAAACAAAAACCTAGAGCTATCCTGCCATTTCTAAGAATTCAACACATTAAATTTCAGAAGGAGAGCTGTGATCTTTTATTTCCTAGTTTTTGTAACAGTGGTTTTTTTAATTCTTGGGTGGGGTACTAGGGTGGGTATTAAGATATTTTTAAATCAAATCTACTGACTTAGTTAGGTCTGGGTGATACCTAGAAATCAGTATTTTTATCTCTGCCAACCTCTGGGTGATTCTAAGTCGAGGGTTAGTGATCTCACTTCGAGAAACACTGCTCTGTAAGGTGTGTTAAAATTAACCCTACACACACAAGGCATCTGCAGGTTTTTAAATTGCTCAGTAATTCCAGTTTCTCAGAGATTATTTCAAAGATTTTTCACTTAACAGGTTGCTAACATTAGTGGCAATCTATATATAGAGAGAAGACCATCTGCAAATAATCACCTCTGCACAGAAAGCCTCTCAGAGCCATTTAAGTTCTTAATCTCCCTCTCTCTCTCTCTCGGCATCTATGTATATATCTATTTCTTCCAACAAAAGATTTTGTAGATGCTTTTAAGAATAACTATGAATAATTGAGGATATTAAAGAAAAGAAAAATAAGAATATGAGAAAATAAAACATACAAAAATGTATACTATGTAGTCTATACAGTGACTAAATTTTGTTCTGAGATTCCTAGCAGTCAAAGGAAAGAGGAAATCACAATTCATTATAAGTTTCACAGTATTTGTAAGAAAAATTAAACAGATGTTTGGGAGAAGAATGCCTTCTCCTCATACTGGATCTGGCTGAAATTCCTTCCTTAAATCCTACTGTTAAGGCTAGGATACATCAGATAGGAATAGATAAAATAATGAATTTCATATGGCTCTTTTTAAAGAGCCTTCATCTTTAAAGATGAAGCTTTACAATGTGGCTTCATCTGGGGCTGTGTGTGTATGTCGTTTGACCTTTCTAAAACACCTTCAGGACTGCCACTTTTACTGAGTGTCAGACCCCTAGACTATCCTTTCCTTTCCCTCGAAGTTCCTTCAAGTGGTAACTTTCTTGCATCATTTTCACCCGTTATGAAATTTTTGTCTCTAATTTTCTCCACAGTCTCTTGTCTTTTTCCTAATCATTTTATCACGTACATCCTAAGAACATTTCTCTTCCACTGCCCATTTTCCAAGCCCTGCTGCAAGCACTCTTAGAAGAGGAGAAAAACACAAAAATGCAGATATTTCTTTTATAAAACCTGTGAAGTCATATTGAAATCCTCACTTTGAAACTTGTGTACCTAAGTGCCAGTGATAGCTTCTTTACCTCAAGTGACTGCTACTCTGAAAGGAACCTCAACACACAAGTTAGGTTGGTGGGGCTGTTTAATAGAATTCACCAAAACCAGATCAGTAAGCACTATTTCTGTGGCCATCTGCTGGGACTTGGGAATCCATTCCTGATTGAGAGCCCCATGTTTTGTCCAGTGCAGGGTTATGTGTGCCAAAGATGTGCAGATTGAAAAGCCCATAGGAACTATGCTTTGTTGATCTGGCTGAAACAGAGACTCTACAAACAGCAACCTCTAGCCCCTGTTCACTTGGCAACAACCAGCCCTGTGAAAACTACAGCAAAGAAAGAAGGGACAATCTCATGGTCCTTTGGTTTACCCCACCTACAGGGTGCTCTTATAATTCTTCCCAAACCTCACAGCTACTCCTGCCAGAAAACCACTAGAAACACTCATAGAAATCTCAAAAAGTGATTATAAAAAGTTCAAGATTTATTTTTGCTGGGCCCGGTGGCTTATGCCTGTAATCCCAGCCCTTTGGGAGGCCAAGGCAGGTAGATCACTTGAGTCCAGGAATTCAAGAGCAGCCTGGGCAACATGGTGAAACCTTGTCTCTACAACAACAACAAAAAACAAACTTCAAGATCTCAGCAGGAAGGGAATTGGGTTGAAAAAATCTTGAAATGTCAATGGGGTCTTCAAGTAGGCTTGTCTAACTTCTGTACAGATGAAGTTGTGCCTAGCGAGCTGAAGTCGCTTGTCTGACTAATAAACAGTAGAGCCGGGTCATGAGCCTGACCATGTGTTCAGTCACAGGGGAGGATCCTTTGTCCTAAAATGCTTAAGGCATTTCTTTTGATTGTAGAGAGACTAACCCTTAGCCTCTTTTTATGTCTAACTCCTGAAGATTAGGAACATCTGAATTCTGAAAGCATTCCAATTACATTTCATATGAATTATAATGCTCATTAATAATTACTTTTTTATTTACCAGCATAAAGAATAAATAAACTATGCGTTTGTATGTTTAAAAACATATAGAGGCATGGAGACCTAAGAGTAGCATGTGGCACCATTGTTGGGAAATAGAAATGAGGAGTATGAAGGTGTGTAGAGAAGAGTATAGAGTCATATAGGAGCTGCAAGTTCTTATTGTCATCATTTTCAATATTGTTGACCCTCTTTGGCATGCTGCACCTTAAGAAGGATTTGTACATTTGGAAAAATAAGATATAAGTAGATGATGCCAGAAACCTACAATGGAAGCTGCTTCAGCTGATTAAGAACTCAAACCTTCCAGTCACATTGCCTGGGACTGAATTTTGACACCACCTCTTACTATTTCTGTCACCTAGGTAGGTAGCTGAATCTTACTAAGCCTCAGTTTTGTCATCTGTAAACTGGAAATGACAATACTACTTGATAGGGTTTTTGTGAGGATTATAAATTAAGCAAATTGCACGGCATACTATAAGTGCCAATATAGATGGTGGCTATCGTGATTAATGTGTGTATCACACCCTTAAAATACCAAGCTGAAGTTCTGAGGGTGATATGGTTTGGCTGTGCCTCCAGCCAAACTCTCATCTTGATTTGTAATCCCTATAATCCCCACGTGTCAAGGGAGAGACCAGGTGGAGGTAATTGAATCACGGGGGCGGTTTCTCCCATGTGTTCTCACGATAGTGAGTTCTCATGAGATCTGATGGCTTTATAAGTGTGTGGTTGTTCCTCCTGCGTTCATTCTTTTTCCTGCCACCTTGTGAAGAGGATGCAGCAAGGCTTCACCTTCTGCTTCCCCTTCACCGTCCACCATGATTGTAAGTTTCCTGAGGCCTCCCCAGCCATGCTGAACTGTGAGTTAATTAAACCTCTTTCCTTTATAATTACCCAAACTCGGGCAGTTCTTTATAACAGTGTGAAAATGGACTAATACAGGAGGTTCCAGCACTTAAGTGTGGACACCCTTGGCAGTAATCACCATTTCAGAGGCAATCCTCAGTCATCCTCCTCTCCCTTACTGCAAAGAGGTATTTTCTGTGTCCTTCTACCTCAATAACCTCGTTAGAGACGCGCCTGGACGATAATCCAACCCCATAGGGATAGGAAAAAAAGAAAGCTAAGCATGAGAAAGTAGAATATCTGAGAAAAGATAATAGTTACCAGGATTAACCACACACACACACGTACGCATGTGGATGCCCCAAATCATAAAATGATAGGAAATCAGTTATTCTCCACAGGGAAGGATGCAGACAGGCCTCAACCTTATCAATGCCCAACACACAACATCCTTTATCTGCAACAGCTGCCTCAGCCCAGCCCAGACCTTCATACAGTCTCACTTTCTGGCTTTGCTGGGGATACCTGGGATCCTGTATTTCTCTCTTTCTGCTTCTTTGGCCAACACCTGAGACCCAACATGATTTGTAACAGAGACCATTTTCCCACTATCTGCACAACATTCACCTTAGGCTTTTTTCTCACTTAAATCTCAACTTGAAACTTGGACACCATTTTTACAGAGAAGCTCTATTTGTATGGATGTCTTTTGTTTTATGATACTAACTTAAACTCAAGCCAGACAACAATAACATTAGCAATATTTAAGATGCTAATGTTTATTGAGAGCCTATCTTTAAGCAAACACTGCTCTAAATTCTTTCCATATATTAAACTATTTAATCTTCACAACAGTTCCATTTTACTCTCATAGCTAGCAGGGCCAGGATTTAAATTCAGGCAGACTGGTTCCAAAACCCACAGACTACTCACATATAATAAGAGAATGCTTATAGTCAAGGAAGGTGCTAGGTTAATTAAAAGCAAGAATTTTCCAGAAGAGAGCATTAAAAACGCTAGATTTTATTAGAGAGAACAGCTGTGGCAAGTCCTTTGGAAAGGACATAGATTTACTTCTATCTTAAAAAATTAAATTTACGCTTGTTTGTCACGTGGTAATTCATGTTCAAGGGATTATGTTAAATTGGCAGGAAGCAAACGAACACTTACAAAGAAAATATTTAACCAGGTTAACAAATACCTGTTGATCACCCAATGTAAAATTTTCATCAGGGAACATTAGACAAGTATTTATCTGTCTACGGTTTCTAACTGAATGATACCATGGAAGCTCTTTAGGAACAGGATAAAAACCTTTCTTCTATTTTTACTCCTTGGTCCTCTCCTTAAGGCATACAACCTGAGTTTGACAAGATAGTTTCTTTGCTGGTAAACCACATCTTTGATCTTCGGTTAACATTATTTAGTTCCTAAATAAGTCTTAACATTCCACCTTATCCCTTCTTGTAAACCCACAGGAAATTATCTTCTAAGAGAATCAGGCACAAAATTGCATAACATTCACTATATCATGTAAGAGACAAAAGCTACTAGTTTCCTGCTTGAAATGAACTTATTTCATTACAAACAATTGTCAATTTTATTTTGAGCATTAGTCCCTGGAAGATTGCTTTTTAATGGAATTATTACCATCTGGCATTAGTTCTTTTTTGCATTCTAAAATAAAAACTGACGCCAAGAAAGACAGCGTCCCCTCTCTCCCAGCTTACATCATCTCTGAGCAGCAGAAACAGGCTCCAGAAAAGCCTTATAATTTTTCTTTCCAGACACTATTTTTTTATAATGCTTGTGGTATTTCACTGGAACATGCTTGACTTAACTCAGAACTTAAATGGAATATGGAAAACACCATTTATCTTGCTAAATTAAAATCAGAAGTTCTATGTACAAATTTACATGTTGTATTTTAATGGGTACTAACACTCACCAATTGAATCCTTTTTGCTCTTAAAACAACAAGAAGTAGGACATGGAGAATGTGGAAATGGTCCCAAAAGAAAGCCCCTTGGCCGGGCATGGTGGCTCCCCCCTGTAATCCCAGCACTTTGGGAGGCCGAGGCAGGTGGATCACAAGGTCAGGAGTTCAAGACCAGCCTGGCCAAGATGGTGAAACCCTGTCTCTACTAAAAATACAAAAATTAGCCGGGTGTGGTGGCGGGCACCTGTAATCCCAACTACTCAGGAGGCTGAGGCAGAATTGCCTGAACCTGGGAGGCGGAGGTTGCAGTGAGCTGAGATTGTGCCACTGCACTCCAGCCTGGGCAACAGAGCAAGACTCCATCTCCAGAAAAAAAAAAAAAAAAAAGCCCCTCTAGAGGAACAGCTGGGCTGGGCTGAGGTAGCCTAGAGAAGAGGAAGTGAGAAAGGAAAAGTGCAAAGAATTGGTCTTCCTATATTTAATGAGTGTACTTTACCAAGACAGGCGCTGTGCTAAGTGCTTTCCAACTGTTATCTTATTTGATCTTCACCATTATTCTATGAGATGAGCATTGTCTTTTTGCCATCTAATAGTGAGGCTCAGAGAGGTTGAGTGTTTTGATGAGGTCACACAGGAAACAGGTGGTGATGTTTAACATTAAACCCAGGATGACTGCAGCAGGCATGTATGAAGCCATTGTGTAAGAGGACATAAGTATTGGTTTTCCAGTGTTACCGAGAGCAATTTCAGAGGGATGGAGCTAAATAAGACACAAATGATTTTTTTCTTATTTCACTTTTTATTATGAAGTAACATTAGGAAAAGAGCATAAAATATCATGTAACCCCAGATCTTGTGTTTTTTTTGTTTTTGTTGTTTTATTTTTTATTTTTATTTTTTTGAGACAGAGTCTTGTTCTGTTGCCCAGGCTGGAATGCAGTGGCACAATGCCAGCTCACTGCTCACTACAAGCTCAGCCTCCCAAGTTCAAGCAATTCTTGTGACTCAGCGTCCCAGGTAGCTGGGACTACAGGTGCCTGCCACCACGCCCAGCTAATTTTTGTATTTTTAGTAGAGACGGGGTTTTACCATGTTCGCCAGGCTGGTCTTGAACTCCTGGCCTCAAGAGATTCACCTGTCTTGGTCTCCCATAGTGCTGGGATTACAGATGTGAGCCACTGCGCATGGCCCAGATCTTGGTTTCTAATACCATTCTTCAGTAAAGGGAGGCAAGGTTTCTCCTAGAGAGGCTGATTCGAGGACTGGGGCAGAAAATACACAAGGTGAGCCTGGAGCATGTTGTAGTAAGGAAGTTCTCAAAAGAAACACACAGTGATGGGAGCTGTGAAAGGAATACAAGAACCAACTGGAAGAGCTCCCAATAGCCACAGCAACAAAATAAATAAAGTAGTATCACATTATAAATCACCCAAAGTATTAAATTAATATTCATGAGCTCATACTGATACAAGTAAATGATATGTGTAAATGATAAATAAACAAATGGGGGAGAAGAGATCCATCTTTTGTGCAAAAGAATTCCCAATAACTTAGGCAGATTCTTCACCCTCAAGGAAGTGCAACATAACTCCCCACTCCTTAAGAGTGAGTTGGGCATGGTGACTTTTTCCCAAAGAGTAGAGTATGGAAATGAGTTAAAAATAATAATAGTAGTAACTGTACAGTGGCACATGACACACAGGTCCTCAGCCAGGTGATCAGTATCACCAGAGAGAAGTCATGTTGGTAGTAGGTGCCCTCAATATGATGTGATAAGAATGATACTTTACCTCTATGGTCTTCCCTCCCCAAACCCATAACCTGCATCTAGTTATGGAAAAAATATCAGCCAAGTCCTAACTGAGGGGCCTTCAAGAAAACACCTGAGCAGTACTCCTCCAAACTGTCAAGAGCACCTAAAACAAGGAGAGACCCTCATAGTCAAGAGGAGCCTAAAGAGACCTGACAAGTAAATGTAATGGGAGATCCTGGAAGAGAAAAGGGACATTAAAAACTAAGAAAATCTGAATAAAGTGTGGACCTTAATTAGTGATAATGTGTTAGGATTTGTTCATGAATTATGACACATATACCAGACTAATGTAAGATGTTAATAGGGAAATTTTTGTGTGAGGTACACTGTCTTTGGAATTTTCTATAAATCTAAAACTATCCTAAAATTAAAAGTTTATCGAAACAGTGTATTTGAATAATTATCAGGTGACTGAGCATAACTAGCATCCAGGGTTAGAACATTGCCAGCACCCCTAAACTTCTTATTTCCCTTCTGAATTATTACCAGCCTCCCCCTAGAGAAAACTACTATTATAAGTTTTACAATAACATCTTGTTTTTCTTTGTAGTTTTTCTACTAATATGCCTTCCTAAATAGTACAGTATAGTTTTTGCCTGGTTTTGAAATTGACATTTACAGAAATGTATGTATTTATGTATCACAAATACATACCATATGCATTCTTGTGTGTCTTGCTTAAAATTTGTGTTATTCCATGTAGTTAGCTATTGCTTATTCATTTTCATTGCTGTACAGAATTACATTGCATGAATACACCAAAATCTATGCATACATTTTATTGTTGCTGGACTTTTGGTTATTTCTGGTATGGGGCTCTGAAATGGATTTTCTCACCGTCAGATTTGTGAGACACTAAAATTCAATATTTGTGGTAGACTTTTTTTTTAAAGAATATCCACGTGTGGGGCAAGGATGTAGAACCTGCTGTTTGAAAGCAAGAATGGTAATCTTGTTCAGGGACCATAGTCTAAACTGAGGAGTATCAACAAGCCCCATGATACTGTCGTTGCCTCATCAAGAGGCAGTAGGTGGCCCAAGTGTCTCCTGAGCATGAGAGCCTTCCTTCCCAGAGACGCGTGGACCAGCCTATGTACCAGCTCCTTCACAATTTTACTCACCACTTTGCTGGTGATGTCTGTGGACCAAATAGCAGAAACCTTGATCTTACTAACAACTTCCTATGCTTTGAAAAGAATGAGACTCTTGGGCAGGTTCCTGCCAAGGTGGCCATGTAAGAAAGAAGCAATCGCTTGCCTTCACTGTTCTCTGATCCTCTTGGCTCAAATAATCCAGGTTCCTGACTCAGCGGAGGGAACGTGCTAAATTTTCTATGCAAACTAGCCTTTTCTGTGTATACCTACACACATGCACAGAGAGAGTAGAAATCTAAGGTTGAGTCCAGGAGAACTGTTATGCTTTTCTGGCCACCGTGACCATATTTCCCAAGGAGTGTCCTTTTTAAATGTCATTTATTTTTATTTTTTGAGACAGGGTCTTGCTCTATTGCCCAGGCTGGAGTTCAACGATGCCATCACAGCTCACTGCAGACTCTACCTCCCAGGCTCCAGCAATCCTCCCACCTCAGCCTCTTAAGTAGCTGGGACTATAGGCATGCCACCATACTCAGCTAATGTTTGTATTTTTTGTAGAGATGGGATCTCACCATGTTGCCCAGCCTGGTCTCAAACTTCTGGGCTCAAGCAGTCTGCCTACTTTCTTTCCAAGGAGTATCTTTGAACTAATTGTATTTTATTTTTAACAGTTTAACAGAGGTACTTCTCAAGCCAGCCTATTAAGTCCTTTTTTAACCTAAAAAGGTTAAAAAAACCTAAAAAGGACTAAAGTCCCAGTATATTCAGATCATGACTTGTGTTTATGATTTAATTGAAGGCAAACAAGCCTAACAATGAAAATCCCAGGTATAAAGTTAGACCAAAATCTCACCTTGGCTTGGCCTCCTCTGAGAGGGGTTACCTTGAACAAATTACTTTCCCTTTCTGAACCTCGGTTTCCTCATAGGTAGAAAAAGAATAATAAAACTTACCTTGCAAGTAGATTGGATTTAGTACAAAAAATGTACATAAAGTATTTAACACGGTTCCTGACACAAGAAGGAAAACTAATACATAATAAAGATTATTGTTGTTGAGAATAAAAATACAATAACTCATCTAGTAGTTGTTTTCTTATGCTTATGGTCAGATACCTTGCTAAAGATAAGAATACAGTTATAAAGAATATTAGAATACGGTTATAAAAAGTTACTCAAAATTTTTTTTTTGCTCTGTCGCCTAGGCTGGAGTGCAGTGGCACGATCGCAGCTCACTGCAAGCTCCGCCTCCCGGGTTCAAGCAATTCTCCTGCCTCAGCCTCTCAAGTAGCTGGGACTACAGGCATATGCCACCATGCCTGACTGATTTTTGTATTTTTAGTAGAGAGGGGGTTTCACCATGTTGGCCAGGCTGGTCTTGATCTACTGGACTCAAGTGGTCCACCCTCAGCCTCCCAAAGTGCTGGGATTACAGGCGTAAGCCACCACACCTGGCCTCGGTTATTAGAAGTTACTGTGTGCTATTTAGTATTTTGTATTTCCTATGCTAATTTGAATTCATAGTGCGATGAAAAATAAAGCCCAGTGTCAGTGAAAATGTCTTTGGGTTGTTCTCACTTGATTATAAGACAAACCAAATTGGTGTTTCTTTCCTTAAGGTTTATAATTGGAGATTTGTTGGATTCAGACAATGACATCTTTGAGCAATCCAAAGAATACGACTCTCATGGTTCAGAGGACTCACAGAAGGCCTTCGACCATGGGACGGAGCTCATCCCTTGGTACGTGCTGTCCATCCAAGCCGATGTGCACCAGTTCCTGCTGCAGGGGGCCACGGTCATCCACTACGACCAGGACACACACCTCTCTGCCCGCTGCTTCCTCCAGCTTCAGCCCGACAATAGCACCTTGACCTGGGTAAAGCCCACAACTGCCTCCCCAGCCAGCAGTAAAGCAAAACTTGGTGTACTTAATAACACAGCTGAGCCTGGAAAATTCCCACTACTGGGTAATGCTGGATTAAGTAGCCTGACGGAAGGGGTCTTGGATCTTTTTGCAGTGAAGGCTGTATACATGGGCCACCCTGGCATTGATATACACACTGTGTGTGTTCAGAACAAACTGGGTAGCATGTTCCTGTCAGAGACTGGTGTGACATTGCTCTATGGGCTTCAGACCACAGACAACAGATTATTGCACTTCGTGGCACCAAAGCACACAGCTAAAATGCTCTTCAGCGGATTATTGGAACTCACTAGAGCTGTGAGAAAGATGAGGAAATTCCCTGACCAAAGACAGCAGTGGCTGCGGAAACAGTACGTCAGCCTTTATCAGGTAAGGGGTGCAGCCATCCCTCTTTCCTCACTGGCATAATACTCAAGAGCACACACTGGGTGACCAGACCACCAGGTTCATGCTCCCAGCTCTGACAGTTACTACCTGTGGTGACCTTGGGCAGCTTTTACTTAACCTCTTGGTACCCCAATCCCCTTTTCTATAAAATGGAAATAATAACACCTGCTCACAGGGTGGCTGTGAGAATTAATTGAGGCTGTGGCTCACGCCTGTAATCCCAGCACTCTGGGAGGCCAAGATGGGTGGATCACCCAAGGTCAGGAGTTTGAGACCGGCCTGGCCAACATGGTGAAACCCCGTCTCTACTAAAAATACAAAAATTTGCTGGGCATGGTGGCACATGCCTGTAATCCCAGCTACTCAGTAGGCTGAGGCAGGAGAATCGCTGGAACCCAGGAGGCAGAGGTTGCAGTGAGCCAAGATCGTGCCACTGCATTCCAGCCTGGGCAACAGAGCAAGACTCTGTCTCAGGAAAAAAAAAAAAAAAAAAAGTTAATATGTGTAAAGCCACAGTATAATTCATAAGTATGAAGAATAGTATCTGCACTCATAGGTGGTCCTATTTGTATTTTGTATGAAATACATTTTACTTAGATTTTATAGTAACTGAAAATGCTTATGTTAACTGGTTTCTTTGCAGATGGGAGAACTATAATGACCCTGGTCGCGGTTTTTATTTTGTATTATATTTATATATTGTATTATACTACATAAAAATAGTCCCAGGATCATTGTAGTTCTCCCATCTGCAAAGAAACCAGTTAATATAAGCATTTTCACTTACTCAGGTTTCAATGGAAAGCATTGTTATCTGAATACTTTTATTATTAGTTAGTGACTAGCTGATTCACTGAAAACTGTCCCTATTGAAATTAAAATCCTGGTTCATTTCCTAACATGCTATGTGACTTTTGGAGAGTTCTTTAACTTACTGCATATTGCTGCCTAATTGTAGAGGTGAGGGGTTAATTTCTTTAAGGTTGAAAGAAATTTTTCCAAATGTGGGATAATTCTTATGTGGAGTTCTTCTTTATTAGGTTTGTAGTGGTGGCAGCCCTTAGTGGGCAGTTTTTCACAGTCAGCTGCTTACATTGAGTGAATTAGTCTTTCATTAACCCTACGTTATCAGGTACTCTAACACTATAGTTTAGCGTGGCAACAGGGCTGGGCTGAATGAGATAGAAGAGACACAGGCATAACCAGAGTAGCATCCCTTGGGGAAAAGAGGATACAGATTGCTTGGAAATCTTAAACTCCACAAGCAGGTGACACTTGAAGTGTCATTCTCAAATGAGTTGTGTCAAAGTATTCAGTTTTTCTTTGCTATGCTTTTCTATCTTCATGGCAAAAAGAAATATCTTTTGTATTGTCACAGAACAAATAGAACTACCACTTGAACTACTCAAATGCCTGATTTCATGTACTTGTCACAGTTCTAATACATTTCTGACAATTAAAAACATTTCTCGCCCCAGGAAGTTAGACAAGGCACATGTAATGCCCCTTCTTTCTTCTTTCCCTACACCCATGTCACGATTATGAGCAGAGACCATATCCTGAGTGACTAACTTGATTAATTGATTAATAAGCAGATAGGCCTATGTACACAATTATCCTAATGTTACACAGAACAAAGCCAGTTTTAGTTAACTCGTCTAAAATGGAAAACAAATACCTGACTGTGTGTGGCGGCTTATGCCTGTAATCACAGCACTTTGGGAGGCTGAGGCGGTAGATCACTTGAGGTCAGGAGTTCGAGACCAGCCTGGCCAACATGGCAAAATCCCGCCTCTACTAAAAATACAAAAAATTAGTCATGCACCTATAATCCCAGCTACTCATGAGGCTGAGGCAGGAGAATCGCTTGAGCCTGGGAGATGGAGGTTGCAGTGAGCCAAGATAATGCCACTGCACTCCAGCCTGGGTGACAGAGCAAGACTGTCTCAAAAAAACAAACAAACAAACAAAAAATACCCGCCTCCTGTGTACTCCACAGGGCACAGGGAGCTTTCAGTGTACTCAGCTGGAAAAAAAAAAAAAAGTCTTCAGGAGCTATTGTGAATGTCAGTTTTTAATTACAGCTATTCCTTGGCCTTCTAGAATCAGGAAAATTCATCAAATATGGACATAGACCAGTGTTTGAGCTCAATTACAATTCCTGTCACAAAGTCTATGTGGTTTAGTTGTTCCATTTGTCTGCTTCTCAAGCTTATAGCATAGGTAACTGAATTAATACATAAGAGGTACTTGGTTTCTCATTTACCCTGGCACTCTTCAGCTTTTACTGAAGGAGGCACCAGCTGAGACCACGAACGGCAGGTGAAGAGGTAAGAGTTGCTGCTAGAACAGAGACAGAAGTGACTTAGAGAAGACTCAGTCCTACCCAGCTGCAAACACAGCTCCACCCTCCCCCACCACCCCTGCACAGAACCAAGATGTTACAGTGTAGAGGCAAAACAGCTCATACTCAACCACTTCTGAAATATAGGTGATGTTATTCCTTGACACTGCTCTCTCTACATGAGCCATTTATGAAGTCAGGCAACGTGCCTTAGAAACAGACACTCAAGATTTCTTTCGAAAGAAAAAAGTTGGAAAGACCAATGGACTGATCATTTTCTCATCATATAAACCAGTTCCCAAACTGACTCAGGGATCACCAAAAAGATGCTAACTTAGTACTCAGAGAACAAAAGATCAAATCTTTTGTTAATGTTTAATAGCTGTATTGGTGATTTATAATACCTCTTAGAAAATTAAATTCTCTCAGATGCCCTAAAGTTAAAAAAAAAAACTATTTAAATTTACCTATAAGCTAAAGAAATTTGTGAAACAATGTTTGGGTTTTTCCAAACTTCTGTTAACAGCTCTATAAGAGGATTTTTTAATCCCTAGTTTGGGAAGTGCTTATATGGAAAATAATCATTCTGACATTAGAATTTCCTTATGTAGTAAATGTAAGTGAAGTTACTTTCAAATACTACAAGTATTTGAGTACTACTGATGGAAGTAGTAACAAGAGATAACACAGAAGACAAGAAGAAGTAATAACATTTGTAGAGAAGCCTAGAAAAATACAGGAAAATCCAAGAAAGTAAACTGCAGAGATGTTGATGTGGGGTGTGGAGGAAAGACCAATGTCTTGAGCTTTGGCCCAAGGTTATCATGGACAGAACTGATGGCCCATAATCCTGGGTATTTGGAAGGTGCTCTGGGAGGCTAAGAAAGTTAAATATGGAATTACCAGGTAAATATCTTTGGTTATAAGCAAAAAAGATTCTGGCTATCTTTACGTGGGGGAAAAAAAAAAGATTCATTCAAAGGATGTAGATTAGTTTAATGGTCTTCAAAATGTCACATGCAAAGATATGCCAAGAGGTAACAGTGCATGGATATTTTTTAAGGAATCTATTTTCTAATCTTCAACTTTCACATAAACTGTTTTCTCCACTGCACTCCAGCCTGGGCAAGAGTGCGAGACTCTGTCTCAAAAAAAAAAAAAAAAAAACTGTTTTCTAAAATTGAACATGTGCCTTCACTTACAGTAGTCCATCTCCCACATTAAAAAAAGAAGGTAGGCCAGGTGCGGTGGCTCAGAGCTGTAATCCCAGCACTTTGGGAGGCCGAAGTGGGTGGATCACTTGAGGCCAGGGGTTCGAGACCAGCCTGGCCAACATGGTGAAACTCCATCTCTACTAAAAATGCAAAAATTAGCTGGGTGTGGTGGTACGCACCTGTAATCCCAGACACCTGGGAATTGAGGCAGGAGAATCAGTTGAAACCGGGAGGCGGAGGTTGCAGTGAGCCAAGATCACACCACTGCACTCCAGCCTGGGCGACAGAGGGAGACTCCATCTCCAAGAAAAAAAAAAGAGAAGAAAGTATATCCTTCATCCATCCCAAACAAGTTTATTATTTTGTGTAAAACAAAAGAAAGATTAAAACTACATTTTACTTCCCAGAAAGCTTCCTTTAAAGACTAAACAAAGGTATCCTTCCTTTTCCTGACCTAAACATATTTCTGTTAGTGGTAAAGTTTGACCCATGTTGGGATGTTCTGAAATTAGAAAAATCAAAGCAGTATAGGTTAATGGTGCCAATTATTTTACATGTAAACTATAATGGGCCTATTAAGCTTTTAAAGATGTATTGGTTAAAATCCATAAATAAAAGTTTTACTCTTCTTTCAGATTCAGAGTATGTTATTCAAAATGGTAGTTAAAACGTATCCATTAGGTTTCATTCATGAAATGTTTATTCCAATTTGAAGTCACTCCTAGTGACTTGTTAGCAGGGATTCTCTTCAGCAGGCCTCCAGCAGATGGACTGATCTCCAACCATTTTCATTCTCTGTATCACTGCATTCAAGAACCCTGCTCCAGGAAGGGGCTTCTGATTGGCTTATTGGGATCATGTGCCAATCATTGGTCAAAGGAGGATATTTCATCTTGATTGACACACCCATCGAGACTATATCCAGTGGAGAATAGACAGTTAAAGTAAAATCGGGGTATGGTTAGAGAAGGGAGAAACAGATCATGGACAGCCATAAGTCACAATGTCCCACTATAAGAGGTCACCCAAAGGTTTCTTTGTCAAGTACCCAAGTTATTCAGCATCCTGGGATCCACAGCAGGATGCAGGAAGTGGGAATGCACAAGTCATAACATCAGATAGTTATTAAACATTAGGCTGAAGGAGCAAGCACACACACACACAAAGCTTCTTTGTTTTTTGCATATGATCTGCAACAAAGCAAAATCTATCCATAAGCATTTCTTTGGAACTGCAAAGGAGAGCCAGCCTGAAATGTTTTTGAAGAGTAAACACAGTACATGGAAATTAATTTTTAAAGAGCCCGCTTATACAGTGTATGAAATATCAATATCATCTTTAGCTCATAGGCAACTTTTTGTGGTTTTATTAACTGACTTATGGGGAGAATCATTGACAATTGTTTAATTAATAGATCCCTGCTGTTACTTACAGGATGCTACACAGAGTTGCCTTAGAAGCAGTAGCTACTGTGAACAATTGCCTGCCCCTTGAGTGTGTTGTTGCTGCTCAGAGCATCCTAATATGTATGGTGTTCTGAGTCCCATGGGCTCCCTATCTTTAGATTTCAGCCACTCAAGGGGATGGCAGCCCAACTATTTTAGGAGCTCCCTGGGGCCCTTCAAAGGGAATTTCATGCATGTCACACACACCCTGTATTTCAAGTCCGACTGTCCCAAGCATCAAACTAGTTGAAAACCTACCTGGCAATAATGGACAAATACAACTTGATTTTACTTAGATTGATACCCTGCCCCTCTCCCTTCCAGGATGTCCAAGGCCCTAATTTGCAAAGTAAGTCTAAATGAATTTTCCTACAGTGGTAGTTCTGCAATTTAACCTCTGTAAATGGGATGGGAAGTTTTTGTTCCCCAGTTGATGTATTAAAGCATGTCACTGGAACTCAGCAGTGATGTGACCAGGACAACGGGGGACATGATGAAATTCCTGACAGAGAATCTTGTGAGTTAGAAAACAGTCACTTGGGTGGCCAGATCATTATTCTTCTGTGGCCGTCTGTGCTCTTCCACCTCTTGGAATTTTCTGGGAGACATTAATATATTTACTTCCCCATTGCTTGATGCTTCCTATTGTGTTCACCATGTGGCTCTTTCACAGGAGGATGGACGGTATGAAGGCCCAACTTTGGCTCACGCTGTGGAGTTGTTTGGTGGCAGACGGTGGAGTGCTCGAAACCCCAGCCCCGGAACATCAGCAAAGAATGCTGAGAAGCCCAATATGCAGAGAAACAATACCCTGGGCATAAGCACTACCAAGAAAAAGAAGAAAATCCTCATGAGGGTAGAGTGTTATTTGTTTATTAAGCATTAAACCCATCTTCCAGGACCGCTGTATGGTGAACATCACCATAAAACACTTAAGGTTGTTTGGGTTGAGGACAAAGTCAGGTATAAAATAGAAGATACAAGGGCTTACCACATACCTCCATGGTGCCATGCTAGTGCCAGGAACACCAGGGAAAAGACAAGGTCCGCAGAAGGACATAGACATGTAAACAAACACAGTGCGAGCTAAAAAGAGACATCGTTGAGTCACCCACAAAGTGCTGTGGGGGCAGAGAGAAGGAAAATAGAGAGCTGAGGGGCAGGCACAGAGGGCTCCACAGAGCAACTGACACGCAGGTCTTGAAGAACGTGTAGGATTTTACCAAGCAAAGAACATAGGAGAAAGTATCCCCAGCAGAGGAGACAGCATAGAGGCATAAAAGACAGCTTGTTCAAGGAAGCACATGCTGTTCTGGATGGCTAGAGCATGAGCACTCTGTGGGCAAGGAAGGGCTAGAAGAGAACAGAGATCACAGAGGCCCCAAATACTGTGTGTAGAACACAATGTAAAGTATATTAGCACTGTGTATTATAAACTATATAATATGAAATATCACTATGAAGTGATAATATATTTGCTTCATGGCTATTTGTTTGTTTGTGTTGCTATAAAGAAATACTTGAGGCTGGGTAATTTATAAAGAAAGAAGGTTAATTGACTCACAGTTCTGCAGGTGTACAGGAAGCATGGTGCCAGCATCTGCTTCTGGTGACAGCCTCCGGAAGCTTACAGTCATGGCAGAAGGTGAAGCGGGAGCCAGCGCATGACATGGCAAGAGCAGGAGTGAGAGAGAAGGGGAGAGGTGCCACACACTTTTTTTTTCTCTTAGAAACAGGGTCTTGCTCTGTCACCCAGGCTGGAGTGCAGTGGTGTGATCATGGCTCACTGCAGCTTCAAACTCCTGGGCTCAAGCTGTTCTCCTGCCTCAGCCTGCCAAGTATCTGGGACCACAGGTGTACACCACCATGCCTGGCTAATTTTTTTTATTTTTTATAGAGACAGGGTCTCACTATGTTGCCCAGGCTGGTCTCGAACTCCAGGCCTTAAGTAATCCTATTGTCTCAGCCTCCCAAAGTGTTGGGATTACAGGCATGAGCCACCACACCCAGCCTACACACTTTTAAATAACTAGATCTTGTGTGAAGTCAGAGCTAGAACTCACTCATCACCAAGGGAATGATCCTCAGCCATTCATGAGGGATCCACCCCCATGATCCAAACACCTCCCACTAGGCCCCACCTCTAACACTGGGAATTACATTTCAACATGAGATTTGAAGGGGACAAACATCCAAACCATATCATCTATCTAGAAAAAGTGCCACTCTCTTTGCTTATGGGAGGCTTTGATGCTCATGTCAAATTTTATCTGCTTCACAGTTTTTTTCTGTACACAGAGGTTCCGGAGGTTCTGTGCCGCCTCTTGTCTGCCTCCCTCCCCTGAGGAGTACTGCTGTATAGTAAAGAACAACTGAAATAATATGACATGAGAATACTCGGTCAGCCTTAATGTAGGTCTTTACCGGTTTTACCAGGAAGAGGCAGTATTGAAGGTGGGTAGGTCAGAAAATAGAGACCTACCTGAACTAAAGCAGTGATGGGAGAGAAATACAGGCTTGGAACCATCGTGAGCTTTGTGTTCCCAGGGTGAGAGTGGAGAGGTAACTGACGATGAGATGGCAACCCGAAAGGCCAAGATGCACAAAGAGTGTCGAAGCCGGAGTGGTTCTGATCCTCAAGACATTAATGAACAAGAAGAATCAGGTAAAGCGGCATGTTTACATCTGAGATTTTTGTTTTTTAATTTTTGTGGGAAAAAAAGTATACATTTGGTTTTAAATTGTGATTTAAGCATTGCAAACATTTCTAACAAAACTCTTTGTCCTAACCAGACAATGAAACCTAAAGGTACTTCTGCAAGCATAGTGTGCTTGGAATAAAATCCCCATTAATTAACTTGCCATTACTGACAGGGAGTATTAGATATACATGGTATAATTTGATGGATTAAACCAGTGATTCTCAACCTTGGCTGCATATTAGAGCTTTTAAGAAAATCTGATTCCTCTGGCCACATCTAAGAATAACTGATTCAGATATTCTCTGGCTGGGACCTTGGGACCTGGACATCTTATTTATTTTTGAAGCTTCCCAGACAGTTCTAACATGTAGCCAGTTGAGACCCCACCAGATTAGCCCATTCATAAAGATATTTTGGTGCTGCTTGTATAGAAACCAGCTGCATAGGTTGATTTGCTCAGACATCCAGAAGCCTCTCTGGTTTGTATTTGGTTCTGAGGGAAAGTATAATCTGAGTCATTCTCTCTTTTCTGTCTTTCATCCTCACAGAGGTGAATGCCATCGCTAACCCTCCAAACCCCCTCCCTTCCAGAAGAGCCCACTCTTTGACCACAGCTGGGTCCCCCAACTTGGCTGCCGGGACGTCATCTCCCATCAGGCCAGTGTCCTCCCCTGTGCTGTCTTCTTCAAACAAGAGCCCATCCAGGTGGGGCCTTAACATGATAAAACAGAAGGACCCTTCACATTATTCCAGTTGTGTGGAAGGGCATATCTTTACAGTTGTCTATGGAAAGACTATTTCACATTTTGATGTATAGTTGAACTGAAAACTGAAAAATCCCAAAATTTTAAATGATCCTAATTCTCCCAATTTTGTACTCCTACCTTCTCATATTACTTCAAAGGTCAGTAGCAGTAACAAAACCTAAGCCATGATTCTCCAAATCTGTACTATCCAGTACACTAGCCACTAACTAGATGTGGGTATTTAAATTCAAATGTAAATTAATTAAAATTAAAGAAAATTTAAAATTCAGTTCCTCAGTCACAGTAGTGACATTTCAAGTGCTCCATAGCCACAAGAAGCTGATGGTTATTATCCCAAAGAGTGTAGATAGAGAACATTTCTTTTTATCATTGCAGAAAGTTCTATTGGATAGCACTGCTCTAAACGAAGAAGAGAGAATAGATTGTTTTAATGTAAACTATTTGGCCCCTTTGCTAATCGATGAAATATATTTAATACTTTTCTCATATGTAAGTTATGCATGTCTAGAGGAATGAATTCAAGTATCACAGCAAGTTGGATATGTTTAAGTATAAATCTAAAGCTGGATAAATTACTTTATAAGTTCCATGCAAATTACATATTTGAAACAATATCTTCCCTCTCAGAAGAAGGAATGATATTAAAATGGCAGACTTCCAAAGGGAACCAGAATGCTGCTCCATCCTCCTGTATCCCACATTAAAGTTTAAGAGATGTGGAGGTTCCAGACAGAACCAAGCTAAAACAGGAACTCTTTACTTTATCTCACACACACACACACACACACACACACACACACACACTCTCTCTCTCTCTCTCTCTCTCTCTCTCTCTCTCTCTCTCTCCCCACCCCTCCCTCTCTCCCCACGCCCCTCTCTCTCTTTCTCCCTTTCTCTCTCTTTCTCTTGGAAGCTTCTTATTAACAATCCTGGCTGGGCACGGTGGCTCTCACATGTAATCCTAGCACTTTAGGAGGTCAGGGAAGGAGGATCACTTGAGCCCCCAGGAATTCGAGACCAGCCTGAGCAACAGAAACCCCATCTCTACAAAAAGTAAAACAATTAGCGGGTGTGGTGGTTCTCACCTCTGGTCCCAGCTACTCAGGAGGCTGAGGTGTGAGAGTATCACTTGAGCCTGGGAGGTTCCGGCTGCAGTGAGCCATAATCATGCCATTGCGCTCCAGCCTAGGCAACAGAGTGAGAGCTTGTCTCAAAAAAAAAAAAAAAAAAGAAAGAAAGAAAGAAAGAAAAAGAAACAGAAAATAGAAAGAAAAAAGAATCCTACAGTAAATTATCTTTTAAATAAAAATTCTTTCACAATGTGAGCAATGAACTTATAATTTATGCTTTATACATTCACATTCTACAATGGGTGAGCATGGGTCAAGGTTATATGGGAATTCTTTGTACCACTCTTGCAACTTTTATGTAAATTTAGATTCATAACAAAACTAAAAGTTACAAAAATCAGAATCCTGTTTATTATACTTTCAGCCTGTGTAGTATCCTGGGTAAACAGCAAGGAACCTGGATTAAATGGCATTTCCCGTTTATTTCAATCATTCATGAGCAGGAAAAGAAAGGACGAAGTAAGGGAGGAAAATATTTTAAAAAGAGAAATTAACATGCCAGATGCAAGATCAGAAGGCCAACCCCAGGAGGACAGGGATCAGCACCCACTCAAGTGTTTTAAAACAGAAAGAAAACACAAGACAGGAGGAAAAATCAGCTTGAATGCTATTAAGGGAGAAAGCTAGACTGAATCCTAAGTCTGATAGTGGGAAGAGTGGACAAACAGAGTTTCCTAGAATCAAAGGGAGATGGGTTCCTACAGACAGTAGCTGGATCTGCAACCAGAAAGAAGCAAGACAGGAAATTTACTTCTTTAGCTGCAAATGATGAAGTCACCTTTTTCCTCTTCCTGCACCTCTACCCTATGTTTCCTGCACTACACTGGGGATCGACAACCTACAACCTATGACTACAAAATGCTAAAAAGCTATCAATTTGTAGTGCTCTTTCATTGCTGAAGGTGACCTTCAAATGTCAGCACAAATTAATTTTCCATGAGTGAACATTGTTAGCAGGGTTGAGAGTCACTTCAACAAACTATATATTTTATATTTATAGTCTTAAATATATAGTTTTTAGATTATATATTTAATATACATAAAATAGACTTCATGATATTCTCTATACTTTCTTATATATTTGAAATATTTCAAAAAAAACTTTTAAAATCCAAGACAAAAAAAAACAGGTCCTCTAGAACTAGAAATACCATTTGACCCAGCCATCCCATTACTGGGCATATACCCAAAGGATTATAAATCATGCTGCTATAAAGACACATGTACACGTATGTTTATTGCGGCACTATTCACAATAGCAAAGACTTGGAACCAACCCAAATGTCCATCAATGATAGACTGGATTAAGAAAATGTGACACATAGACACCATTGGAATACTATGCAGCCATAAAAAGGATGAGCTTCATGTCCTTTGTGGGGACATAGATGAAGCTGGAAACCATCATTCTCAGCAAACTATCGCAAGGACAGAAAACCAAACACCGCGTGTTCTCACTCATAGGTAGGAATTGAACAATGAGAACACTTGGACACAGGGCGGGGAATATCACACACCAGGGCCTGTTGTGGGGTGGAGGGAGGAGGGAGGGATAGCATTAGGAGATATACCTAATGTAAAGGACGAGTTAATGGGTGCAGCATACCAACATGGCACATGTATACATATGTAACAAACCTGTACATTGTGCACATGTACCCTAGAACTTAAAGTATAATTTAAAAAATAGATCCTGTTCATTAATTTGACTACAAACCATAATCAAAACATCTCTCATACCATTGTGTCAGGAAATCAGTATAGAAAATAAAAAATGTTGTGAAACAGTAAGTCTGTTCTGAGTTGACTGATATTTCTACATTGAATAGATGCAGCCTTGGAAGGTGCAAATATAATCCTAGTCAAAGCTGGCTTTTTTCCATTCTTTTTTAAATTTTCTAAAATTAGAGACAGTGCCTCACTATGTTGGCCAGGCTGGTTTCGAACACCTGGGGTCAAGCAATCTTCCCACCTCAGCCTTCCAAAGTGCTGAGATTATAAGCATGAGCCACCGCACCCAGCCCTTTCCATTCTTAACATTTTTCCGGTTCACATTTTTCATTAATATTTAAAAGCTCTTCTCTGTTTTCATCTAAGGACTGGTTAAGAAAGGAATCAGACAATACACTCAAAGGTTTCTTCTTAAATGTAATTCTATAACTTAGAATATAGAAAAGAACGTGCATTATTTCCCATAGATTAAGAGTGAGTAATTTGGGGCTCTTTTTAATAGACATCTTCAGAAACACTGAGTTATTTTGCCCATTGATCTGCAATTTCAAAGAACTGATTTGATTAATAGAGGAATATTAACCTCAGCCCTGGGCCCTTATTAAATAGACTAGAAACATGTTTTCTTTTTCACATAGAACATGTTTTATTTCCTCTGATACAATATAGGTTAAGAGATGTGAAAAGAGAGTACTGGAAAATAGCTTCAATCTTAAATAACTTGCACTCATCCTTTTGCTCATATTGCTAATTGGAGCAAGTCTGGTGGGACAGAATCACAACAGTGGCCTGCCCTTGTGCCCATGAAGGCCTTGTCTTTGTTGCAGTGCTTGGAGCAGTAGTAGCTGGCACGGGCGGATCAAAGGCGGCATGAAGGGATTTCAGAGCTTCATGGTTTCAGATAGCAACATGAGTTTTGTTGAATTTGTTGAGCTGTTCAAATCATTCAGGTACAGTCTTATGTTTCCTTCTTATTCTTTCTCAGGCCCCCCCATTTCTATAAAGATACTCAATGAGAGGTGTTTTCCATTCCTCATTCAGTGTCAGGAGCCGCAAGGACCTGAAGGATCTGTTTGATGTCTATGCAGTGCCCTGCAACCGATCTGGCTCCGAGTCAGCCCCACTCTACACCAACCTGACAATTGATGAAAACACCAGCGATCTTCAGCCTGACCTAGGTTTGTTGAACATTTTAGGATTTCCCTTTGGGATCAATCTGTCTAAAACTTAAGGTCAGAGGTCCAGTCACACAAACTCTGAGCCTGTCCCACATAGTGTGCTATTACTGCTGTGTAGGGAAAGACTTAAGAGAATTTTTTTTTTTTTTTTGAGATGCAGTCTCACTCTGTAGCCCAGGCTGGAGTGCAGTGGTGCAATCTCAGCTCACTGCTACCTCCACCTCCCGGGTTCAATTGATTCTCCTGCCTCAGCCTCCTGAGTAGCTGGGACTACTGGCATGTGCCACCATGCCTGGCTAATTTTTTGTATTTTTAATAGAGACAAGGGTTTCACCATGTTAGCCAGAATGGTCTCGATCTCCTGACCTCGTGATCTGCCACCTCAGCCTCCCAAAGTGCTGAGTTTACAGGCATGAGCCACCTCACCTGGCCAACACTTAGAGAATTATTTTAAGGTGTCATCTGGTGTTGAGGGAGCAGGTGCTACTGGCATTTTGAGCAAAGAAATTCATCATTGTGTGGTTCTGCCCATGTATTTATTTAACCAATAAAGCCTTCCAGTCATTCTGACAACCAAAAACCCTTTCCCGACTATATTAGTCCATTTTCATGCTGCTGATGAAGACATACCCAAGACTGGGTAATTTATAAGGAAAAAGAGGTTTAAGGGGCTCACAGTTCCACCTGGCTGGGGAGGCCTTACAATCATGGAAGAAGATGAAAGGCGTGTCTCACATGGCAGCAGACAAGAGAACTTGTGCAGGAAAAACTCCCCTTTATAAAACCATCAGATCTCATGAGACTTATTCACTATCATGAGAACATTTTCACATGGGAAAGACCTGCCCCCATGATTCAACTACCTCCCACCAGGTCCCTTCCACAACATGGAATTGTGGGAGCTACAATTCAAGATGAAATTTGGGTGGGGACACAGCCAAACCATATCACTGACCATTTCCAAATGTCTGCTAGGTATGTGGTGTGTGTCACAGTGGAGAACCCCCAGTCTCTTCCCTACCTACAGACAGTTGTGTGTTCAATCACAGGGCAGTAGTCTCCTGCCCTTTGACAAGGAGAGTCTTTAGCGCCTTCCACAGGGTACTTCTGTCTGAATGATTGTCCAGGATATATTTCCTACTGTATAAACAAGAATGTCTCATTCTTCTATCTCACTCACCACCACCACCATTACTATCACCACCCATGCATTTTCTAACCACTTATGCATTTCCAGCCTATCATTTTCCTCCTCTGTTCTTCCTGGAAACTATAAACACAAATAGCAAAACAAAAAACTTTCCTCTTTTATGCAGTTGCTTCATAATTATTTATAAGTTTATGTTGTCCTTGAGCTAAGACTATTAAGTATTGTTCAACTTTAGTCATAAAATCTCCATAACCATGGATTAGTCAAGTAGTTACATTTTTCAAAAATTATTGGACTTTATTTTTTGTTCTATTATATTTTATTATTTTATTATTTATCATGATTTTCATGTATTTTTTATTTTTGTTTTATTTTAAAATATTATTATTTTAAAATAATGTAATTTTTTGTAGAGACAGGGTCTTGCTCTGTTGACCAGGCTGCTCTCAAACTCCTAGCCTCAAGCAATCCTCCTGCCTCAGCTTCCCAAAGTGCAGGGATCTTAGGCATGAGCCTCCATGCCCAGCTTAGACTTTATTTTTAGAGCAATTTTAGGTTTATGGAAAAATGAGTGGAAAGTACAGAGTTCCAATATACTCTCTTCTACTCTCCCACACAGACTTTCTTCTGTTAGTAATATCTGGCATTAGTGTAGTACATTTGTTACAATTGAGTTAATATTGATATATTATGATGAACTGAAGTCCATAGTTAACGTTAGGATTCACTGTTTGTGTTGTGCATTCTATGGGTTTTGACAAATGTGTAATGACATGTATCCACCTTTACAGTATCATACAGGACAGTTTCACTGCCCTGAAAGTTCCTTATGCTTCATTTTTCCATCCCCCCCGCGACCTCCCTCCAAATCCCTGGCAGCCACTGCTCTTTTTATTATCTCCATAGTTTTGCCTTTTCCAGAATGTCATATAGTTGGAATCACACAGTACATAGCATTTTCAGACTGGCGTCTTTCACTTAGCAATATGCATTTAAGTTTCCTTCCTCCGTGGCTTTTTGCAGCTTGGTAGCCCATTTCTTTTTACCCTGGGTAACATTCCATTTTGCGGAGGTACTACAGTTTGTTTATCCATTCACCTACTGAAGTATATCTTGGTTGCTTCCAAGTTTTAGCAATTATGAATAAAGCTGCTATAAACATTTGTATTCAGGTTTTTGTGTGGGCATAAGTTTTTCCATCATTTGGGTAAATACCTAAGAGTGCAATTGCTGGATCATATGGTAAGCCTATGTTTAGCTCCATAAGAAACTGCCAGACTGTCTTCCAAAGTGGCTAAAATTAAAATGGCCATACCAAAGTTGGTGCGAATGTGAAGCAATTGGAACATTGCAGGTGGGAATGTAAACTGGTACAACCACTTTGGAAGACAGTGTGGCAGTTTCTTACTAAGCTAAACATATTCCTTCCATGTGACCAGCAATTACAGTACTTGGTATTTACCCAAATGAGTTGAAAAATTTATATTCACATAAAAATCTGTAAACAAATGCTTATATTAAACAGTAAAACTGTAATTTTAAGGGTATATCTTCAATCTCTACAAACAAAAATGTGCAAGTAGTTACTCCCTAAAACCAAAGCCTGAATTTCACCTAAGTCCCCAGCTGAACCTACATTTAGTTGCCATGTAATACCACATGGGATATCAAGATCATCAACCTAGCTCTGTCTTCTTTTCCTTTTTTTTTTTTTTTTTGAGACAGACTCTCACTCTGTTGCCCAGGCTAGAGTGCAGTGGCGTAATCTTGGCTCACTGCAACCGCCGCCTCCTGGGTTCAAGCAACTCTTATGCCTCAGCCTCCCGAGTGGCTGGGACTACAGGTGCACACCACCATGCCTGGCTAATTTTTGTATTTCTAGTAGAGACGGGGATTCACCATGTTGGCCAGGCTGGTCTTGAGCTCCAGACCTCAGGTGGTCCACCTGCCTCAGCCTCCCAAAGTGCTAGGATTACAGTCATGAGCCACCATGCTCAGCCTTTATTTATTCATTGATTTGTTTTTTATTCCTATCACTATGTGAAGCCAGAAATAAACACTTCTTTGATGGCTTGTTTAGGTACATTAGTAAAGAGCTTCTCCATTTTAATAACTCCACACCATTATCTCCAAAATGAACTTTGCAAAAGATGCTGGCTATCTTGTCCATGTACTGTGGTGATTCTGTTTCAGATCTGTTGACCAGAAATGTCTCGGATTTGGGGTTGTTCATTAAGAGTAAACAGCAGCTATCGGACAACCAGAGGCAGATATCTGATGCCATTGCTGCTGCAAGCATTGTGACAAATGGCACTGGGATTGAGAGCACATCTCTGGGCATTTTTGGGGTGGGCATACTTCAGCTCAACGATTTCCTCGTGAATTGCCAAGGAGAACACTGCACTTATGATGAAATCCTCAGCATCATCCAGGTTTGTGCCTGTTTTGTGTGTGCATGTGTGTGTGATGCCTCTGGCTATTCTAATAATTTGCTGCTAAATGTTTATTCTTTCTATACTTCTTTCCAAAGCCTTTAAATCTGGGACAGATATACAGTTTTGTTTTTTTTTTTGTTTTTTTGGGTGTTTTTGAGACAGAGTCTTACTCTGTGGCCAGGCTGGAGTGCAGTGGTGTGATCTCGGCTCACTACAACCTCCGCCTCCCAGGTTCAAACGATTCTCCTGCCTCAGCCTCCTGAGTAGCTGGGACTACAGGTGTGCGCCACCACGCCCAGCTAATTTTTGTGTTTTTAGTAGAGATGGGGTTTCACCATGTTGGCCAGGATGGTCTCAATCTCTTGACCTCGTGATCTGCCCACCTCGGCCTCCCAAAGTGCTGGGATTACAGGCGTGAGCCACTGCGCCCGACCTTGTTTTGTTTTGTTTTTTTAACAAAATACCAAGTATGTTTTTTAACAAAATACCAAGTATGGGCTGGGTGTGGTGGTTCATGCCTGTAATCCCAGCACTCTGGGAGGCTGAGGCCGGTGGATCACCTGAGATCAGGAGTTCAAGACCAGTCTGGCCAACATGGTGAAACTGCATCTCCACTAAAAATACAAAAATTAGCCAGGTGTGGTGGTGCGTGCCTGTAATCCCAGCTACCTGGGAGAGTGGAGCAGGAGAATCACTGGAACACGGGAGGCAGAGACTGCAGTGAGCTGAGATCACACCACTGCATTCCAGCCTCGGCAACAGAGCAAGACCCCATCTCAAAAAAAAAAAAAAAAAGAAAAAGAAAAATCAGCCAGGCATGGTGGTCCACGCTTATAATCCCAGCTACCTGGGAGGCTGAGACACGAGAATCGCTTGAGCCCAGGAGTCACAGAGGTTGCAGTGAGCTAAGATCACACCACCGCACACCAGTCTGGGTAACAGAGCGAAACCCTGTCTCAAAAAAACAAACAAAAAACAAGTATGTAAGTGTTCTTCTTTAACATATTATTAGTGTATTATTACATAATATGTTTTTCTTTAACATATTATATGTTCTTCTTTAACATTATTAGTGTAATAATATTAACATATTATTAGTGTATTATTACATATTAATGTAGGTCCCAGGCTTTCTCTAACTCAGTAACTATTATAAGGAGTTGGTACATAATTTTTTGTTGTTATTCTAGAACATGCAACAGATTTAGTCTAGGTTTTCAACCTCATTAGTCATTAAATGAACATGCACTAGTTCCTACTATGCTGGCTCAGTTTTAGGAGGTGGGAATATAGCAGAGAATAAGATAAAAGTTCTGGTCCTCAATGCAGCTTACATTCTAGAAGGTGAGGCAGACAACAAAGATACGATGTAATTTCAGGTAATAATGGGGTAGGGGAAAAACTGAGTCAAGTAAAGGAATGGAATGATACAGGAGGTGGGCTGAGGAGAGTAAGCAAAGGCCACTTGGAAGAGGTGGCATTTGGACTGAGCCCTAAGTCAATAACCAGTTTGATGGTCTCGGGAAAGAGCATTCCCCACAGGGAGCCACAAGGTCAAAGACCAAGACAGCAGCAAGCTGGGGGTTTATGAGGAACCACAAAAAGCTGGTGTACTGTGAGCTGCACAAGCCAGGCAGAGAATGGCAGGCATGGTGTCAGACAGATGTGCAAGGGCCCAATCATCCGGGCCTTTTAGAGCTTGATAAGGAGGTTGGCTTTAGTCCATGTGAAATGGGATACCACTGAAATTTTTGAGCAGGGGAGTAACATGATTTGATTTTTTTTTTTTTTTTTTTTTTTTTTTGAGACAGAGTCTTGCTCTGTCACCCAGGCTGGAGGGCAGTGGCGCGATCTTTGTTCACTGCAACCTCCGCCTCCCAGGTTCAAGCAATTCTCCTGCCTCAGCCTCCCAAGTAGCTGGGATTACAGGCACACAGCACCATGCCCAGCTAATTTTTGTATTTTTACTAGAGATGGGGTTTCACCATGTTGGCCAGGCTGGTCTCGAACTCCTGACCTCGTGATCCACCCACCTCAGCCTCCCAAAGTGCTAGGATTACAGGCGTGAGCCACCGCGCCTGGCTGATTTATTTTTTATGAGATTACTCTGAGCCACGCATGGTGGCACAAACCTGTAGTCCCAGCTACTCAGGAAGCTGAGGCAGAAGGATTGCCTGAGCCCAGAAGTTTGAGGCCAGGCTGGGCAATATAGTAAGACCCTGTCTCTAAAACAAAATTTTAAGTGGTTACTCTGGCCCCATTGTAAACTGTGTGGGTGAAGGAACAGATGCAGAGAGACTGCTTAGGAAGCTATCATAGTAACCAGCAATAGCTGGTGAAGGTTTACACTACAGGGTGTCAGCAGAGAGGAGCGGTGTGGCTCCATGCAACAAATGAGTCTAGGTTTCAACCTCCCTTATCACCTGACTGGGTATCAGTGTATTAGTTGTCCAGCAGTTGGATTTGATCACCGAAAATGCTAAAATTGTGAGATTACTATCACACTGTTGAGTGCTCATTATGATTTTACTAAATACAGGCATGGCACTAAGTGCTCTATGTGAATCATCTCAGTTCACCTCTCACCAACTTTATGGTAGCTGCTATTATTATCCCCATTTTCACCTGGATAAACTGATACACTTTGTTTTCATAGAAATCAGCCTTCTTTTCTCATTCTCTTCTTTTTTCTATTAAATAAATATGCTTAGTATAATAAACTCACATATAATAAATGTTTTCTTTTGGACTAAAAACTACTTCTTACCACTACGTTACTAAATTAGTTCAAATATTTGGTTTAGATGTTTCCTGATGAAAACAGAACAGCTTTAAAAAATGATGTGGTGGTTTCTTTCCCCCTCTTAGTTTCCTTAACCTAAATAACACTTTTTTTTTTAATCCCTTGCAGAAGTTCGAGCCTAGCATCAGTATGTGTCATCAGGGACTAATGTCATTTGAAGGGTTTGCCAGGTAACTTTTAAAATATCTTTTGCCCATCTTTTAAGAGTAGATGCATTTTTCCCATGCAGTCTTAAGAAAATTTGTTTCACCTAGGTTTCTGATGGATAAAGAAAATTTTGCCTCAAAAAATGATGAGTCACAGGAGAACATTAAAGAACTGCAGCTACCCCTCTCATACTATTACATCGAATCTTCGCACAATACCTACCTCACGGGCCATCAGCTCAAAGGAGAATCCTCGGTAGAACTCTACAGCCAGGTACAGGGAATGCCACTTGGAATGTGGTTTTTATTAAACCTAATTATTTATGTAACCCCCAAAGTCAAAAAAACCTGACCCCAGACTCCTTTGAAGAGCTTATAGAGTAAGCTATTACATGTCAAATGTGAGGAACCATGATGTGTGGGAAAACTGGCTATACTACAGCAGTCGTTTTCTTTACTTCTTTTGTTTTGTTTTCCCCCATCTATACTTAACCTTTATTCTGGGCCAAAATGAAAGTGTTTGTTTGAGACTCATAGCTTTTAGATCCTAGTTAGTCTGACCTACTCCCACTAAAATTAGATTTTCCCATGGGAAAATTATCTAATCGTCTCTCTAACTGCTAAATAATATATTGTAGTGGGAAAGCATAGTAGAAAATGCAACTTCCTATGTACTTATTCCCAAAATATTGTTTGTTTTGCTTTTCAGTTTGTTAAATAATCAATCTATCCCTATGGTAACCAAAAAAAATGCAGAAAAAAATCTACACAGACTTTAGGCACTGTCCCTACACATTAAATTCATCAGAATGTTCTTTGAAACTCAGTAGGTTCTCTAGACTAGAAAAAGTACATCCTTTTGACCTAAACATCCAACTTGCAATGATCTGCGTGTCCATTGCCTCTCTGCTGGATGGTCTGCAGCTTCCTCATCTATTCTGCCTTTTTTCTTAACTCTTTCAAGAAGGGTCAATTCGGTTGGAGCCAGGCAGGGAATATAAGTGTGTCATTGTGTGCACACGTGGGTCCAGGTTTGAAAACTACAGGTGTATTGTTTACATAACCCCAGCACCAGTGAGGTTTCTTTGTTCTCCAGATTAGTCCAGATATTCCTCAAAGCATGGGGCAATTTTTTGTCCCAAAGCTTGCTTAGCGGGAATATGTATTTTAAACTCTATTTTCTAAGGAAACTTTATTATGAATGAAGATGTGTTCTTAGAGCAGTGATTTTCAAAATAGAAGTTCTGTCATGGGGCCTCAGCCCCCCACACTGAGATGAGGAAGCCAGAGAGTAGGAGGGGTGCCATACGCTGCCCCATTTCAGGTAATGTACTACTCCTCTACACACTACATACTGGCCCTCCCTTCGCACACAGAATGCCAAAGTTAAAAGAAGTTTGAAATCCATTATTCTATAGGAATGAAATTAAATATACATATAAATACAGATACTTATATATATTTCATATACACATTTGTAGGTACACACATATACATGCGTGTACATATATGTGTAAGTGCATATATACATATCTATGTATATTTATGTACTTGTGTGTATCCACATTTATCCCAGGGAAATAAACAAGGACCAGTGTCCTGGCTTTAATTTCTATTTCATTCCTCTGTTTGACTTCAAACAGTTTTTAAACCTCTTAATATCACACCCCAAGGAGAGACTCTCACAGCTTTTGAATAAGGCACAAGAACCCCTCAAATAGACTCAGAGATGTGACTAAACCTAGTGTGCAGGTGGATCCCTCTTACTTCATTTCTAACCCCTCTCCACTCTTCCTTAGCCCTTCCTAATTACCTCTTAACATTACTCCATGGGGCAAATGGGAAGTGAGAATAAGCCCTGTTCTTCTCATCTAGAATTTCCAGCCCAGGTTTTCCTCTTCTAGCCATATGTGGATATCTAAGGTTACACAGACTTTGGTGAAGACCTTTAGTCCTTCAATGCTGAAAAGCCATCTCATCTGTTGCCAGTTGCTGAACATTATTCCTGGTCTGGCAGGGGCACCACAGAGATAAGCAGCTTGGTGTTCCAGCCACCATTTTACATAGCAATTTCCAGCCCAAGGCACTGCACCTCTAGATACTCTAGCTGCTGAAAGAAGCAGATAGCCTTGAGATTCTAGGCCACTGACTATGCTGTAAAATAGGAAGAATATAGCACTTATCCCATATAAAAGTGTTAAAATGAGAATCATTCCACTATCTGAGCTTAGTTGCAGAAACTCTAGTGGCCACTAAGCCCCAGTAATGGATTGCTGTCACACAGAAATAGTTATGTGCATTCTAAAATCAGTGGGTAGGCACATTTACAGATGTATCAATTTCTTGGCTTGGGTCACTATTCCAGTATGTAATAATTTTTTAAGATGATGTACAGATCTATGGAGGAAGAGGTTGCTTCAAGCAAACTTTATAGAGTTGCAACCCAAGCACATGTATTGAGCTCTGCTTCCCACTTCAGATCCAGGATAACAAATAGGTATCAGCTCATCTGATTCTTTGGTAGTGTTTTCTGGAGCACTTTAATAAAGAGGTTATGAGCTAACATATTAAAGCTTAAAGGACAAGTGTGCCTAGCTTGATTACTGATGTCTGCTGTGGGTATGGGAGAAAGGAACCATTTATGGATTATTTGCCATCCCTGCTCTAGTTGCTATTCTGGAATTAGATAGCCAGGCAAATCCTTGATAACTCTGCTTCCACTCTTCTTACATGTTATGCATTCACAGCAAAGATGTTTAATCGTGGCTTAATTTGGGTCTTAATGGAAGTGATTTTATCCTGATTGGCTTGCTGTAAATGTTTAGCCAGTTCATTAAGGACTCAGTGGCCTTATTTTCTCTGGGCTGTGGCATCAGCATTTTCACCTCCATTGATGTCTACCCAGATAGAGAGCACTTGCCTGGCTCTCTAATTTGAAGACGTGCCCTTTCAAGGGGCCAAAGTTGCTAGGAAAATGGCCATATGGTTTTGCTATCAAATTTTACTTTCCTTTAATATCCAGCTCTGGTAAACACTCTTTCTACCTTAATCTGTTCCCTTCCTTCCCCACTCTGGATTAATTGTGGCCTTTGGCAAAAATGCCATGTTTGTTTTAGACCATTTGCCCTTCTGCTTTAGTCCTGAGTGTAAACACTGCCTGATATGTAGAACTACATGCTGGGTTTAGTTCGAGGCTTTATCTCCAGGTGCTCACCTGGGGTGGATTCGCTCATTGATCACACAGGTCCTTTTGCAAGGCTGTCGAAGTGTAGAATTGGACTGCTGGGACGGAGACGATGGGATGCCCATCATTTATCATGGACATACGCTGACAACCAAGATCCCCTTCAAGGTAATCCTTCATAACTTTCTTTAAATCAAATCACAAAGAGACATTATCTTCATTTGTCTTTTTTTTTTTTTTTTTTTTTTTTTGAGACGGGTTCTCGCTCTGTTATCCAGGCTGGAGTAGAGTGGTACCATCTTGGCTCACTGCAACCTCTGCCTCCGAGGTTCAAGAGATTCTCCTACATCAGCCTCCCAAGTAGCTAGGATTACAAGCCCATACCATCAAGCCCAGCCAATTTTTGTATTTCCAGTAGAGATGGGGTTTCACCACGTTGGCCAGGCTGGTCTCAAACTCCTGACCTCAAGTGCTCCGCCCGCCCCTCAGCCTCCCAAAGTACCGGGATTACAGACGTGAGCCACCGTGCCTGGCCTTCATTCTTTATTTAAATCAGTGACTTGACCAAATTACACCTTAGATCAAGGGTCTTTATGCTGGGTCTAAATGAAGACTTCCCAAAAGTGTTTGCTGTATCATGTGGAATGTGCACATGTTCATTTTTCTGGAGTTAATCTAGAACTCTCATTAGATTCCCCATTCAACCCAAGTTAGTAACCATTACCTTACATTAGTTAGCATGTAATAATATTGTTGCAATTTTTACGTAATATGATATATAAAGGCAAGGTCTATTTTCCTGCTATAGGAATTAATGGTCATTTGTCCTAGTGTCATGCTGACAAAGGCCAATGTCAGGAGTTAGGAGATGGTTAAATAGTTAGCATTATAATGTAATGAGCATCAGTTCCACCTAAGAAGATTGGTCACCCAGGAAGACTGATCTCACTGGATTTGTGTTTCAAATTCTGGGTAGCTTATTAGTTGAGTTATGCAATTACTACCTTCATTCAGAGGGTCTTAGGCTATATAACATAATTTTTCTCTGAACTGTGGCCAGGTTGTGAAGGAATATTATTTTTATTTTACATGTAGAAATAGTGGCTAAAATGCATTTTCTCCTCAACTTGGTTTCCTATTTAGCATTCCTAAAACTCCTGTATGCTATATTGGCATGGGCATGAGTTGATAACTGTGTTTACATATACACATAAATATATGTGACATATGTCTTATTGCCTCAAATAAATTATAAACTCTTTATAAGCAAGAAAGTATTTTATGCTTAATTATGTTTGCTGCTATAACTAGGACAGTGTCTTTTACCTGCAATATACTCTATATATGTATACAGAGAGAGTATATGTATATAAATAGATTTGTTAAATTCAATATGATAGTTGTTCCTTATAGTATGTGAACAATACTCACTATAAAGTTTAATGTCTTTCTACAAAATGGCCTTATCCTCATGCTTCATTTGAAAATACGAAAACCATCTTTGGCCAGAGTCTGCTGCATGTAACAATTGAGATGCTTTCTGTGGCTATAACTACCCTGCCTTCTGACCACCTTGACAGATATCTGGACTCTAATGAGCTGTTTTGGCTCTCATAGGAAGTGGTTGAAGCCATTGATCGCAGTGCCTTCATCAACTCTGACCTGCCAATCATCATATCGATTGAGAACCACTGTTCATTGCCTCAGCAACGAAAAATGGCAGAAATTTTCAAGGTGAGCTCTCAACAAAAAGGCAGGATGGTATGTTGGCCCTTGTTTTGCAATTGTCATTGGGTTGTTTTGTTTTGTTTTGTTTTTTGAGACAGAGTCTCGCTCTCTCACCCAGGCTGGAGTGCAGTGGTGCAGTCTTGGCTCACTGCAACCTCTGCCTCTGAGGTTCAAGCGATTGTCCTGCCTCAGCCTCCCGAGTAGCTGGGATTACCAGCATGCGCCCCCATGCCTGGCTAATTTTTGTATTTTTAGTAGAGATGAGGTTTCGCCATGATGGCCAGGCTGCTCTGGAACTCCTGGCTTCAAGTGATCCACCCATCTCGGCCTCCCAAAGTACTGGGATTATAGGCGTGAGACACTGCACCCAGCCGTCATTAGGTTTAAATGAGGCCTTTGTGGACTATGCTGCAATTAGACCTTGGCTGTGAAGCATATACAGTTAGGGTCCCACAAACCTGAGAAATTGGGCTGTTCTTAGAGCCTGGGCCCTCTCTGGGATGGTCCCTATTTTCAGCTGGAGTGATATAAGTATTGCTCTCTGGTCTCCTTACCCTTTCCAGAAAGCCTTAGGAGATTAGGATAGACCAACTCTCCAACACTTCTGGTACCACAAGTCAGGGATGCCAGGATGTCATCTGTCAGTTGTATGTGGAAAAGCTGAAAATATCTCAGGGCAAGTAAGTCAAATCTTATAGGAGAAGATCATCTTTTTTTTTTTTTTTTTTTTTTTTTTGCGATGGAGTCTCGCTCTGTCACCCAGGCTGGAGTGCAGTGGTGCAATCTCTGCTCACTGCAAGCTCTGCCTCCCAGGTTCACACCATTCTCCTGCCTCAGCCTCCTGAGTAGCTGGGACTACAGGCGCCCACCACCACGTCTGGCTAATTTTTTGTATTTTTAGTAGAGATGGGGTTTCACCATGTTAGCCAGGATGGTCTCGAACTCCTGACCTCATGATCCACCCACCTCAGCCTCCCAGAGTGCTGGGATTACATACGTGAGGCACCGCACCCAGCCAAGAAGATCTTCTTATACCACAGTACAAAGATCCAAGTTAGCAAAGAGCTTAGACTGGCCAGAACAGTTGCTGTGTTAACAGTCAGTCCTTCCTTATATAAGGGTATGATAATGTATCAGGGGAACCTGCCCCCAATGTTTCAACGTAGGTTCTTTCTATTTTCCCTAAGTGTCAGCCAGTCTGAGATATAAAGAGAAAGAATACAAAGAGAGGAATTTTACAGCTGGGCTGCTGGGGGCGACATCACATATTGATAGGTCCATGATGCCCACCTGAGCCGCAAACCCAGCAAGTTTTATTAAGGATTTCAAAAGGGGTTTACAAACAGGGAGTAGGTCACATGCTTCAAGGGACAAAAGGCAGAGCAAGGATCACATGCTTCTGAGGAAACAGGACCAGGGCAAAATCAGAAACTCCTGATAAGGGTCTACGTTCAGCGGTGTACGTATTGTCTTGATAAACATATTAACAGAAAACAGGGTTCAAGAGCAGAGAACCGGTCTGACCTCAAATTTACCAGGGCTGGGGTTTCCCAATCCTAGTAAGCCTGAAGGTACTGCAGGAGACCAGGGCATGTCTCAGTCCTTATCTCAACTGCATAGGACAGACATTCCCAGAGCAGCTGTTTATAGACCTCCCCCCAGGAATGCAATTCTTTTCCTAGGGTCTTAATATTATATTCCTTGCTAGGAAAAGAATTTAGCAATATCTCTCCTACTTGCACGTCTGTTTATAGGCTCTCTGCAACAAGAAAAATATGGCTCTTTTTGCCTGACCCTGCAGGCGGTCACACCTTATGGTTGTCTTCCCTTGTTCCCTAAAATCGCTGTTATTCTGTTCATTTTCAAGGTGCACTGATTTCATATTGTCCAAACACACATGTTTTACAATCAATTTGTACAATAGTGGTCCTGAGGTGACGTACATTTTCAGCTTACAAAGATAACAGGATTAAGAGATTGAAGTAAAGACAGGCATAAGAAATTAAAAAGTATGAATTTTGGGAACGATAAACGTCCGTGAAATCTTCACAATTTATGTTCCTCTGCCACGGCTCCAGCTGGTCCCTCCGTTCGGGATCCCTGACTTCCCACAACAATAATGCACCCAGATTTAGAAGCAGATATTCCATTATACTTCCCCCTTCCTTTAATGGTAGAGGCATTTGTGGAAATGAGGCTCTCAGTGGGAAAGAGGGGCACTGACAAAATGTCCCCAAATATTAATGCCAACAAAACTAATTAACTTTTCATATTGTCCTGGCCTAAGCTTTGATTTTTTTTTTCAATTAAAAAATAACTCAAGGCCAGGCCCAGTGGCTCACACCTGTAATCCTAGCACTTTGGGAGGCTGAGGCGGGTGGATCGCTTGAGCTCAGGAGTTCGAGACCAGCCTGGGCAACAATGGAGTTGATATAAGCATTGTGTCTGCTTTCCCTCCACCCACCTCCTTGACAGACACACATTCTGCTTTGGAGATCCATGCTCAAAATCTTTGTGAGAATTGTGTCTGTGGTTCTTTACACTATGTGGACGCAAATTCTACCTATGTCTTTGTCCCTGCTCCCTACCCCCTCCAAAGTTTTATCCTTTTGACTTGACTTCATCTGAAACTAACCTTATTCTACAAACAACAGCCTCTAACTGATTCTCTGTTTTCTTATTTAATACATCAGACCACAGAATATTTTCCTAAATAGTTAGAACTGACACCAGCTGCAGAGTGGCCTCGACCTCTCCTCCTGTCCTTCTAAACACCTCCCTTCCTTTCAGTAAGAAACTGTGAAGGGGGCAGGAGCAGGGGACAGCTTCTTTCCTAGTTCCTCTTCCTAAGACTTTTTAAATAATTCAACCAGTCTAAAATATCTACTATGTTTATGAAGTGTACATATATTTATCAATTATAGATAAAAGGCATTGATTGTATGTTTTCCTTCATTCTTTTTAGACTGTGTTTGGAGAAAAGCTGGTGACTAAATTCTTATTTGAGACTGATTTCTCAGATGATCCAATGCTTCCTTCACCTGACCAACTCAGAAAGAAAGTTCTTCTTAAAAACAAGAAGCTAAAAGCCCATCAGACGCCAGTGGATATCTTAAAGCAAAAGGTACTCCCCTCTGTTAAACCAGTTATGAAAAGGCAGTGTGCCTAGAACAAAGAAAAATAACATCATTCTAACCTTTCAGATGACCTGCTGGTTTACTAGTTTTTCAAGACTGACTTTCCTTAAATGATAAGTTTGATTTTGGGCTTTTCATTCCATAGACCAATAAATTCTCTCATCTCACTCACCCAAGATTTAATTTGTGGAATAGTTCCCACATAGAATATACCTCCGTTATTTAATTTATTCTGAGTGGGATGAAGTGTGACTGTTGTGTCTGAAACTGAGCTTAGGGGGTTGTTCATCCCATAATGGCTGCTATAGTCCCCTTTAGGGAGAGTCCCCTTAGGGGAGCCCTTGGCATGGGGCCTGTAGTAGAAGCCCAAAAGCCATAGCCCTGTGATCCCAGCGTATCACTAGTTTATGCTGCTTGGGCCCAGATCCGGACAACAGAGATCTGGGCCCAAGCACGACAAACCCACCTGTGTAGGAGACCCTCGGCTCAAAGGTCTGTGAAAAAGTTCAGGTACAGAACACTGAGTCCATTTTCCAGTCTGCACCTACTTATCCCACAGGATGACAGCTGACAAAACTATTTGTCCTACTTAGGAGGGCACTGTTGGTCCTAAAACATCACTTTGGAAACTAGCCAGCTACAGACTTGCTCTCAGGCTGGCTCAAAGAGTACAGGCACACAGATGCTAAACATACAGAAACCAGTTTCTTTACAAACATCCGAACCTGCATATTCCCTTGAAGTGTTTGTGTCCTCTGAAGGTAATACATTACCCAATTTGAAGATCACCCATGATTCTGGGCCAAAAGTTGCAAAATCAGCCACTTTCAGGGGCTAAGCAGGAAACATCAGTGTGAGGAGCCAGCTGGATACAGGACAGCTGGAAGTGGTGAGGACAGGAGTGGAGTGTGCACGCCGTGTCAAAGAACAGCTCTAATTCAATTATTTTTAAACACTGCACCAGCCAAACAAGTCAGGTCTGGAGGTGCAGTCAGCCCCAAGGGCCACCAGTTGGAGACCTCCAGTAGGTCTACCTTTATCCAGATCTGCACTTCCAAATCTGCTCCAGGTGACCTTGCTTTTGCTTGGGTTTCAGAGGCCATGGCACCTATGCTGATGGGCCTTGTTACAAAGTTATTTAAATGTTAGCATGTATACTCTACCTTGCCTTCCTCAAATGCCACATCAGTGACTGACCACCCAGTGTGGTGCTTTTTCTTCTAGAGCCCTGTTCATCTGTGCTGTTTTCTTTATCCAACAATTCCTGCCCAGTCCTCACTGCCAAGCAGATAAAGCTGCTAACCACACATACCACTGTGGTCTTCAAGATAAATGATAAATGTGAATGTCCTTGCCTTTTCCATTCTGTGCACAGTCATTTGCAGTTACTTATAAGGCCTTCATTCCACTAATGAACAGAAGTCTTTTTTATGTTGAGCCCAAATCTTCCTTCCTTTTCCTCCTTCTCATTGGCCCTCCCTCTTCCCTCTGCAGCTGTACAGACTAATTTTATATTTAGAAAGCTATCATGTGTTTCCCCACCAGCTTTTCTTCTCCAAGCTAAAAATTCTTGTTGTGCCAACTGTTCCTGACAGGATATGGTTGCTAAGACTCTTTACTTACCATTAAGAATATCGTAGATATTCTTAAATTTGTGGATATTCTTGAATTCGTCAATCTGAAAATGTGATTTCCAGAACTAAATCAGTATTCTAGGTAGTATATTACAGCACAAGAACAGTGAAACCATCACCTCCCCTAATTTGAACTTTAAACCTTTGTTAATACAGCCTCAGACTGTCTGCTTTTCAAAAATTCTTGGCCAGCCGCTGTGGCTCACGCCTGTAATCCCAGCACTTTGGGAGGCCGAGGCAGGTCGATTGCTTGAATCTAGGAGTTCAAGACAAGCCTGGGCAACATATCAAATCCCCATCTCTACACAAAATATAAAAATTAGCTGGGCATGGTGGCATGTGCCTGTATTCCCAGCTACTGGAGAGGCTGAGGCAGGAGGATCACCTGAGCCTGGGAGGCCAAGGCTGCAATGAGCCATGTTGTGCCACTGCATACCAGTCTGGGCCATAGAGTAAGACCCTGACTCAAAAAAAAAAAAAATTCTTTAGCACACACTGAGCTCATGTTGAGCTTGTAGAAAACAAAAAGCATTCAGTTATTTTCATATAGACTGTTCTTATGCCCAGCGTTCCCATTTTTCCAGATTAACAATGAATTTTAACCTTTTGTATATGGGAGCCTCACATTTATCTCTATTTCTGCTCTTCTTGGTTTTGGTATATTATTACGTCCTACAAAGTTCTTTGTGAATTTTGTTTCTGTCATCTGGTACATTTATTAGCAGTTTCTCAAACTGTGTCTTCATCCCAAGTTGCCCTTGAGTCAGCCAGCCACATGGAGAGGCCTGTGCCCTTCTTAAATAAGCCCCCTGGCATTTGATGATTATTGCCCCCGTCTGGTGCTCTCCTCTCTTGTAGCCTGCATTTCCCAGAGTGTGCTTCGACTTCTTTATTGATTTCTTTATTTATAAAATAGAAAACTGAAACCTGGCCACTTGTGTGACTTTCTCAAGGCCACCCAGCTCATAGCAATAGAGCTTAGTCTCAGACTTGGGTCTTTAGAGAAGCCCTTTTCAAAGGTGATACAGAAGTCAGAGTACATTAATAAGAATAATCGCTGGAGCACTTTGAAAAACAGATTCTAAGGTCACAAATCTGACTGACTAAGTCAGAATTTCCAGAAGAAAGGCCTGGTCATCTGTTTATATAAAAATAATTCCTTAAGTCACCATGGTGTCTGCGTAAAAAATAATAACAATAATAATTCTTATTATCCTGGAAGTTTGAGAAACACTATTTATCTGCTGTTTTTCCCATAAAGTGAATTATCTTATCCAAAACAGCTAAGGAGGTCACTGTGTGGTAAACTTGTTCTTAGTAGATCCACTCTAACTCTTGCAAATCACCTCTTTATTTTCTAAGTTCTCACAAACCAAGTGATTAATACCCCATCATGAAATTTTGTCAGCTATCACCTTGACACTGCCCACAGTATAATTTCCACAACTTACTTGTTCCTTATTTTGGAAAAATGGGACAATATAATCCCTATTGCCAGTTTTCTAAGACTGCTTGCAACCTTTCATGATGACTTCCCAAGGGGTACCAGCAATGATTCCACAGTCACATCCGTAAGGCCTTTCTGTTTTCTGGTAGATCATGGGTCTAGACCTAGTGATGATCTGACCTCAAATAAACCAGGTGATCCAGAGCTCCAGTGGGCTCAGACCTACCCGCTAACATAGAAGGCCGGAGTCATTTCCCATACAAAGAACTCACCCTCAGCAAGGATGGATTGACTCAGAGCAGGATTTCTGAAGCCCTCCACCTGCCTCTGGCTTGTACTGAGATGCATCCTGAGGTCTCCTAACTATACCCCACCAGGATCCTCCAGGATTCTGACATTCCTCTCCTGAATTTGAACCCAAAAAACTCAGTTCACCTTAAATGACAGACACTGCGGCTAGGTACTGGGGAAACAGAGAAGTGTAAGACATTGCTCCTGCTTAGCCCTATGAGGGCCAGTCTCCTCATCTGACCCATACCTCCAACCACAACCTATATCCGAGTTACTTTTATTCAGGGGCTGAGGTCCCATTTTTCTACCCTAGAATAAGTAGGATATTGCATAGAAGGGTCCCAGCTGTTGGCCGTTTGTTGGGCTACCTCTCCCATGCTTCTCCTTGAGCATCTTGGGGGCCTTGGCACTCCACTTTCAGACACTGCTATTCGTGGTTCTTTGAGCAGTGTCCTTCTCCCATACAGTTCTCATGCTTCCCTGCCAGTGGGGTCTGTCCAGCCCTTGGCGTCATCATTCCCAGCACTTGGCATTACCTTGAGTGCTCGCTGAGTCAAGGCCCTTCTCTTATCAGCGATAAACAGACCTGCTTTTGTGGCTCACTTGTGCCTACAACAGATTTCCCAAAGTTTTGAAGAACACTAATCCTATGAGAGACTCTGAGAAGAGAAAGACAGGGGAAAAAAATTTCCTGGTTAAGTAAGCATGGGAAATGCTGCACTGGAGATCTTTGAAGACTCGTGATGCCCTTTAGCGTATTAAATGAAGGCTGTGTGAAACCCTGTAGTAGGAATGTGTTCAGGTTTGGTTAAGCTGCTGCTTCCAGGCATTCAGTGTATCTTGTGGTTCCTGTAATTGTCAGTTTTTCCATAACACCTATTAACACCCACCGAGCTCCATAAAACCCACTTTGAGAAATCGCAGCCTAGACCATGTCCAGTTATCTGGAATGGACTGCTTTGTAATACATTTCATCTGGATATGGACACAGCCTAAATTGTATCTTCCTTATGTATACATATTCATTATAAAGGTAATATAACCACATTTCAAAAATTTAGGGAATAGAGAATTATTTTAAAACATACATAATTCCAGGGTCAAACACAACTGTATTACACGAGTTCTTAACCTTGGTAATATCCACAAATAGAATTTAGGGAGTCTACGAATATAAATGGAAAAAAATTACATCTTTATTTTCACTAACCTCTAGCTGAAATTTAGCATTTCCTCTGATCATAAATGTAGGGAATAAACTACAGTAATATAGGCAATACCTATTGTCATCAATAGAAATGGCAACTTTTTCATTATACTTCACAGTTGTCGCTAATATCTCCAAGAATTATTTATGCTCAATTTATATTTTCAAAAATGTTAATTAACTTACTACTATGTTTTCTACTGTGTTAATAAACACATATATTCTAATAGCACAAATTTGTTCCTATAACATGTGATCACTGTATTCAACAGTATTTCCTTTGTAACCATTTCATTTTATGCATTTAAAACATCATTCTGAGAAGGGATCCTGTCTCACCAGACAACCAGAGAAGTCTGTGATGCAAAAACAAGTGAAGAACCCCTGCCATATTAACATTTAATATCTAGGACTTCGTGACTGTCATTTTATATAATTGCACTTTAAATATATAAAACAAATACAGAATTATATGTATATTTATATAGTGTATATATTTACATGTATAGCTATTATCTGTATGCACACACATACATTATATATAGTATATATTAGCACACATGTATGCACACATACACATGCAGAATTATATATGTGTGTATATATAATCTATATAGTATATTCAATGCATAAATATTGAATAAAAGAATTTGTTCACTTCCTTTGTTCAATAAATATATATCAATTATTTTTTCATATCTCATTCTCTCCAGCAGACAACCATTGCTTACTGACCCCGTTCCTCTACCCCGTTTAGATTGTTTCCTGCATTTAGTTCATGCAAGTAACGTTTCCTATATTTCAGATGATTTTCTTAAGCTAGGTAGGTTCCCAGACCTGTACTGATGCTTATCACTTCACAGTAATTCCAGTAAACACGGAGTATGTGACCTCCCTGGCTGCACACATCAAGTTTCCTAAAGTTTCTAGGCCTGTTTTGTTAATCTGATTTATGGTTCAGAAAGCCGTTTGAAAACAATTTTATTTAAACCAACAACAATTCTTTTGGCCTCTTTGTCCATAGGGATTCTAATATTGTTCTCAAGGTCAGGAGCCTGTAGATATTATTTTAAGAAGGGGAAAAAATGGTTTCTTAACAGAGACATACTTCTGAAAAATTGATGGGTGATTCACTTCTTCAGTCACTTGGGATTGATGCTGGTTCTCCAAATCACCAAAGCTTTCTCTTGGAGGGGTTGTCCTGGGAACCTGGCTAGCTGGGCACTGCACACAGTCTTCTGGAGATTGTTTATAAAAGCTCCAGGATTCTTCCTGTAGGAATGCTAACGTTCACCCAAGTGTTGACATTGCATTTCGAGGGAATCTAGATTTTTTTCTCCTCTCCCAAATGTATCAAAATAGGTTAAGCCACTTTTAACGATTGTGTTAAACATCAGGGGTAGTTTTAAAGGTTATAAATGAATTCATTAACTTGGCATCTGCAGTTTACAATTATTGCTATTTTACAGGCTCATCAGTTAGCATCTATGCAAGTGCAGGCTTATAATGGTGGGAATGCCAACCCCCGACCTGCCAATAATGAGGAAGAGGAAGATGAGGAGGACGAATATGATTATGACTATGAATCCCTTTCTGATGGTAAGAGAAACAGATCCCTATGCTGTGCACAGGAAAATTCTTGGATGATTTGCCACATTTTTCTTTCTAAAATAAGTCTAGAGCGCCAAAGACCAGTAATACGGATGGTTGTAATATTGTCCAGGAGTTTCTGAATTCAGTCACTTAGCAAGGACCGAGGAAGGAGGGGATTCTGTTAGCCAACACTTACAGAAAGAAGAGGCAGGTGTGGGAAGTTACAGGGAGTCATTCCTACGACAAGTTTCTAGAGGAAGAGATGGAATTGCAGCAGAGAAACCCTGTTTTCACCCTTTAGTTTCTAGCGTGGCTGATAATCTTGGCAGGAGTCGTAGACTGAGGTTGCGTCCTTTCTCCTGCACCACCGGCAGGGGGCAGCATCACGGCTCTGTGCTCTCTGTTTCACACTCTTGCTCTGGCATTCTAGTAGTGAAAAGAAAGGAGAGGAGCCTCATTTCCCCTCCCTCCCTGGTTTTCATACCACTAAGCCAACAAGATCTTTCCTTCTGGCCCCACCAAAGAGAAAAAACATAGGCAATGCTAATGACGCAACACAAAAAGTCACACGAATGATGTTAACTACAGATTACTAGCGAAGGATTCTTCTCACATGAGAATTAGGTTTTCAGTGTGTTTCATTTGCATTAAACATTTGTTAGAGATTGCAGAATGTTTACTCAGGTACCTTTGCTGATAGTAGACTGTTTCATTTTGGTGATGTCTGAAAGGCAACAATATAATAATAAGAAAATGCCAAGGTTCCTATTTCTATAAACATTATATAGTAGAATATATTCTTTCTATGTAGAATAATTGTTTTGCTAAATATGCAGATATGCCCAGACCAGAAACCATTTACCATTAAGTTGTCTCATGCATTAAGACAACTGAGCCCCCTCCTCCAAATATCTGCTCCTCAGCAGAAATTTGAGTTGTCTCCAGTCATAGTTCAGTTTTGTGAGCCTCCATCACTGGTTATACTGCAAATATAATACCAAACTGTCTGCCCCCAAATATAATACCAAACTACATCATTTAGTATTTGTCCTTAGTAATAGTTGATTGCTCCATACCACCAATTAAAAGCCAGTTTGCTACACCTGAAACCCCATGAGCTAATATGAGAGACATATCTCATCAGATAGTAAGAGGGGAAAAAATTAAAAGGAGTCAAGACAATTTCTCTGCAAAGTCATGGGAATGTGAATTTTTTATATTAACTTATTCTTCCCCATGGTTTTCTTCCCCATTACAGTTGCAGTAATGCCCCATAGAACTAATTGATTCAGATATGAAATAAAAATCACACCTAAGAAATCAACTAATCTAGATGTCATATGCCCCTATAAGTAGTTAGTCCACTAGAAAACAAATTTGCTCTTTCATAAATTACTCCTGTGCTTTTTCTGTACTTCTGAGAATAAGAAAGGAAAAGCCTTTTTAGAAATTATTATTATACTGTAGATTTCACATAAAGAAATAACAAAAAATTATTATAGATGGTTTTGATTTGCAAGTAACAAAATGAACAGGTGGGAGAAGGATTTTCTGATTTATTTTCATTTGGGAAATTTAGTCCTATACCACTGAATTTCTAAGATAGTTGCATGTATTTTTAACAATCCACATATGCAGAGGTGGAGTATCATTGGAAAAGGGGACCACACCAGGCTCTGTTCCAGTAGACTGTGATACCTGGGGCAATGTCTTCACCACCTTAGGCCTTAGATGCCTCAGATATGTAATCAAAAGTTCTGCGAAGTGTTTGGTGATGTTCTTCCTCTACTTCCAGCACTAAGATCTGTAATGTATGACCACTTAAGCCCACTACCACTACATGAGTATTTCCCCCTTCATTGAAAGATCGCTCTGACTGGATGATTCTCAAACAGGCCTTGTAGTTATGCTGTGACTTGTTGAAGCTTGTCCAGTTAAGGCTTCCGTATGTGACTATTAGATGCCTTACTAACCACATGCCTTTGATTATTGTTGTGACCATCTCCACTTTCTCCAGCAGGGATAGAGAACAGAAATCTACCTGCTGTGGGAAGCACCGTTACCAGCCTCTTAGGGGGCCTAAAAGGTTTCCTAGCTTCTCGTAATAATGGGTCTTTTTGAGAATCAGATGAAAGCTATCACCTCTGAAAAATAAAACGTGCTCTCAAAATTCTGCACAACTGCAAGAGTTTCACAAGTTTCCTGAGACCCTCATAGGCATCCTAGATTAGGAACCCATCTCTAAAGTCAGGGTGCCCGGTTTATCTCTGTGATCTCTCATCCTTGGTTTTCATGCCCATTAAATAAAGGAATTAATCTAACACCATTTGGGCTATAAAAATGAGATAATGCCTAGCCACAGAATTATTGCAAGAAAACGCTAAGGAAGTTGCAAATGAGAGTTATTTATCTGAGAAATTGTAACTCTGCCTTTTGGGTAATAAATTCTTAATATTTTTCTCCCAACCTTGTTGTTTACCTTGTGTCTAGTTTTGAACATACACTGCAGACAAATTTGAATTTACAACTTAACGCAGACATATTCTATGACAATGACAGCACAATTCCAAGAAATTAATCTGTTTCTGTACATTTGAAATGAAGTCATATTGGGAGTATTACAGCAGTCAGTAACTGAAAATATGTAACATGAATGTGTCAGCCCTTGGCATGATTCACATTAATAATGTTTACATTTCGTTTACTGCTAGTCCTTGCATTGTTCCACAGTCAAAATATTAAATCTATAGAGCATTTCCTGTTTCATTTATTTATAATCTAAGCTGCTGTTATTTGTGCTTTGCTTCATGCCTTTGTTTAATTTATCTGGTGTTTGTCTTAATTTTCTCCTTCCTTTACCCCTTTCTGATTCTGTTTTTCTGTAGCAGATGTCCTTACTGCCTCCCCTGCTCCTAACGGTCAGGAAGGTAAATGCCATTTGAACGGGGCATTTTAACTGCATGGATGTCAGCATTCTGTTTCCAATTTCTTGGGCCCGGTTAGCATGACGTTGTGATACTTCTGTGAATACAAATGTAATGAAATGATTTATCTCATTTACTTCTTGTCAGCCTGCATGGCCCTGATTTGGTATAAGGTCCTTTTGGTCTAATCGTTTGTGCTCTGATGATGCGATACTAAATCTTGAGTGAGAAATTAGCTTTCTTGTTTTTCATTTTAAAAGGTCATCATCACGATACACTTCTAATACCTTTAGAGTCATTCCAAATAGAAAAGCAAAAAAAGAGCAAAATATAAGATTATATCTTATGATATAATATTCAGATATATTTTATTTTCTGTTATGATTATCACTTAGTAAATTAATAACAATCATGAAAACTTTACTTTTTAATTATAATTGTGAAGACTTTGCATTGCACCCAATAATAAGTCTTTCCCCCTAGGTTTTGGCATTTCTCAAGGTAAAAGAAGTAAATAGCTTCATTTCAAAGTGAGAGTGAGTCAATCATGTATGTACCTTCTAGAAGTGCTTCAGCCACTAAATCCTTCCCAAACGTGTGTGCTGTCAGCTTCTTGACACGGGGTATCTTCCATAATATTTGCACAGTTCCAATCATCTGTATGAAAATTGGCATCTTCATTTAGATTATGTCTATATGCCAGATTATTTTGAATCATTTAAATTATGTATATAAGTGACAAAAACTACTGGTAAATAAATCAATTAAATTGAAAATAACTGCATCAACCCAATTTTTACAGTTATGCTTCAAGCCATCATTTTGTTAACATACTATATAGTTAGAGCCTCATTCTTATAGATAAGTACAAGTATCTGGATGTCCTCACAGTGATGCACATGTAGCTCTTAAGTGAAGCATTGGGTTCGTTTTCACTGAAGTCTGCTAACTTATTTTCAGACAACATTCTGGAAGACAGACCTGAAAATAAATCATGTAATGACAAGCTTCAGTTTGAATATAATGAAGAAATCCCAAAGAGGATAAAGAAAGCAGATAACTCTGCTTGCAACAAAGGAAAGGTGGGTGAACGGTTTCTGTTAAATGACACTTTGACCATGTGGTACTCTTGTCAGTTTCAGATGAGATTCCACTTGCTCCCTGTCCCTCCCTTTCACCTTTCCCCTCACTTTCCCTTAGATACCTGCCAAAGTTCACTTGGTGATATTAAAAGACACCCACCTTCCATTTGTGGAAAGTTAGTCACTGATTCATCCAGCCAATACCTACTAATGGTGTATGTGTGGCAGGTACTGAAGTGGCACAGAGGTGGTTTAGTGATGAAGGCAGACATGTCAACTGTGTTGAATGTAAGTGCATAGAACAGTGATTATACTGTGTTATCAGAGAATCAAGGACAGGCTCTCAGGGAAGATGAGGTTTCAGAAGGAAGATTTGGCTAAACAGACAAAAACAGAACATTCGGGCCAAGAGGGCAGCCTGGTATGTCCAGGGAATTGCAAGAAGTTTTAAAGGCATTTGGGATGACCAAGAAGATAAACGGGCCAGATAGCAGAGGAATGACACTGAGAATAGGAAGATAAATGAGATACCCAGACCCTATCCTCAAGTGCCTCACAGTTTATAGACTCTGAGCAAATCTTTAGACGCAGTTGCAGTGACATTGTTGGACAATGGAATTGTAAGATATGTCAAAAATTTGAGCCACGGAAGATACATAGTCAATCCTCTATTTATTTAACAAAGATTTATTGACCATTCCACATGTAAGACAGTGGACCATGCACTGAGGGAAGATGGAGGATGAATTAGACTCACCTCCTGCCCTCAGAAAGCTTTTACTCTAGGAAAGCTGTTGGGACATGTATATGGATAATTACCATGCAAGGGGAAATACAGTAATAACACCAGAGGAGGACAGATAAAAGAGCTTTGGGAATCCAGAGGTGAGTAGCATATACCTTCCATGTAAAATGGTATCATTTTTCCCTTACCAGGTTTATGATATGGAACTGGGAGAAGAATTTTATCTTGATCAGAATAAAAAGGAAAGCAGACAGATTGCACCAGAGCTTTCTGACCTTGTAATCTATTGTCAAGCAGTAAAATTTCCAGGTAAGATTAGGCAATATCATCTATAACTTTTAAAGATATCAAAGGTTAAAAATATGCCATTTATTTAATTGGGCATTGTGAACACTCTCAAAATAACTAAATTGTGTTGCTGAAATCATTGTTATAATACCTCCTAAATATCTTTATTATTATAATTTGCCTTGATGCTCATGAAGAAAAATACCATAAAGTATTCATTTTTCAGGTCACACAATGTCTTTTTATAATAGTTAATAATTATAAAAGTTATAATACTCATAATTTCTAATTGCTAAATGTATTAAATACTTAAGTACTAGGATTTGTGCTATTTTACGTACATCTCCTTTACCGTTCATAATGATTCTACAAGGTAGGCGGTATTATCTCCATTTTAAAATAAAGTCTGAGAGGGATGAAGTAATTTGCCCCAAGTTTCAGAGTATATCAGTCAAGATTCTTTTGTTTGAAAGTGGCAGAAATTGACCTAAGTAAAGGGAACTTTATTGACTCATGTGCTTAAAAATGAAGACACACAGGTTTCAGGTATAGCTTAACCAAGGTACATGCTTTCTCTTTCCTCATTTCTCATTCCGCCTCCATCATGTTGGCTTTCTCCCCTTTATTCCCTTCTGGTTGCGAGACGGCTACAGCAGGCCAGCACTACATGCTTCCAGTTTCAGCTTCAGTGTAAGAGTCTCTTCCAGAACTTCCCGCAGAAGTGTCATTGTTTCTCATTGGGTCCTTTACCAATCACTGTGGCCAGGAGATGCAGTGCTCTGATGGTCTGGATCCCATGTCACATTCTCCACTCTGAGCTGGGTAGCAAGGCCCCACCCAAACCACAAGGACCAAGGATGGCGTTGAAGTGGAAGGAGAGATTTCCCCCAATTGACCGTTTTTAGAAGTACAGTGGACAGGCTGATGAACCACTTTCCAAAAACAGTGTCCTTTTCAATTAATGAATGGTAGACCTATGGCTCTGAAGCCTGTCTGTCTCCAAAGTCCTGCCCTTACCCGTTATACTGCCTGGCCTCTCTTGTTTCGGGCTGTTTTCAATGAGGTACTCAATTATGTGTCCCACAAATGGGGCACCAGGGGGTAGAAGACAAACAAGAAAGTCCCTAAGTACATGGAACTCAGAAAAATTCATCTCCTCATACTAAGAAAAAGGATTCTCTTGAATATAATTTCTGAGAACAGGAAAGTGGCTGAGATAGGAGGATCAGTCTAAATGTTAGTAAACAGGATTTATAGACTTGGCCTGGAGAGAGGCACTAAAATGCCCTCATCTTTTCAAGATGGGCTGAACTCAGGTCCCTCCCAGAGCATATCTTAAGCACCTGGTCTCACACAGTGCCTGACAAATGGGCCAGAGGCATTGGGCTATTTAAAAATTAGGCAAACTGGGTGTAGTGGTGCGTGCCTGTAATCCCAGCTACCAGGGAGGCTGAGCAGGAGAAATGCTTGAGTCTAGGAGTTCAAGCCCAGCCTGGGCAAGATATATAGCAAGACCTCATCTCTAAAAAATAATAATTAAATTTTTAAAATCACAGTTAGGTAATAGTGAGCTTTTCACACATCAGAGTAAAAAAAATCATATTATTTAATGATATGATAAAAATCATATATTTCATGATATTAAAATCATTTTAATTGTAAGTTTTCTCCTATAAGCTGTTTTTAAACTTTTGGCAGCTGCTACTGCTTGTCTGCTAGCAAATCCTGTTGAGGAGGATATGAATCAATAAGTAGCCAGCAAAGATTTCAGAGAAATGCAGGAACCTGGCCATTTAAGTTTAATTTCACAGACCATGACCTCATGGCATATAAGTACAATATGACCATTATTTGCAACTGGCAAAACTCTTTTTCTGATGGAGTAAAACCCTTTACCTGTCAAAGAGCCTGGAGGCTGGCATGTCCTTCATTGCAGGAACAAGGATGAGCGCCACTCTGTCCAAGAATCACACCCACTGCAGCTCTTATTCTTTATAAATGCAGCGGATGCCACACTCGGACCATTCCACTGGCTTTGTCTTTTCTTCTCAAGCACTCAGTAAATAAGGAGCACAAATTCCCAAAGATATTTGAAGTCTGTGTGAAAGATAAAGTCTCTGTACCAGTAGAGAATCGTGGAAGATCAGGAGGTCATGTGATAGAGCTTCTAAGCATGTGGTTGTTCGGCTTATTTTAAAAATTCCAAGTATGTTGTTTTTTAAAAGTGTTCACATAGCATACATTTCTTCATAGGTATAGTGTATTTTCTCTTTAGAAAAATGAAATTTCTTACATTTTTTCCCTGATTTTATTTCCTGTCTCAAAATAGCTAAATTGGATTGCCAGAATGATTGTTATAATACCTTCTAAATATTTCTTTTTACAATCATTTGTTTGATGCACATGAGGAAAATACTATAAACTGTTCATTTTGCTATGCCGTTTATTTTAATTTTGCTACATTATCAATTTCAGTGTATGTCACCTTTCATCATCCCAAGTCCCTTCTTACAAGCCATATGCAAAAAAAAAAAAAAAACCCTTCATTGCAATGAGGCACTCAACAATCATGTGGTATGAGGCCCACAGAAAGGAAGGAACTTCCCCACCATCAGAAGCTAGGTCAGTGGCAGGGCAAGAGCCAGAATTCCTGTCAGCTCCCAGGGGTGGGCTCTTTGCACCACACTATGGAAGTAGTTGAATTTTTTCGACCTGCTTTCTCTTAGGGTTTATTTCTCGGTTGCATTTAGTACTTCTATTGTCCTGGGTTTTTTTCTCCTTCTAATAGAAAAAAAAAAGGATATGGTATTTTTATTTTATGACCCCATCAACCTAGTTTCCAATATCTTCCCACAAGCTCCCCTGCATCCCCCACTCTCCTCAGGCACCTACATACACTGCCGTCTTTCTAGTGCCAGGCCATTGCTCAGAGTGTTCTCAACCTTGCCTGGCCTTCCTTCTCCCCTTGGCCCCATTCCAAATTCCAAGGACGGGGTCCTTGGAAAGTATCTGAGACTCTTCAACTCATTGTGACATCTCCTTTCTGGAGCTCCTTCATTTATAGGCATATGTTTGGGTACCTCCTAGATACCCAGTTGTTCCACAGTTAGGAGTGCAACCTTGTTCTTTTATTTTGAATTTTTTTATTTTGACAGCTTTAGTGGTACAAGTAGTTTTTGGTTACATGGATGAATTGTATAGTGATGAAGTCTGGGATTTTAGCGCACCTGTCACCCAAGTCGTGTAAGTCATACCCACCAGGTAGTTTTTCATCCCTCACCTCCCTCCCACTCTCATTCTGAGTCTCCAATGTCCATTACGCTGCTCTGTATGCCTTGACATACCCATAGCTTAAAAGATTACAACCCTGTAAGACAAAAATTATTCAGTGGTGACAAGATCATCAGATAAGATCGTGGGTCAGAGACCTGGGCTCTTGGCTACCATGCTTTGTGATTTGGCCAAGGCAAATCTCTCTGAGCCTTTCTCACTCAAAAGTGGAGTTGACTAGAATCCTTGTTTACTACACTTGCTGAAATCTCCAGAATCACCCAGGCCACTTGATTAACATACCCAGTCTCAGGCCTCTCTACCAGGGATTTACATTTGGAAGGCACTGGGAGGTCCTGGTCCCTGGGTTTCTAAGGCAGGCAATTCAGGAGCAGGTAGAGCCAGATGATCTGGAAGTCTGATTCTGAGGGGGATTTTGCCTCATTCTCCTTTGGATCCACCACACAGTCCACAGAGCAGGTGCCCAGGGATTCCATGGTGAGGCTCGTCCGGAAGATTCTGTGACTTCCAGGGCTCATTTTTATTCCTACACTGAAGGAGCCACATGGGGAGAGCCTTGCAAGTGTCAGTCCATTCCCTGGACACACACTGTCATTTTCTCAGCACTGAGAGACAAGCTTTGTTCATCAAACAGTGGTTTGCTAACAAGCCATTTGAATGACAAAAGTAGAACCCTGCTGCCTTGGACAGCTTTGGGCTAGCTGGGTGTAGGTCCCTGGCACTGAGAGTTGCCTCCCCCACAGAGAGCCTTGGCCATCCCCCATGGCTGTTCTGGGTTACTCAGACCCACAGTAGTGCTGCAGGTTGGAACACCTTGGAGGGCAAAGGGATGCATTTCAAGAAATGAGAGGGCTTGGAACAGAACTCTCGGGAGAATGTCAACCAACACACCACTGAGAGGTAGCCCTGTTCACTGAAACTTAATTACCCTCGGTGCCTCCCAATATCTTGCAAAACCAGTGAACACAGCTTTTCGGACCTATAGTGACTGGGTAAGATGAGGCCCTGCAGAGCATGGCAGGCAAGGCACTCAGGAAGGAAAAGTAGCCGTGTGACCCTGAGTGGCTCTCGGACCATCCCCAGACTCAGCTTCTCTCCTGATTTTAGCAGTGCCAATATGTTGAATCCTCTGATGTCTCTGGGAGAGCATCCAGAAGAAAGCCTAGCACTGATTATATTTACAGTAATGCATCACTTAATCAGGGAGAGACATTCTGAGAATGCTTCATTAGATTATTTTGTCATTGTGTGAAACATCATAGAGTGAACTTAGACAAAGCTACAGTGTAGCCTGCTACACACCTAGGCTAGATGGTGTAGCCTGTTGCTCCTAAGCTACCAGCCTGTACGGCATGTTACTGCACTGAATACGGTAGGTAAGTGTAACACAATGATAAGTATTTGTGCGTTTAAACATACCTAAACAGACAAGGTACAGTAAAATTATGACATAAAAGATTTAAAATGGTACATCTGTATAGGGCACTTATCATGAATGAAGCTTGCAAGACTGGAAGTTGCTCTAGGTGGATCAGTGAGTGAGTGATGAGTGAATGTGAAGACCTGGGACATTACTGTACATGACTATCGACTTTATAAACACTGTACACTAAGGCTACACTACATTTATAAATAAAAATTTTTCTTCAAAAATAAATTAACCTTAGCTTACTGTAACTTTATATTTTATAAATTTTTATTTTTTTAACTTTTTGACTCTTTTGTAATAACACTTAGCTTAAAACACAAACACATTGTACAACTGTATAAAAATGTTTTCTTTCTTATCTTATTTTTATTTTTTAATTAAAGACCTGGCCTTGCTCTGTCATCCAGGCTGGAGTGCAGTGGTGGAATCATGGCTCACCGTAACCTTGAACTCCCAGGCTCAAGTGATCCTCCCACCCTAGTCTTCTGAGTGGCTAGGACTACAGGCATGTGCCACCAATACCTGGCTAATTTTTCTTTTTTTTTTTAGAGACAAGGGTCTCACTATGTTGCCCAAGCTGATCTCCTGGACTGATCTGCCTTGGCCTCCCAAAATGCTGGAAATACAGGCATGAGCCATCGCACCCGGCCATTTTCTTTCTTATTTTTCTCCTTTTTTTTTTTTCCCATTCTGTGACTCCAGCCAAAGACATTTTCTTTCTTTATTCTGTAAGATTTTCTCTATTTTTAATTTTTTTTACTTCATTTTATTTTTTATTTTTTTACTTTTTAAACTTTTTTATTAAAAACAGATACAAGCACCCACATTAGCCTCGATCTACACAGAGTCAAGATCACCAATATCATTGTCTTCCACTTCCACCTCTTGTCCTACTGAAGGTCTTCAGGGACAATAACAAGCATGGAGCTATCATCTCCCATGATAACAACGCTTTCTTCTGGAATACTTCCTGAAGGACCTGCCTGAGGCTGTTTTACAGTTAACATATATATATATATGTAACTTAAAAAAAAGTATATATATATATACACACACACATATATACACATGTAATGTAGAATGAGTATACTCTAAAATAATGATAAAAAGTATAGTAAATATATAAACCAGTAACATATTTATTATTATTACCAAGTATGTTCTGTACATAATTGTATGTGCTAGACTTCTATATGACTGGCAGTGCAGCAGATTTGTTTACACCAATCTAATCACAAGCACTTGAGTAATGTGTTATGCTATGGATGTTAGGACAGCAGAAGGTGATAGGAATTTCTCAGCTCCAGTACAATCTTAAATGGGACCACCATCATATACGTGGTCTGTTGACCTAAATGTTGCTATATGGCTAATGACTGTACATCGCTTGTCTAGTTAGGGAGTTGATTTCAAAGCTTCCAGACAGATTAGGATTTCTGAAGGAAGATACCATCATATGCACTGGAGTCAATTTATTCTTTTTTTTTAAGTAATTCTTTTTCTTTTTAGAGACAGAGTCTTGCTAAGTTGCCCAGGCTGGCCTCAAACTCCTGGGCTCAAGCGATTCTCCTGCCTCAGCCTCCCAAGTCGCTGGGACTACTGGTGTGCACCACTGCATCTGGTTCTGGAGTTGGTGTATTCCTAAATACCTAGATGGCTTCTGCTCAAACTTCCATCTCGAAGCTTTAGTCATGTCAGATGTTCCAACATCTATATCTAAAATAAGCATTCTTATTCACAATCACAAGTAAAAACACAGATGAGAGGAAGACCCTAAAATTAACTAGAGACTCAGCTGAGGAAGAGAGGCAGCCACCAGGCTAACCATGTGGATTTAAATCCCAGCTCTGTCTCTCCATGACCTTGACTTGAACAGTTATGTATTATAGCTGCTCTGCACCTGGGATTCCCTATCTGTAAAAGGGGTGTAACAGTCCTAACTTAAAGGATTGCTGTAAAAAGTAGCAATAAAGTATCTAGTGTGATTAGCACATCGTCGGGAGCATGGTGGGTGGATCACTTGAGGTCAGGAGTTCAAGATCAGCCTGGACAACATGGTGAAATGCCGTCTCTACTAAAAATACAAAAATTAGTGGTGCACACCTGTAATCCCAGCTTTCTGGAAATGTTGTTATCGGTAAGTGAGCCAACGGGGTAGATGAAGGTTCTTTGTTGCTTCTTCATTATTTTTCTGGGCCCCTTCTCACAATTCAAAATCCTTCCCCTTCTTTGATCACTCAGCCCTTGTTTACATTCTTCCCCTCCCCATCCCAAAAGAATAACCAGGCTCTTCACTGAAGTACCCACATTCTGGTAGAAGATATTGACATGTGGCAGGATACAGGCAAAAGTCCAGAATGAACAGAGCCCCTCCCCACTGGTCCCTCATCAGTTTTACTTGGGAGAAAATCCATTATTAAGTAATTGTGTCAAGAGCAAAATGTACACAAATATTAAGATCAAGGTATGAGAACTCAATAGTCTAAGTTTGTGCATGTTTGCTATTATGAATACTTTGGAGGTAAAAGAAAACCTTAGAAGCCCCACATTAAGCTATAATAATAACAGCTACTATGGACTGAGCACTTCCCTGAACAAGACACACTACTAAGTATGGACAAGTTGAGCATCCCTAATCCAAAATGCTCCAAAATCCAAAACTGTTTGAACGCTGACATGATACTCAAAGGAAATGCTCATGGGAGCATTTCGGATTTTGGATTCTCAGACTGGGGATCCTCAACCAGGTGAGTATGATACAAATATTCCAAAATCCGAAGAAATCTGAAATCTGAAACACTTTCATGTCCCAAGCATTTCAGATAAGGGATATTCAGCCTGTATATGTATATTATCTTGTTTATTCCTAACCACAGCCCACTTACAGATGAGGAGGGAGTGTTCTAGAGAGGTTAAGTAACTTGTGTGAGATTGCCCTGCTAGGAACAGATTTTAAATCCAGCTGTCTCACTCCAAAGTCTATGCTCTTAAACACTACTCTATCCTGTCTCCTCTGATGATGTTCTTGGAATGTGTATTATCATCTGAAATACGACCTCCTGAATGCTGCTTCAGCTTAGGGAATTACTCTCCAAAGGTACAGTTATGACAGTGGGAACAATTTGGAGGCAATTCTGGCCTCACTGGTGCCTTCAGCTCACTCTTTTTACATTGGAGCCAGGTCTATGTGGTTTGCATTCATTTCCTCTTTCAGCAAATATGTATTCAGTTCCTGCTCTGCACCAGGCACTGTGCCAGGCATGAAGCATCCAGGGAGTTGTTAGACCAGGAGTGAGAAAGAGAAGCCATAAACATCATTATCACCATATTTCCCATCTTCAGAGTAACCATATGAGTGAGTTCCTATCATTACACACATTTTGTAGATAAGGAAACTGAGGACCAAAGAAGGAGGTGTTATGTCAAGGCTAATATCAGCAGGAATTGAACCTAGACACTATGACACTAAAACCCAAGTAATAGCCATTCCTTCATCTCTCCAAATTAAATAATTAGCCACTGATCATTTCTGGCCACAGCACCTTCTTTTCATGCAGTTTTTCAAAATCTTTCTGATGCACAATCAGCTAAGTGTGTGTGTGATTTTGTGGTCATTCTGTGATAAGCATGCAGTTCTTGTTGCATTTGCCTATAGAGATTTTTAAAACTTTGCTTTAATTGCCTACAATGCTATTATTAACAGAACAAAAACTGCCAGTAGGGTTTCTGTACTAGGTTCCAAGGGAGTAGTAGGACTTCAAAATAAATATTAATGGGGATGGAAAATGTTGAGTTGCCTTGCTTGTAGTTTTTGGCTTATTTATTTTCATTTTATGGGAACAGGACTGTCAACTCTAAATGCATCTGGCTCTAGCAGAGGAAAAGAAAGGAAAAGCAGGAAGTCCATTTTTGGCAACAATCCGGGCAGAATGAGCCCAGGGGAGACAGCATCATTTAACAAAACATCTGGAAAAAGTAAAGTCACTTTCTTACAATATCTTTGCTTGATTCTGCATGCTGGATGATTTAGATATTTTACTGTCTAAGCACTTCCCTTGAATTTTTTAATTCTTTTTCCTGAACATTAATATTGTCTGAGTATAGTATAAATTTTTGTAATTGCTAACTTACACTTTTAACGTACTAAAAACAGCATTTCAGGCTGGGCACAGTGGCTCATGCCTGTAATCCCAGCACTTTTGGAGGCCAAGGCAGGTGGATCACTTGAGGTCAGGAGTTCGAGACCAGTCTGGCTAACATGATGAAACGCCATCTCTATTAAAAATACAAAAAGTAGCCGGGTGTGGTAGTGCACACCTGTAATCCCAGCTACTAGGGAGGCTGAGGCAAGAGAATCGCTTAAGCCCGGAAGGCAGAGGTTGTGGTGAGCTGAGATCGCACCACTGTACCCCAGCCTGGGTGACAGAGCAAGATTCTGTCTCAAAAAAATATTAAAAAATTAAAAAATAAAAATAACATTTCACTGAAGATGTTTGAACAGTGTTTGCCTCACGAGTAAAAATTAGAGGCACCTTGGAACATTCTTGGAACATTCTAGTGGTTTCTTGGAGCTGTTCTCTTCACCATTATAACTCCAGAAGATATGGCTATTTTATTTCTAGTTACTTTTTATTATGAAAGTAATAAATTCTTGTAGTTAAAAACTCAAACAATACAGAGTATTATTAAAATTCCTTTCCACTCAATGTCCTGGTGCTATTCTCCAGAAGTAACCACTATTAAATTTATTGTGTTTTGTTCAAGAAAAATAAGATCCTTTTTAAGATAATCCAAATGGGATACAGGCATACTTCGGAGATATTGCAGGTTCGGTTCCAGACCACTACAATAAAGTGAATATCACGATAAAATGAGTCACATTAATTTTTTCGTTTCCCAGTACATATAAAAGTTATGTCTACACTATACCATAGTCTATTAAGTGTGCAATAGCATTATGTCAAAAAAATGTACATACCTTCAATAGAAAATACTTTATTGATACAAAATGCTAACAATCATCTGAGCCTGTAGCAAGTTGTAATATTTTTGCTGGTGGAGGGTGTTGCCTCAACGTTGATGGCTGCTGATTCATCAGGGGGGTGGTTGCTGAAGGCTAGGGTGTCTGGCAGTTTCTTACAAGAAGGCAACAGTGAAGTCTGCCACATCAACCAACTCTTCCTTGTACAAAAGATTTCTCTGTATCATGCAATGCTGTTTGATAGCATTTTACTCATGATAGAACTTTTTTTTTTTTTTTTTTTTTTTTGAGACGGAGTCTTGCTCTGTCACCCAGGCTGGAGTGCGGTGGCAAGATCTTGTCTCACTGCAAGCTCCACCTCCCGGGTTCACGCCATTCTCCTGCCTCAGCCTCCTGAGTAGCTGGGACTACAGGAGCCCACCACCACGCCCGGCTACTTTTTTTGTATTTTTAGTAGAGATGGGGTTTTACCATGTTAGCCAGGGTGGTCTCGATCTCCTCACCTCATGATCTGCCTACCTCAGCCTTCCAAAGTGCTGGGATTACAGGTGTGAGCCACCGCGCCCGGCCATGGTAGAACTTTCAAAATTGGGGTCAGACCTCTCAAACCCCACTGCTGCTTTATCAACTAAATGTATGAAATATTCTAAATCCTTTGTTGTCATTTCAACAATGTTCACAGGATCTTCGCCAAGAGTAGATTCCATCTCAAGAAACCACTTTCTTTGCTCATCCATTAAGAAGCAACTCCTCATCCATTCAAGTTTTATCACGAAATTGCAGGAATTCAGTCACATCTGCAGGCTATACTTCTAGTTCTCTTGCTGTTTCCACCATATCTGCAGTTACTCCCTCCACTGAGGTTTTAAACCCCTCCAAGTCATCCATGAAGTTTGGAATTAACTTCTCCCAAACTTCTGTTAATGTTGCTCTTTTGACCTCCTCCCATGAATCATGAATGCTCTTAAGGGCGTCTAGAATGGTGAATTCTTTCTAGGAGGTTTTCATTTTATTTTCACCAGATCCATCAGAGGAATCACAACCTATGGAAGCTTTAGCCTTATGAAATTTATTTCTTAAATAAGACTTAAAAGTTCAAATTACTCCTTGTTCATGGGCTGCAGACTGGATACTGTGTTAGCAGACATGAAAAATCATGCTGTAAACAGATGTGCTGTCATCTAGGTTTTGTTGTTCCATCTATAGAATACAGGCAGAGTAGATTTAGCATGATTCTTAAGGGCCCTAAGGATTTTCAGAATGGTCCATGAGCATTGGCTTCAACTTCAAGTCGCCAGCTGCATTAGCCCCTAACAAGAGAGACAGCCTTTTCTTTGAAGCCAGGCATTGACTTATCTTCTCTAGCTATGAAAGTCCTAGGTGGCATCTTCTTCCAATAGAAGGCTGTTTCATTTACAATAAAAAGTTGTTGTTTGGCCGGGTGTGGTGGCTCATGCCTGTAATCCCAGCACTTTGGGAGGCTGAGGCAGGTGGATCACAAGGTCAGGAGATCGAGACCATCCTGGCTAACACGGTGAAACCCCATCTCTACTAAAAATACAAAAAAAAAATTAGTTGGGCATGGTGGCGGGTGCCTGTAGTCCCAGCTACTCAGGAGGCTGAGGCAGGAGAATGGCGTGAACCCGGGAGGCGGAGCTTGCAGTGAGCCAAGATCGCACCACTGCACTCCAACTTGGGCGACAGAGCAAGACTCCATCTCAAAAAAAAAAAAAAAAAAAATTCTGTTGTTTAATGTAGCCACCTTCATCAATGATCTTAGCTAGAACTTACGAATAACTTACTGTAGCTTCTCCATCAGTACTTGCTGATATTATGTTATGGAGATGACTTCTTTCCTTAAACCTCATGAACCAACCTCTGCTAGCCTCCAACTTTTCTTCTGCAGCTTCCTCACTTCTCTCAACCTTCATAAAACAGAAGAGAGTTCAGGGCCTTACTCTCAATTAGGCTTTGGCTTAAAATATGTTGTGGCTGGTTTAATCTTCTATCCAGACCACTAACACTTTCCCCATATCAGTAATAAGGCTGTTTGGCTTCCTTATCATTTGTGTGTTCACTGGAGTAGCACTTTTAATTTCCTTCAAGAACTTTTCCTTTGCATTCATAACTTAGCTAAATGTTTATCGCAAAATGCCTAACTTTCAACCTGTCTTGGCCTTTGACATGCCTTCCTCACTAAGCTTAATTATTTCTAGCTTTTTATTTCTTTCTTTCTTTTTTTTTTTGAGGCAGAGTCTCACCCTGTTGCCCAGGCTGGAGTGCAGTGGCGCGATCTCAGCTCACTGCAACCTCCACCTCCCGGGTTCAAGCGATTCTCCTGCCTCAGCCTCCTGAGTAGCTGCGATGACAGGCGCGTGTGCCTGGCTAATTTTTGTATTTTTAGTAGAGACAGGGTTTCACCATGTTAGCCAGGCTGGTCTCGAACTCTTGACCTCTGGTGATCCACCCGCCTCAGCCTCCCAAAGTGCTGGGATTGCAGGCATGAGCCACCGTGACCAGCCTAGCTTTTGATTTCAAGTGAGAAACGTGTGACTCTCCCTTTCACTTGAACATTTAGAGGCCAATGTAGGGTTATTAATTGGCCTCATGTCAGTATCGTTGTGTCTCAGGGAATCGTGAGGCACAAGGAGAGGGAGGGAGATGGGTGAAGGGCTGGTGGGTAGAGCAGTCAGAGCACGCACATTTGTCAATTAAGTTTACCATCTTATGGGTATGGTCCATGGCACCCCAAAACAATTACAATAAAACATCGAAGATCACTCGTCACAGATCACCATAACAGATATAATAATAATGTTTAAAAGCTTGAAATGTTGCAAGAATTACTAAAATGTGACACAGAGACACAAAGTGAATACATGCTGTTGGAAAAATTGTACCAATAAACTTGCTGGAGGCAGGCCTGCCCCAAACTTTAAATTTGTAAAAAAAAAAAAAAAAAAAAAAAAAAAAAAAAAAAAAGTGCAGTATCTGCAAAGTGCAATAAAACAAAGCACAATAAAACAAGGTATGCCTGTATAACCAAACATACATGTATAACTTTATATTTGCTATAACTTTTCACATAATTTTCTGTACATATAGCTTCCTTATTCTCTTTAATGCTTGTGTGGTGGTCCACTGCATGGATATACTGTCATTTATGGAATCACTTCTTCACTGATACATTTGGGTTGCTTCTTGGTTTGGTTTGATTTTGTTGTTTCCTATGAAAAACAATGCTGGAGTGAATATCCTTGTACATATATTGTTTATTTGTGCAAATATACCACAACCCAAATGAAGTACTGAGGCAAAGGACTTCTAGGCTTTTAATTTAAATTGATGTTGCTACATTCATTTTGTTTTGTTTCTTGTGTGGGGTTTTTTGTTTGGTTTTATTTTATTTTTTTACTTTTTGTAGAGATGGGCTCTCACCATGTTGCCCAGGCTGGTCTTGAACTTCTGGGCTCAAGCAATCCTCCCACCCTGACCTCCCAAAGTGCTGGGATTATAGGAATGAGCCACCACACCCAGCCACCACACTCATTTTAAAACTAAGTAGCCACCATGTTGTTTTAAAGTGGCGAACTAACTCACAAGTAAAATCCAAGAGGTATTCTGATGTGGTTTATATGCTATGACTGTTTACTGGGATGTTGTTCAGGTTTATCTTTCTAAAATATTTAAAGTTTTCTACACTAATCTGCGGCTAATTTCTTGGGGGGTTTAGGTTCCTGTGAAGGCATTCGACAGACCTGGGAGGAATCTTCTTCCCCTCTCAACCCAACCACGTCCCTCAGTGCTATCATTAGAACTCCCAAATGTTATCATATCTCGTCGCTGAATGAAAATGCCGCCAAACGTCTGTGTCGCAGGTATTCTCAGAAACTGACCCAGCACACCGCCTGTCAGCTGCTGAGAACTTACCCTGCTGCCACCCGCATCGACTCTTCCAACCCGAACCCCCTCATGTTCTGGCTCCATGGGATACAGCTTGTGGCACTCAACTACCAGACTGATGGTAAGGGGCCTGCATGCTCACCTCGCTCCTTTGCATCTTACATTTCAGTAAATGCAGTTTGACAGCATTTTTTCAAAGGGGCAAGATTCCAGACTGGGGCACACCATATGTGAGAGTAAAAATATGATGATGGAAAACAGAAGTGAATTTGATACTGAATTGTGCCTCCGATGTTTCAGATTAAGGTGATAGAAAAGAATCTTGAAGGGGCCTGTAAGGTCTCCTGGTCCTGCCCCTTTTTTAATGCAGTTTTTCAAATACCAAGCTGCTCTTGACAAAGCCATGCCCGGTTTATGTTTAAAGCTCTTTTTGGAGCAGGGATTTCCTAACACTGCCCAGTTAACCTGTCTCACTACGCAGTTGTTCTTGCAGTCAAAAGGTAGTGTCACTCCAACCACTTTGCAAGTTAAAACCATGTTAGCGTCTTATCCTTTTGGAATTGAGATGGAGAATAATGGTCAGTGCCCGAAGAGTAGCTAGCAAAAGGAAAACAACTATGTGAAGTACATGAACAGAGTAAGTAGTGATCATGTTTCTCCAATGTCAATGAGACTCTGATATGACGCCTAAAACTCCAGAGTAGAAGCTGCCGTTTATTGCACGCTTACTGTGCATTAGGCAGTACGCTGAATTTTTGACCCCCTATTATCTTATTTAATATTCACAACAGCCCTAAAGTTGTGTACCTTTATGATCGCCATTTCTCAGATGAGCAAATCAAGGCACAAATTGGTTAATTTGTTCAAGGTTGCAGGATGACTTGTAGTAATAAATTCAAGGAGTCTGGAAGTTTAAAGGATAAAGCATTATGTTTCCACTTGGTTATGGGGGAGGAGAGGAGCTACAGAAGGTAAGAGTAGATAAATGTTTCCTAAAAGCTCTTTCATAAACCACAGTTTTTCCTTTGAACAGTCAAGCGGCAGGCAGCTGTTATCATTCATCTCGCGTGAACTGAATCCAATCTCATCTAACCATGCTGAACCACAAACCACAGTATGGCCTTGTCTCCAGCTGAGGTCAAACCACAGCTTTAGCTCTGGGACCAGCTAGCTACCTGGCACTGGTGCCAACAACACCCATTGGTGGATGCCCCAAAGACATATGATTAGAGATATTGGTCACATTTCTGCCCTTGTTATATGTGCTTCTTTCAGTTAAAATTAAATAAGATGATGCCGGTGAAGTACCATATTTAGCATAGTGCCTGGCACATAGAAAGCATTCTACAAAGGTTAACTATCATTGATTGTGTTTGATAAGTTATGAAAACAGTATGATTTGGGCTCACAAATGGAAATAATTGTGAAATACTTTCAAAGTTGTAAAAACTTTATTTTCTATTTCTGTTCATTCTTTCCTGAGTGGCTGGTGGGTTCACATCTCCAGCCCTGTCTGTAGTCCTGTGTCCACCTGGTGCCATTGGTTATTATCCCGGCATATTTTAAGTAAACTGAAGTCACTATCAAAAGATTTTCTCAAGGAAATGGAAGTGCATTTGGTTTTGGATGTGCCCTTTCTCTGGAAGTGCCAGGACTGGTATAGACACACTGGCTCCACTGAATAGCAAAAGGGAGCAACAGGTGAAGGGGACACAGGGAGCTGCCACTCCATGGGCCATCCTGCAGTCCAGAAGTACAAACTAAAGCTGCCTGTCCTCCACTGACCCTTAAAGGCTTTGCCTCTCTTCCAAATCAAGTTGGGATTGAGAGTACGTCTTTAAGCCGTCCCACTCAAATGGCTGTGCTGTGTGGTTCATCCTCAAGTTTCTCTGCATAATCTTCCAAACCGGGAAAAGGTGCTATCATATAACCTCTCTCCATTCAATGTGCTGATTAAACATCTCCCCATGTTGGACAAAATACAAGCAACATGCAGTATCAGTGTGTTCATCTGTAAAAATGGTCTTCATTTCTGCAAACTGGGGGTACAGCCTGATTTAATATTAATACTTTGCACACAGTAGATGCTCAGTAAATGCTTGTTACTCTGAGTTGAGGCAGATTATCTCTGTCAGCCCCACTGCAATATGAACATGTGGTTCTTGATTTTTGGTCAAGATCTTTTCCAAGTGTTTACTTCTCTGAATTGCAAATTCAAACAGATAGATAAGGCCAGGTGCAGTGGCTCATACCTGTAATCCCAGCACTTTGGGAGGCCGAGGTGGGTGGATCACTTCCGGCCAGCAGTTCGAGACCAGCCTGTCCAGCATGGTGAAACCCCATCTCTACTAAAAATATTAAAACAAAATAGTGGGGCTTGGCGGTGTATGCCTGTAGTCCCAGCTACTCGGAAGGCTGAGCGGGAAGCAGAGGTTGCAGTGTATCAAGATTGTGCCACTGCATTTCAGCCTGGGTGACAGAGCGAGACACTGTCTCAAAAAATACATAGCTAGGGGCCGGGCACGATGGCTTATGCCTGTATTCCCAGCACTTTGGGAGGCCAAGGTAGATGGATCACCTGAGGTCAGGAGTTCAAGACCAGCCTGGCCAACATGGTAAAACCCCATCTGTACTGAAATACAAAAACTAGCCGGGCGTGGTAGTGCATGCCTGTAGTCCCAGCTACTCAGGAGGCTAAGGCAAAAGAATCTCTTGAACCCAGGAGGCAAAGGTTGCAGTGAGCCGAGATCGCGCCACTGCACTTCAGCCTGGGCGACAAAGTGAGATACTATCTCAAAAAAAAAAAGAAAAAGAAAATTATATATATAGATAGATAGATCGAATAGATCGATAAGAGTCAACAGTGGAAGCACCATTTTTCAATTGTTGAAAAGAATTTCCAGGCTGGAAAGTGCTTGATTTTCCATGAAGCATCCCAACTAAATAGCAGAGAAACCCTCCCAGGGCCAGCCTCCCAAGAGGTTTCATGGATCATCTGCTCTGTGACTTCCTGGATTTCAGGGGATTCTAACGCTCCAAGTGGGTGTCCATGGACTTATGGCCATCCCTTCCCAAGCTTTCTGCTGGTTCCATCAACTCCAAGAAGGTCTGAAGTGATCTGGAACCAGGAGTTTCCCAGATCAACACTCAATAAAACCAACTCTTGAGTTTAGAAACTGACGTGAGGCTGGTATGCAAACCCCTGGTTATTGCTGGCAACAGACCCTCTAAGTTCTTTGCATCTGAGGCAGAACAATACCGCCTCACACCCAGACTTACAATGTGTAAACATGCAACCCTAGTCAAAAGAAAAACTTCTTTTTTTAAAGAATTTATTAAGCTTTTTTGAATGACAGACTTCCAATCCTCAAATATAAGGATAAACATTATGTGAATGGTGTCTACATAATGCAGAGTATTTTAATGGGTAGAAGACCATCAAGGCAATGGTATGTTTATCTATCATTATGTGCATTGTTTCAGAGGTGTAGCAGGGTTACACTGATTTGTGCACACTTTTTCACTTGATTGGAATGATGATTTTTAAACTATAGCCCCAGATGAAGTTCTGGGACCATGTCCAGGGGACAGCAAGAGGGCTAGATTTGAGGTCCGACCTTTATTTCAAACCGTGCGGCTCTACGTGGATCTCTTTTACATGTTTGGTCACCAAGTTAGATTTCAGTTAAGAAACTGAGCATTAGGGGAAAGAGCTGATGCACGCTGGGTTTAATACCTAGGGGTTGGGTTGATAGGTGCAGCAAACCACCATGGCACATGTTTACCTATGTAACAAACCTGCACATCCTGCATATGTACCCCGGAACTTAAAACAGTAAAATAAAATAATTTTTTAAAAGCTTCAAAGTTTTAATAATAGCTTTAGAGTTTTGGCTTTACAGCTTTAAAGTTTTGGAAAACTATTAGGGTAGACACGGTGCTACTGAAATCACTTGAGGTTGATGTCATGATCACAAAAAAAAAATAGTTACCATTTATTGAGCACCTTGCATGTGCCAAATCTCATTTACTGTATCCACACCCCTATAAGATGTACATTATATGGCTCAGTAGTTAAGATTGGGAACAATGGGTGAGGCCATCTGGGCTCGATTTATAGCATCCACCACTTACTCGTTATGTTTCTTGGGTGTTTTCACTTTTTCTGCTTCAGTTTCCTCATCCATAAAAATGGAGATACTAAAAGGATCTGCTTCATAGATTATTGGGAGGTACTTGATGCACATAAAGTGCTTAGAATGGTGTCTGGTCCTTAGTAAGAGTGCAGAGTGCGAGCTGCCATTGCTGTTGTTAGTACTGTATGTCCATTTCACCTTTACCAACCCCATATGAGCTAGCTGGCTTCACCCTCTTTGCTACCCTCACCATGTCTGTGTTCCTCTGTCATGAAGTGGCCTGAGAAGAGAATTTTCTCCCAATGCAGGTGAGGCAGCATGGCCACAATGAACCAGTCACATCAGGACTGGCAGGGGCCTGAGAGATGAGGTCCTCTGCAATCATTTTACAGATAAGGAGCTTTCATATGTCTAAGACATCTTACACTAGGAATTCCTGCACAAAATACTGGCCAACCCCACAGACAGGGAAACATTTTACAGACAGGACAAGTAGAGGCCAACTTCTCATTGCCCCAGGGCGTTTACTGCACTTTGCCTTGATGTGGCCCATGTACAGAGTTCGTTCTTACACATGGAAGGAATCTATCAGAGGGAGTATTCATCAGGTGTGTCTCATCAACTTTTTGCTCATTTGGGTAACTTTTATACAGACTTGCACCATCAGGTGAGCATTTGAGTGTGTAAGAGCCCAGAAACAGTGCAAGAATCCAATTGTTCATCAAAGTACTGTGCCAAATAAAATTTGGCAACAAAAAAGCCTCTGTGAAGGTTCCTGATGTTTATGATTGAGGGGATTGTGGACATGATGTGAATCAGATGTGATTATTTTTTTTCTTGTTTACGATTTTTTAAAAAGAAATAGGTGTATTGTAATTTATGGGATGAAATTGAGATTTCAAGGAAAAGCATGTTTTTCTGGCTATTCTCCTATTCTTTCTTGTATAATTAAGATTTTATCTTACATTTGAAATAGCAAGAATTGTCCATACAATTGTCTGCATGGCTTAGAGATAAGCCATTATTCCTTTCTAAAATTTAGTATAAAATAAGTAGAGTTGCCCCTCCATATCCTTGGGTTCCACATCTGTGGATTCAACCAGCTATGGATTGAAAATATTCATTAAAAAAAATGGATGGTCGCATCTGCACTGAACATATAACAGCCTTGTCTCCTTGTTATTTTTCCCTAAACAATACAGTATGGCAACCATTTACATAGCATTTACATTGGATTAGGTATCATAAGTAATCTAGAGATGATTTTAAGTATACAGAAGGGGGAGAATATATTCAGGGCAACTTGAATCTAGGCTCCCAGGGGAAAAAAAAAGAAAAAGTATGCAGAAGGATGGTATAGGTTATAATGCAAATTCTACACCATCTATATCACAGACCTGAGCATCTGTGGACTTTGGTACCTTCTCGTCCTGGAACCAATCCCCCATGGTCAACTGTATTTCACAAGATTTTTCAGACAGATGTAGCAAATATTTGCAAAGGAGTTTTTAAGTGATTTCACCTAGTTTGGAGTGGTAACACTGGGCATATCCATAGACTGTAAGCCCCAGAGGGACAGGAATTTTTCTCTTATTACCTGCTGTATCTGATGCCTCACACAACTTGGCATATAGTAGTCATTTATCAATCTGTGGGACGAATGGGTGATTATCTCTTTTTCATGCTGGAGCTTAGGGAAAATTGATGCAAAGTTCTTTTGAACTTTCAATTTATAAGGTGATACTTAAGCGACAAAGTAACAAGCTATATTGGCTTTCTTTGTTGTTTGTTTTACAGATCTCCCTTTACATTTAAATGCTGCAATGTTTGAGGCAAATGGTGGTTGTGGTTATGTATTGAAACCTCCAGTTCTGTGGGACAAGAACTGCCCCATGTATCAGAAGTTTTCTCCACTAGAAAGAGATCTGGACAGCATGGATCCTGCAGTCTATTCTTTAACTGTAAGTACGGCCCCTAGAGAAAGAACATAAGGTCGGGTTTAAGCCTTCCTGAAAACGAACTGGTTTTGAATTCAAGGCATTGGAAAGCTGTCATGTCACAATTTGGGTCATACAGATTTAGTTCCCAGAATAATGTATTTATTTTCCAGGAAGCAGTAGCTATGGCTAGACAAGCTGTTGCCAGACACTGTGTTTGCCAGAGCCCAGGAGCAGGGCATATGAGGTCCCTGTTTCACCTGATGTTCTGATGATGGTAACTCTGTCTTCCAGGGCCCACAGAATCATAACTATGAGTATAGCCCATGGAAGTTGAGCTTTTTGTTAGATCAGCTCATGTTAGGCTTCAAAGCTCTAAGATCAAACTCATGTCAATATATAAATACAATTAAGTATATTTCCTCCGTATAATTTAACCTTTATCATTCCTGGGCCTTTCCTTATTCCTTTTCACCTAATTAACTTATTGTCAAAACTCCACAGACTCCTCTTAAAAACAGACCTGGCCAGGTGCGGTGGCTCACGCCTGTAATCCTAGCAATTTGGGAGGCCCAGGTGGGTAGATCGCTTTGCGCTCAAGAGTTCGAGACCAGCCTGGGCAACATGGCAAAACCCTGTTTCTACAAAAAAATAACAAAAAAAATTAGCTGGGCATGGTGGTTCACACCTGTACTCCCAGCTACTTGGGAGTCTGAGGCTGGAGAATTACTTGAGTCCAGAAAGCGGAGGTTGCAGTGAGCCAAGATTGCACCACTGCACTCCAGCCTGTGTGACAGAGTGAGACTCCGTTTCAACAAAACAAAACAACAACAGAGACCTGGTCATCTCTTTCCACCTTTAGATCTTGTCTCTCTCTCTCCACAGGAAGAATGCCAGGCAGCCCTCCAAGTACGACACCCCCAAACCCCTGGGATAACCCCATTCACAGACTTTCCTACCACCCAAACTGCTTTTTCTCTTTCCCTAAGACAGCAGGGCAGTAGCCCCTTTCCTATTTGTTATTTTTTAGATAGAGGCGAGGGTAGTTTTATCTGTTTACAGAAAGCTGTGAATTAGTTCCTAACACGTCTGTGACTTGCTCCAAAATGAAACTATTCAAGAAAAAGATTTTGAAGTTATAAAATCCTGTGGCATTTTGAACAGAATATTAGTAACAAATTTATGATTATATTGCATAAAGTCTTCTCTTGTGAGAAATTTAACTTCATCTTGTTTGGTTTTTGAAGATATTTGAACATTTTGATAGTTGAAAGCTTACAGTTAAGTGAATGATGTTGACAAAATAGGCTTTTCATATGATTCCAGTCGTGTGATTACCCAGTTACAATCACTTACTTTTTTTTTTTTTGAGATGGAGTCTTGCTCTGTCACCAGGCTGGAGTACAGTGGCGTGATCTCAGCTCACTGCAACCTCTGCTTCCTGGGTTCAAGCAATTCCCCTGCCTCAGCCTCCCTAATAGCTGGGACTACAGGCGCACACCACCATGCCCAGCTAATTTTTTGTATTTTAGTAGAGACAGGGTTTCACCATGTTGGCCAGGATGGTCTCAATCTCCTGACCTCGTGATCTGCTCACCTCAGCCTCCCAAAGTGCTGGGATTACAGGCATAAGCCACCGCGCCCAGCCCTACAATCACTTACTTTTTAAACAGTTTTATTCATCATTCACTTTGTCCATTCCAGTGTTCTTGGGATTCCTTTGCAGAGGGAAGCAGTGAGGTGCAGAGGTTGTCTTTCTTTTTTATCCTCGGTGACTTTGATCCCTTTTGTCTCCCTCACCCTAGATTGTCTCTGGTCAGAATGTGTGCCCCAGTAATAGCATGGGAAGCCCGTGCATTGAAGTCGACGTCCTGGGCATGCCTCTGGACAGCTGCCATTTCCGCACAAAGCCCATCCATCGAAACACCCTGAACCCCATGTGGAACGAGCAGTTTCTGTTCCACGTTCACTTCGAAGATCTTGTATTTCTTCGTTTTGCAGTTGTGGAAAACAATAGTTCAGCGGTAACTGCTCAGAGAATCATTCCACTGAAAGCTTTAAAACGAGGTAGAATAAAATTGTCCAAATGTTAATAATTGTTGTAGCTAGGTGATGGATGCCAGAATTTCCTTATACTCTTCTCTCTTTTCTGTTTGACATTTTCCTATAAAGAAGTTGAATTAAGAAGCAAAAGGAAATACAAATTGGAGCACTTTTGAAGCACATCTCAAAAGAAGTTTTTCTTTTACATTTTTTAAGAATCTGAGGTATTAACAATATCCCTTGTAAAGTACAGCCTCACCCATGCTTGCTGATGTCAGGAGCAGTGGTTGTTGCTACCCACGGCACTGCTGGCAGTTTGAAAGCAGGGATTGAAATAAGGAGAGGAAACATGTCAGAGGGGTCGGGTGTGGTGGTGGCATAAGTGACCGTGCAGTTGGAGTCGGTGCCTGGCAGAAGTCCAGTTTTGGAAGCTGGGGCTGGGTTTCAGGTGCAGGAAGAGGGGAATGGAGAATTCTGGGCAAAGGCTAGAGCTATTTGCTTGTAGATTGGCTTTGTTGTGGCACTCTGATGAATTTCAGCCTGTGCATTGTTTTTAAACTTTGATGTGCACAGGAATCTGCTAGGACTGGTAATACCATGCAGATCGTGATTCAGTGGCCTCAGGTGAAGACTGACAGTTTCCCTTTCTAACATATTTCCAGGTGTGCTGGCTCTGATGGTCTCCTTTGAGCACCAATATTCTAAGTACACACTTCCTCTCCCAGCTACACTCAAGCTGCCATCCTTGGAGCTCACAAACACATTACAGTTTCCTACTTTTGTGATCTTTTCCTGTTTCTCTTCTGTGTGCAAGTAGCCCGTGGTCATTTAATTAGTCTGCTCAGGCTGCCATCATGGAATACCACAGACTAGGTGGCTGAACCACAGAAATGTATTTCCTCGCAGTTCTGAAGGCTGGAAGTCTGAGATCAGGGTGTTGGCAGGTTTGGTTTCTTCTAGGGCCTCTCTCCTTGGCTTGCAGATGGTCCCCACACAGTCAGCCCTCTATGTTGTCTGTGTCCTAATCCCCTCTTCTCATAAGGACACCAGTCCCACTGGATTAAGGCCCACCCTAAGGACCCCATTTTAACTTAGTTACCTCTTTAAAGACCCTCTCTTCAAATATAGTCACATTCTGAGGTACTGAGGGTTAGGACTTCTACACAAGAATGGGGAGTATAGGGTCGGGGGAGACCCATAACTGTTATTATAGAAATGTGAGAAAGTACATAGAAACAAAAACAATTTTTTTTTAATTATCCATTTTTCCATCTCTCCAACACAGTCACTCTTGGTGTATAAGTCTTGCAGGCTTTGTTTCTCTCCCCATGTACGTAACACATGAGCATACAGATATATTTTTAACAAACAGGCTTTCTACTAATCTTTGTGTTTTGTAACTTACTGGTTTTCACTTACTAATGTATACAGTGAGCAACCTTTCATGTTAATAACTATACATGTACATTACCATTTTTACCAGCTGTGTATTATTCCATTCTATACTTACACTTACAGTCATACCATAAATTATAACCAATCTTCCATTGTGGGAATGTTCTATTATCACTAAAGCTGCTCTAAGATGGAACATTTGTAAAACAGGGACTGTTAGTCTGTTAGTGCTTCATTCACAGGGACTGTTAGTGATCAGGTTTTCCTACTAGATCAGGTTTTGTCTGAGTTTAAGGTTTTCTGTTTGAGTCTAAGTTGGAAACAGTACTTGGACAAATTAATTGCCATTGGGTAACTCAGGGGGCAGCACTCTCTTGGCGAAAAGACGCCTGTTGGTTGCATGCCTGTTGCCATCCCTGCCCATTTTAAGGTCTTTCTACCTGTCATTTGCCGACTTCCAGGAGCATCTTCTTTTCAGTAGCCATGGTTAACAAGCTTTTCCCAATTCTGTATTACTCCAGGATATCGACATCTTCAGCTGCGAAACCTTCACAATGAAGTCTTGGAGATTTCTAGTTTATTCATTAACAGCAGAAGGATGGAAGAAAATTCCTCTGGCAATACCATGTCAGCCTCTTCGGTAATGAAGTTCTGTTTCACTCAACATATTTATGGGGATTGCTACACTGAAGGTGGGCTTTTTTGTGGCCCAGCAAAGTGGTCGGTGTGAGTTATTAATTAGGTAGCTATGGAAATTAATAACAATAATGGCTGACACTTGGCACTGACTAAGCACTTTACGTATATACTAACTCAGTCCTCTCAATAACGTCAGGCAGTAGCTATTTAGTATCATCTCCATTTTGCAGATGAGAAAGGTAGAGCTAAGTACATCTGAGGTCACACAGCTAGCAAGCAGCAGTCCAGGATTTACACCCAAGTTCCAGTAACAAAGCCCATATATTACAGTGTCTATCAGGGAAGTAAGCCAAATATAACAAAGTGAGGAAGAGGCTTATTATGCGAAGCCTAGTAGGAAGCATTTCCAATACTTCTAGAAACTTTAGGTTAAACCAGGAAAATATTTTGTTTCTTCAGCAGTCCAGGGGCAAATGTCACAGGCAGAGCAAGGCTGGAGTGAGCAATAGGCTCTGCTGGCGATGCATAACTTGCACCTCAGTGCTTGGCAGATGCAGAAGCTGCTCCCTTGAGAATGGAAGAAGGACACTGTAGAAAGTGCCATAGTTGCAGAATCTGCTTTTTTTTTTTTCCAGAGACAGTGTGTCTCTGTCACCCAGTGTCACTCTGTCACCCAGGTTGGAGTGCAGTGGTGCCATCCTGGCTCACTGCAGCCTCGACCTTCCTGGCTCAAGCAATTCTCCCACCTCAGCCTCCTGAGTAGATGGGACTACAGGTGTGTGCCACTATGCCCAGATAATGTTTTTCTATAGAGATGGGGTCTCACTATATTGCCCAGGTTGGTTTTAAACTCCTGGACTCAAGCGATCCTCATGCCTTGGCCTCCCAAGGTGGCCTCCCAAGGTGCTGGGATTACAGGCATGAGCTACCGCACCTGGCCAGAATCTGCTTTTTAACAAGTGCCTCATGGAAACTCAGTGCCCACTAAAGTTTGAGGACACTTGGACCATGGCCCCCTCACTAATGCAGGATGGTTTAATTAGGTAAGAATCTGGGCTGAGTGCAGCGGCTCATGCCTCTAATCCCAACACTTTGGGAGGCCAAGGCAGAAGGATAGCTTGAGTCCAGGAGTTCAAGATCAGCTTGGGCAAGACCCCATCTCTATTAAAAAACGTGTTTTAATTGAGCATAGTGTCGAGCACCTATAGTCCCAGCTACCTGGGAGGCTGAGGCAGAAGGACTGCTTGAGTCCAGGAGTTTGAGGCTACAGTGAGCTATGATCACACCACTGCACTCCAGCATGGACAAAGAATGAGATCCTGTCTCTAAAAAAGGTATTTTTAAAACAACTACTTTAATTAACTGGCTAATTCCATTATGCTTCCTCTTTAAACATACATTTTAAAAGTGTATCCATTGGTTACCCCCTTTACATGTTTAATAATGTGATTACTTCTGTGTCAATCTCAGACTCAACGTAGTCCTAACAATCTTTGGAAAGGCACCTTCTGCGCTCACAATGGCACTGGCCATGATGGCTTCCACTGCCACTTTCTGCTTTCTTTTCTGCCCTTCTCCTGCCCTCACCACTATCAGTTTTGACTCCCGCTGTCCCTGCCCTTGTTTGCTTAGGTGTTCCTCCTTTTTCCCTTCATCACTCCACAGCAACCTTCACTGTACATTTGTATCACCTGGGGAGCTTTAAAAACTCCATGTGCACAGGCCACACCCCGCACCAATTAAACCAGAGTCTCTGCAGGTGGGCCCCAGGCATCAGTTTTTTTAAGGATCATCAGGCGATTGCACCATGTGTCCAAGGTTTAGAAGAGCACTTTGGCCAAAGTGGAGGGAGGTGTGGCTTCCACCTTGTGCAGAGGATTGACAAGCAAGGGCAGGGCCGCGTGGTACAAAGAGCAGGAATCACATGCTTTCAGAAAGGCAGAGCAGGGCCAAATACCCAATTCTGAGCTGGGTGACCTCGATATCTGTTACAGCTGAAGATTCCACAGATGCCACAAATGAACTGTTTTTACTCACGACACTTCTGACACCAAAAACATGGTGTCTTTTCCAACTCTCTGGCAACAGCTGGGTGTCCTACATTTCAGTTCAATTCTAACACTATCCATCTAGAGTTGGTGTCAGATCCCACACATTGAGGGCTCAGTCCCACAAGACTACTCCTACTTCAGATGCCAGTCAGAAGTCCCAGGTTGTCACCAGGACTTCTGACCAAACAGCTATAAATTCAGGGGATCCATATAAATCCTCAGATTCAAGAGTTTGCTAGAATGACACAGAACTCACAAGAGTGCTTTGCTTATTATCACCAGTTGATCAGAACAGATGTACTTCAGGAGCAGCCTCATGGAAGGATGCATGGAACAAGGTATGGGAGGAGGAGTGCAGAGCTTCCATGTCCTCTCCAGGCCACCCTCCCAGAACCTCGATGTGTTCACCAACCTGGAAGCTCTCGGAACCCCATCATTTAGGGTTTTTATGGAGGTTTCATGACCTGGGCATGATTGGTTCAATTATTGGCCACTGGTGATCAGTTCAGTCTTCAGCCCCCTCCCCTCCTTGAGGTCTGGCAGCAGGGCTGAAGGTTTCACCCTTCTAATCATGCCTTGGTCTTTCTCAGCCACCAATCATCTCATTAGCAACAAAGGACACTCTTATCACTCCAGAGATTTCAAAGGTTTTAGGAGCTGTGTGGCAGAAACTGGGGACAAAGACCAAATATGTATTTTTTGTTATATCACACCTTGCCATCCTTGGGCTTCCTGGGCAGCCATATATGGATATGTGCTTGGTAAATGTGCATTTGACCATGGAGAGCATCACTCTCCATTGCTGAAGCCAATAACTGTAGATCATCCTGGCCTTCTGCCCCATTTAAGACTTGATCATTCTATTTCCTTAGTATCTTTCAAATCCATTCATCTTGATCTGTCTTTATTGCCTTGGCCCTGGTTCATTCTCACCTGGCTTGTGGTAGAGTCTTCCTAATTGGTCTCATTTCCTCTGGGTTTGCCACCTCTGTCTGTCCTCATCTAGGGCATCCCAAACAGATCTATCTAAATATGATCATGTCACTCCTCTGTGGAAAACCCTCCATCAGTTCTCCATTGCTTTCAGGGTATAGTTTATACCAGAAGTAACAAATTCACATGCCAGGAGGATCCCAAGAAGATGATGTGCAGGCATGGACCTGGGCTGAGCACAGACTCTTAGAAAGCAGAGAGCTCATGGGTCATTTAGAGGGGAGCTCATGGGTCATTTAGAGGGGCAGCTGTCACCTAGCTCTCAGCTCTAGCTGCTTGTTGCCTTGTGATGTCGTCAGATCTCTTGGTTTTTCAAGAGAATCAGGACATCTGGGGTTTTGTAAATGTTGGCAACTATTTAATCTTTTTAATTAATAATATAGTGCAAGCTAAATGATACAATTAGAATGTGTGCATTTTATAGTATGACAATTATACTTCAGTAAAACTGATTTTAAAAAAATCACATTGTGCAAGCATAACAAAGACAACCTCTCCTCCCCACCCCAAATAAAAATTAAGTACATGCTAAACAATACACTTCAGCCCTCAGGTCCTCATTTTGCCAGTTTCAGTCTAAATTTTAGCCAGTTAGGCAAAGCCCTGAATGGCTGTGCTTTTGCCTGCATCTCCAGCCTTTCTCCCTCCAACAGGTTAGTTGTAGAACTTGCTGAGGTTCCCAGAATGCCCTGCTGTAGGCCATTTCTAAGTCTTCATACACATGTTACGTCAATTTGGGGTTCTCTTGTCTCATTCTTCATCTGCTAAATTACACTAGGTCCTTCAAGATTTGGTTCAGATACCATTTTTCAGAAAGCCCTCCCTGGTTTCTCCCTTACCTCTTCTAGGCCACCTCCTCTGGAACTTAAAATGCTCTTTACAACTGCCTACTTTCCCCTCTAGCTATCTCATTCAACTGGAAGCCCTTGGCAGGGATAGTGTCCCATTTGCCCCTGATTTTCTAGGGACAGGCATAATGACTGATTCACTATAAGCCTTCCATAAATTATTTATTTCAAATGAATATATCTTAATACACAAAATGCCCGAAGAATTGAGTTACACACTTACCGACCTCTTTCTAACAGATATATGTTTGCATTCTAATGATTCATGTGCCTGAATGATGTACTCTCTAAAGGCAGAACATTTTATTATTACCATCCAAATTTCTAGCCCAGTACCCTGAAGAGAGATGGAACTCAATAGATACTATGGAACATCAGTTAATGAGTAAGAACTAACATACATTTCAGATAATATCAGCCTCTAATTATGATGGAAAGAGACACTGTAATTTAAAATAATATTTTGGTGATGTGCTTATGAAATACCCTCACTAAATGACTGAGGAAGAGGTACCATTTGTAGCACTAGGCTACAAATGGACTCTCATCTTTTGCATTTACATGTTCCTATCCGTACTTCTAAGTACTAGCACCTCTGTATCAAATAGAGCTTAGAAATATGTGATTACGGATGAATGATCAGCCATGTGATCTTCTTGACAGATGTTTAATACAGAAGAAAGAAAATGTTTGCAGACTCACAGAGTCACGGTGCATGGGGTCCCAGGGCCAGAGCCCTTTACCGTTTTCACTATTAATGGAGGCACCAAGGCAAAGCAGCTTCTGCAGCAAGTAAGTCCACTGAGCCGTGGTTGGGAGAATCCAAAATCTAAGATGTATGGATGTATGTGTGTGTATAAATGCCTGTGTGTAAACATACACAGATGCACATGAATGCGCAAAAGTCCATGTGGATGATATGCCTTTTGATTATTTGGAAATGTGTTATTCAACATTGAGATCCACTCCAAGAATCACCTGATGGATCTTGGTACCACTAGACAAACTACCTTCAACCTGTAGAGAAGATTTTTAATGATTCTTAAGCTATATAAAATACCAGGCTCTAGAATGATAAAGACCGGAATGAGTGGCCTTCCAACCATATATACACTTTCGCCCTAAGCCTAGACATGGCCTAATCTTCCTTCTTCACGCAGAGATTATTAATCAATCAGAATTTGCACATTAGGTGAATGGAATCTTCTTGCCATCTGAGGAGCTGAATCAAATTCTTAGAGCTTCAGGATGGGCCACGTGGACCAAGGAGACATTTTCTGCCCCTCCAGCCTAAGGCCTTCCTTTGCATGTTGAGCAGCCCCCTTGCTCCCCTCCCCTGGCACCTGACCTTGGCATTTGAGGTCCTCTCCTTTTGGTGGTAGCAAGAGGCATGGAGACCCTGAGACCTGTTACCCCAAGCCCTGTAGCAGAACTGGCCTAAGTCTCCTTATGCTGTGCCACCTCCGCCCTAGATCCCCCTCCGAAGGATCTTTGTGGCCTTCTGCAGACAGGTCCCCATCCATGGGGGGACTTCTAAGAGTGAGAGAGCCAGGGACATGGAGCAGCATCCAAAGAGGGAGGGGGCATGTCCTCCAAAGGGCGAGGCAGGGCCCATGCGTAATTCCTTTTTTCACCACACCAGAAGCGCTATCCTTGCTTGGCACAGTGGCCTAAAATCCTTGCAGATGATTTTATCCTTAACCCATTTCAGAATTCCTTCTCCATGCAGCCAGGCGCAGTGGCTCACACCTGTAATCCCAGCTCTTTGGGAGGCCGAGGCAGGCGGATCACGAGGTCAAGAGATGGAGATAATCCTGGCCAACATGGTGAAACCCCATCTCTACTAAAAATACAAATATTAGGTGTGGTGGCGCACATCTGTAGTCCCAGCTACTCAGTAAGCTGAGGCAGGAGAATCATTTGAACCCAGGAGGCAGAGGTTGCAGTGAGCCAAGATAACACCATGGCACTCCAGCCTGGGTGACAGAGTGAGACTCTGTCTCAAAAAGATAAAAAAGAATTCCTTCTCCTGAATAGGAGTAGACTAAAGGAAGCAATGACCAAGGGAATGGCCCTTTAGCTCCCTCTGAAGTTAGGGTGTATGATGAAATGTAGCTGGGATCATAACATTTGGAGGAATTAAAAACCAACTGAACAATCACAAATAATAAGTGTCAATAAATGGCTCTGTCTTTCAAGGGCACATCTCTATAGACAGGCTAACATTCTGTCCAACATTTTATAACTGACTTAAATAGAGAAAACAGCTCAGGTGTCACATTTCATAGATTATCAAACAGAAGCTATTACCAACAGTTTGTTTTGGTTTTGTTTTAATACATCAGTCCATGTACTTTAGTGTCCACTATCACAAAGCACTGCTGAAGTTTTGTAAAGGAAAACTTACCAAGAGCCACCCATAGCAGTCCATTGCTTTACTGTCACCCGTGCAAATCAGCACACAGATATAAAGCAGGACTGAGCAGGGGGTGATGCTGGCCCTCTTGTGGAGGTGGCCCAGAAGCTTCACATCCTGAATTATCCCTATAGTATTTGCCTTGGCCCCCTTTTGAGTCAACAGCATTTCATCATTTATAGACCAAGGGCTGGGGTGGAGAGATTTCAGTCTTCCTGAGAACCTTCACTCCCACTGCCCTCAGTCCATCACATTCTGCTTTTCCTCCTGGTGAGATGTGTTCGCTCTGGGCTTTGCCTTATTGGCAGGGGCCTGAGGAGAAGGGTGTTTGCTTAATCCAGACCAGATGGTGGCAGCTTTCTCTCATCACCAAGCTACTTCTCACGGGAAGGCAACAAAGGGAGTTTCTTCACTGCAACTGACCTTTACTCCCTTCAAATTCAGCCTTTTGTAGTAACCTGTACAATATGAGTGAGAAAATACATTGGTAAAACTATAATGCCTGTAATCCCGGCACTTTGGGAGGCCGAGGCGGGCAGATCACTTGAGGTCAGGAATTTGAGACCAGCCTGGCCAACATGGTGAAACCCTGTCTCCACTAAAAATACAAAGATTAGCCAGGCATGGTGGTGCACACCTGTAATCCCAGCTACTCGGGAGGCTGAGGCATGAGAATCACTTGAGCCTGGGAAGGCGGAGGTTGCAGTGAGCCGAGATCACGCCACTGCACTCCAGCCTGGGCGACAGAGGGAGACTCTGTCTCAAAAAAAAAAAAAAAAAAAAAGTAACTATAATGGCTCATCTTTATTGAGTTCACCTAATGTACCCATGTTATGATTTATGCTTCAACCATAAAACAAAATTAAGATTGCTACTATTTCCATTGTGTAGATCGGAAAACAGTCTCCAAGGGATTAAGTATCTTACCCAATAATTCGTAGCCAACAAGTATTAAAGGCAGACCTCAGACTCAGGTCTGTCTGGTTCCAGGGCTTTGTCTCAGCTGCCCTGTTTGACTGCACAGGGTCAGCAGCCAACAAAGAAAACAAGCCCTTTAAGCACACTGTCAGAAGTTTATTTAAAGAAGAATTCCCAGGAACTTAGACCACATGAGAACCTAGCCCTACAAACCTTCCATGAGAAGATGACCGAGTATTTCCAATGTGAGAAAAAGAGATTATCTTAGTAAATACTAAACTAGGTTATTTGCCCTCAGTCCTGTGTTGCAAGATTACAAAGGGCTAAGTTCATGGAATGAGAAACCTAAAATTTTTAATTCACTAGGAGCTCTCATTCCAGCAGTGGGAAAAAATAGTTATGCTGTCTGGGGATTATGAATAAGTTGTGCCGTTGCCCGGAGTGAACATAAACAATCCATTCTGAACATAAGAGAATTCTTAGATCTTCCAAAAAGAATTATGCAATACTCTAGAGTAAATTTCACTTATAAATTGCATAGCAAACCTATCTGAACACCATGAAAGTTGATTTGTTTTAAGTTTTTGCCTCACTCCTCAGTTTGCCTTCACTTTTTCTTTAGATTCTGACAAATGAACAAGACATCAAACCTGTTACCACAGACTATTTTTTGATGGAAGAAAAATATTTTATATCTAAAGAAAAGAATGAATGTAGGAAACAACCATTCCAGAGAGCCATTGGTCCAGAAGAGGAGATCATGCAAATTTTAAGCAGCTGGTTTCCAGAAGAGGGATACATGGGCAGGATTGTCTTAAAAACCCAGCAGGAAGTAAGTGTGTCTGGGTGCAGCCTACACAGTAACGACTCATTATGTGATTAGCCATTTACCACTCACAACCTCCCTGAAATTCAGAATTTCTTGTAATTGCAACTTGGTTTATATTCTTCTTAAGTAAATGTGGATGAACAGTTTTATTCTTCTGCACATAATCAGAATATTATCTCTAAGGTACAGAAATTCAATCTAAAAAACATCCCTTAGACCGGGCGTGGTGGCTCACGCCTGTAATCTCAGCATTTTGGGAGGCCGAGGTGGGTGGATCACTTGAGGTCAGGAGTTCAAGACCAGCCTGGCCAACATGGCGAAACCCCATCTCTACTAAAAATACAAAAATTAGCCAGGCGTGGTGGCAGGCACCTGTAATCCCAGCTACTCATGAGGGAGGCTGAGTCAGGAGAATTACTTGAACCCAGGAGGCAGAGGTTGCAGAGAGCTGAGATCGTGCCATTGTGCTCTGGCCTGGGCAACAGAACAAGACTCTGTCTCAAAAAAAAAGACAAGGAAATATGTTTTCTCACACAAATAAACTATTCCATTTTAAAAATAAATAAAAACATACCTTATAAGATAAAGGAAGCAAAGATTCCTTATGCATGTCATCAGCTATGGGTCCAGTATTTTATTTGTATGTGTGAAAAGACATCGTTGTGAGGGTCACATTACTGTATAATGCAAAACCTGCAGGTATTTTCTATTCTGGGGATGACTGACTTCCAGTTTTAGCTAATAGAAGTTTTAGCTAATAGAAGCTTCCATGCTTACAAGTAAAATAATAATATTTCTTTGAAAATATTCCAGAACTTCATACAAAGTAAGAATAATATCTTGGCCTGAGTCAGAATTAGTAACAATTTATATTACGTGTGCTAAGATTCCCATGATCATTCCTGGGAAGGAAAGGATGCAACAACTGCCATGTTGACTCCAAACTGATTGGCTCCTGTTTGACTTAATTGATGAAGCACTTTTTTTTTTCCCTGAATTAACTGAGAAAACCCTACTAACTTAAGAATGACATATAAGGTCATTTCTCTAGCATAGACAGTCATGCGTCATGACATGTTGATAGTCAAGCAGTTGAGTCTATTCAACAATTTGATTACATAAATATTGAGCACCTAATATGTACCAAGCCCTGTTCTGGGCACATGATCTGCTCCTTTGGGGCATGTAATAGTGCTTGCCTGATAGAAGGTGCCTCAGGCCCATGCTTGCTAGGGCACAGTGAAGATAATAGCCAATTTTAACCATTGTGTGTTTTCACTTTCTAGTCACAGTGAGTGAATGTGACCTAAAGCCTCTACAGAGCTCTAGCATCAACTCTAGAGCCCAGAGCCACTGCCTTCTTTCCCTGACCTTGCCTGAGACAATGAAAGGGCATTTAATTTAAGCAAAAAAATGTAATTGTCTCCCCAGCCTTCTCTCCCTATTAAGACACACTAATTGCTAAGACAGAGACCAGGCAACCCTAATAATAATCACTTTATGATAAAATATCAGAGGGCTTAGCTGTACTTTTGAAGCCATCTTTAATGTCTAAATTTTTGTCCTGTTCCTAAATTGTCTTGCCTTATTAATTAGCTACATGTAAAAAGTATGTATCCTCTAAGCGATGTCAGAAAATCAGTAAATTTGTAAACCTCATACTTGTGTATGATTTACAGCGTTGAAAGCCCTCAAACACTATGTTGAATGATATAATGGAAACCATTTTACACTTAAGGAAATAGATTCAGAGAGGTGAAATCATGACAGGGTTAGAAGTAGAAAGAACTCAAGTCTATGGCTTCCAGGTCAGTGTTCTTTCCACCATCCTGTGCTACCCAAGCTGAAATTGTGTCCATCCTTGTGGATCACCCACACTCAGCACCTTGGGAGGAGCAGGAGGCAGTGGGTAGGCTAGAGGGAAGACAGGCTGGCTGCTGAGTGTCACAGGAAGCTTCATTTTATGCTCAGAGGAGCTGGGGAGGTGAGGGACACCCAAATGCAATTTAAATGTATACCACAACAAGCTGGGCACGGTGGCTCACACCTGTAATCCCAGCACTTTGGGAAGCCAAGGCAGGCTCAGGAGTTTGAGACCAGCCTGGCCAACATGGCAAAACTCCATCTCTACTAAAAATACAAAAATTAGCAGGGCGTGGTAGCAGGCACCTGTAGTCCCAGCTACTCAGGAAGCTGAGGCAGGAGAATCACTTGAACCCAGGAGGCAGAGGTTGCAGTGAGCCAAGATTACACCACTGTGTTCCAGCCTGGGTGACAGAGCAAGACTTCATCTTTAAAAACAAAAAAAAGTATATGACAACAGGCAGTAGGGACCTCAGGAATATGCTTCCAAAAGGCTGGTAAAGGAAGGCATTTTGAAGAAAAAGGGGCATAAATCAGAAGGGAAGGCTAACAAGATTTTTCTGATAAGTAAAATATGGCAAGTTGTCCTTTATATGCCTTTGTTAGGAAATTTTTGAAATGACTGAAATATATCTCAAAAGATAACTAAATTTAGTGTATCTAGGTTTACCTGGTGCATAGTGATACCCAAATAATAATTGCTGATTGAATAAATGAATTCAGTAATTACTGAATGTAAGAGGGCACTACTAGAGGAGACAGATTTGGGCTATAAGTATTTCCATTTATTTTATCCCATGGAACTAATAAGACATATAAGCAGTTTGCCCATATATGAAAATTCTTCAGTTGCTCTCTGTGACCTCTGATCTCTCCTGCCTTTTATAATTTTCTTGTCTCCTGGGCTTTCAAGCTGTCAGATACCACATCTTCCTGTGGTCAATGTGTCCTCTTCTGTTACTGGATTTGAAATTGGGTAAACCAGGATTGTCACAATGAACAGACCACCTAACTTCTGTAAACCTCACTGCCCTAATTTGTAAAATCTATATACAAACTACCCTACTTGACTCAAAGAAATGATCATGAGACTCATGTCAAACATGTACACAGACAAGGTGTACAACAATGCTTAGTAAAAAGGGATATAAGTGAGGGCTATTGTTATTTTGTTCATAACCTGTGGCTTCGAACTAATGTGGCTAGAAATACCTTAAAATAAGCTCTGAGGGAGGCTCAAAGGTGCTCTTTTTTTTTTTTTTTTTTTTTTTGAGATGGAGTCTGGCTCTATTGCCCAGGCTGGAGTGCAGTGGCGCGATCTCAGCTCACTGCAAATTCCGCCTCCCGGGTTCACACCACTCTCCTGCCTCAGCCTCCTAAGGGTGCTCTCTTAAAAATAAAGCTTAATGCATCGTTGTTGGGACATTTTATGTGCCAACTCTGGTTTTCTGATTTCTTGCCTCCTGGTTTGGGGGACAAAGATTATAAATTATGTCATGTGAATTACCTCTCAATCTTACTCTCTGACTGGTTAAATATATGATGATCAGTGCAATGACATATTATTAAGCAAGTTGTAAAACAGTATACATAGGATACAATCTCATTTTATGTAAAAAGAGACAATAGCTCATCTCTTCCCCCCCTTCCATTATATAATGGAGTATTCATTCATGGGAAAAAAATCAAATGGATTTTTTCACTCATTGAAAAAAGTTAAAATAGATTATATATCTTTATTTATTTAACAAAAAATCATGTAATTATAAGGCCATGATTGCAAAGTTAATTAAATGATTGGGGCAAGCTTCAGAAGCCAGTCCTTTCTGGCCCTGGTTGCAGTTTTGGCGCCACCTGGTGGCAGTTATCTATTCTGACTTTAATCAATGGGTACAATTCTAGTTGGAACTTCCAAGATAGCGACAGCAACTCATGGATTCTTCTGGTTAGTTAGTTAGCACCCATTTCAGTAGCCTGGTCTGGAGAGATGAGGCTAGAATTCTGGGGATAAGGGAGTTTTCCTGCCAAGACCTCACTTGCTGAGATGAGGTTGTCTACTGTTTACTTACTTTACCTCTCCCTGCCCTTTTACTAAGTCTCCCTCTTGCAAAAGGGAAGCTATCCTCATTTGAAAATGTGGTGGACAAAGAACAGCAGCAGCTGCTTGACAATCACATTATATCTAAATTCACCTAATTCAAGGGTGTTGCTTTACATAGTCACATACACAAAAATACATTTGAACATCCACAGCAAATGTTTAAAAGGATGTATTATCCAATGACAGTGGGGTATTTTGTGGCGAATAAGGTGGGAGAAGGAAAAAAGATGAGAATGGGAAAAGTTTGGTTTTTCTTATTGATACGCTTCTGTACTGTTTGAAAATTTTTAATAAGATACATATATCTGTAGATACATAATCCACCAAAAAGCCAATTAATCTAATTCTCATAATTTTACTGTGAATTTTGTCAAAATTTGTTTCAATGTGGCTTACCTCCAGCCATTCATTCAGCCTTGTCACTGCAGTTTTGTTCACCCAACCTGTCAATTTCATGGTTTATATTTCAGATGTCTAGCATTTCTTAAATGCTCAACGTCTGTGGAAATGGGTGAGCTTTCTTTTAAATACAATTTACTGTGTTCTTATTTGGCTTTTGCTAATTGGCAAAATGGTATATTGTCTTTCTACAAATTTACCTACAGTCAACTTGGACTCTCAAAATCCACAGCTAGGCGGGGCACAGTGGCTCACACCTGTAACCCTGGTACTTTGGGAGGCCGATGCAGGTGGATCACAAGGTCAGGAGTTCAAGACCAGCCTGGCCAGCATGGCGAAACCCTGTCTCTATTAAAAATACAAAAATTAGGCATGGTGGCACACATCTGTAATCCCAGCTAGTCAGGAGGCTGAGGCAGGAGAATTGCTTGAACCCAGGAGGTGGAGGCTGCAGTGAGCCAAGATCATGCCACTGCACTCCAGCCTGGGCAACAGAGCAAGACTCCATCTCAGAAAAAAAAAAAAAAAAACCCACAGCTAATAGGAGCAGATAAATTGGCTTGTTATGGATCTATCAACATCATCAGAAGCACAGTAGTTTCCTCCTCTCAGGAGATAGGTATATCCTTTTAGAACAGTTTATGAAATAATAACATAGTATATGAGATATTAAGCTAAGAAGTTTCTACATCACCAAGATACAAGCTCAGATTTTTGCTAGATTTGTCTTTCTTTATTCTGCATAAACCTATTATTTACTCACATTTTTTCTTTTTAAACATAGAACCTAGAAGAGAAAAACATTGTTCAAGATGACAAAGAGGTGATCTTGAGCTCAGAGGAGGAGAGTTTCTTTGTCCAAGTGCATGATGTTTCTCCAGAGCAACCTCGAACAGTCATCAAAGCACCCCGCGTCAGCACTGCACAGGATGTCATTCAGCAGGTAAAAGCCTCTCCCTTCCTCACCTGAGTCCTTTCCTCAGCATAAATTATTGGAACAAATGTCTGTGCACTGATGGCTCATTTTATGAGTGAAGTTCCTCAACAACAGGGACCTCAAAGGGGAGTGTGTGCCTCTTAAGGCTGGGAAATTGCCTCACATGGTGGCTCATGCCTGTAATCCCAGTTTTAGGAAGCTGAGGCAGGAGGATTACTTGAGCACAGGAGTTGGAGGCTGCAGTGAGCTATGACTGGCCACTGCACTGCAGCCTGGATGACAGAGTGAGGCCCTGTCTCTAATTGAAAAAAAAAACAACCAACCCAGTGGCTCACACCTGTAATCCCAGCAGTTTGGGAGGCTGAGGGGGGCAGATCACTTGAGCTCATGAGTTTGAGACCAGCATGGCTGACATGGCAAAACCCTGTCTTTACAAAAAGTACAAAAATTGCTGGGCACGGGGGTTCACGCCTGTAATCCCAACACTTTGTGGGGCCAAGGCGGGTGGATTGCCTGAGGTCAGGAGTTCGAGACCAGCCTGGCCAACATGGTGAAACCCCATCTCTACTAAAAATACAAAAATTAGCTGGGCGTGGTGGCAGGCACCTGTAATCCCAGCTACTTGGGAGGCTGAGGCAGGAGAATCGCTTGAACCCGGGAGGCAGAGGTTGCAGTGAGCCGAGATCATGCCATTGCGCGTCAGCCTGGGCAACAAGAGTGAAACTTCGTCTAAAAAAAAAAAAAGTACAAAAATTAGCCAGGCATGGTAGCATGCACCTGTAGTCCCTGCTACTCAGGAGGCTGAGATAGGAGGATCGCTTGAGCCTGGGAGGCAGAGGTTTGCAATGAGCCAAAATCGTGCCACTTTACTCCAGCCTGGGCAACACAGCCAGACCCTGTCTCAAACAAAAACAAATTTTAAAAGTTTAAAATCTTGGAAATATTAATTCATTCCTTCAACAGACACTTAGTATCTACAGTGAGTTTGGATCTCTATAAAGCATTGATAATAATGGATTTAGGAAGTGACTCTGCAGTGACAATGTCATGGTCCCAGAAATACCTAAGCCAGTAGGTACTGACCATCTCTCAAGGATCCTACAGAGGACAAGTAGGAGGCCTACTCTGATCCTCTCCCCTCCTCTAAATCACGCTTCTCTGAGAGTTTACATGGTTTCAGAGAAGTTTGCTTCCTTCATAGCCTTGTTAGGGTAGGCCATTCATCAAACACCTATTTGAGAAGACATACAACACAACAATTAAGAGCACAGACCCTAGATCAAGCTGTGTTAGATTCAAATCCCAGCTCTACTTCTGAGACCTGGAGTAAAAGCTCAGATCTGTGCCTTAGTTATAGTAGTGTGCTGGTAAACCAGCTCTTTGTAAAAGAAAGATAAAAGCCCTTATTTATTTCTTTTGTGTAAATGCCCCTACCATATCTGATTTCACCAGACTATTCCCGTTGGCTCCAGCAAAACACTACATGGTAAGTCACCACATAGACCACCACATAGACAATATGGAGATAGTATGATAGTACTTTCCTTGAAGGTTAAGTATATGTAAGATGTTTAATACAATGCCTAGCAAATGGTAAACATTACTTAAGGGTTACTTGCTGTTCTTACTGTATGATAACTTAGTTAATATTAGCCATCTTATTCAACTGACTTTGAATTCCAAAGGGCCCAGACTTACATTTCTTTAACTTATCTTTGTCTCCCCTAAAAGTACAGCACAGTATCTGGGACATAATTGGCCCTCACTAAACATTTAATGAATTAACAAATGCATCAATGAAAGACATTCTTATATTAAATGAAAAGAGAGATCAGTTGACTTCTAAAATTCTTTCAACATCCAAGACTCTGTGATAGAGATAGCCCAGTGGGACAGAGACGCTCCTGAAGAGCAAGATTCTATTCCTCACTGGCTGACTTTCATGTCTGTGAGCGCTGGTACATGCAGAAAATCTGGTTCAGACCTTTATTGTTACTATTATAGCTGTATATATCCTGGAATCTACTTAACCTGTCTTAAGTATAAGCTTCCTCGTCTGAAATTCAGGATAATAACACCTAATTCATAGACTGTTGCAAAGCTAAATGAGGTAACGTGGGAAATTACATTACAAGCTACAACTATACAACTGCAAAATGAGTTGGATGAAATGATCTGGAAGATCCCCTTCATCTCTAGTCTGGGCCATTTTTCCACCTTAAAGTTTCATATAGAATGAATGCAAATGTTGGAGATTCTGTGTCTTTATTCAGTTGATCATAACTTACCTTTCAGACCTTATGCAAAGCCAAATATTCCTACAGCATCCTGAGCAACCCCAATCCAAGCGACTATGTGCTTTTGGAAGAGGTGGTGAAAGACACTACCAACAAGAAGACTACCACACCAAAGTCCTCTCAGCGGGTCCTTCTGGATCAGGAGTGTGTGTTTCAAGCCCAAAGCAAGTGGAAAGGTGCAGGAAAATTCATCCTTAAGCTAAAGGAGCAGGTGCAGGTAAAGTTTAAAGTTATTTTGCTCTGTTCTTAAGTTATCTGATACCCATAATTACACTGTAGCCAGATCTGGAAGCTGGTGAAATTTAGGAGAAAGTTCCTGAGTCAAGGAATGGAGTTAGGAGAAAATTGTTTGGCTTTGTTTTCACTGTGTGAAAAAACATGTGGCCGAGCTTGCGGTTAAGCAGTCCTAGAGGGGAGCTCCTCAGCCCTACTCTCTCCAAAGCTCTAGAGAGAAGAGGAAAGCGCTCTTCTGAAATAGTGTCATGTGACAGAGGAACCTGAGTTTAACCTAACACCAATGGAAGGTTCTTTGTTCCCACAGGCATCTCGAGAAGATAAAAAGAAAGGCATTTCTTTCGCAAGTGAACTCAAGAAGCTCACCAAGTCAACTAAACAGCCCCGAGGACTTACATCACCTTCTCAGCTCTTGACCTCAGAAAGTATCCAAACCAAGGAGGAGAAACCTGTGGGTGGCTTGTCCTCCAGTGACACAATGGATTACCGACAGTGACTAAGGGCAGCATGTTTAACCCAGGTATAGTAAGTCATTGCACCATCCTGGAACAGGGCTTAACTTAAACTACTTTGTAAGGAAGGCATAATTAGTACAATGTCTTTTATCTTTTCCAACAGGAGGATGTCCCTTGAAGGCAGGTAGGAATGGGACCTTAAAACAGGAAAAGGGCTCTGAAGATATGTGTAACATGATATGCTATTGAACACCGCCTATAAAGAAAAAGGGAAAGAGGCTGGGCGTGGTGGCGCATGCCTGTAATCCCAGCACTTTGGGAGGCCAAGGCAGGCAGATCACCTGAGGTCAGTTCAAGACCAGCCTGACCAACATGGAGAAACCCCGTCTCTACTAAAAATACAAAATTAGCTGGGCATGGTGGTGCATGCCTATAATCCCAGCTACTGGGGAGGCTGAGGCAGGAGAATCACTTGAACTTGGAAGGCAGAGGTTGCAGTGAGCTGAGATCACACCATTGCACTCCAGCCTGGGCAATGAGAGTGAAAACTCCGTCTCAAAAAAAAAAAAAGAAAAAAAAAAATATATATATGTAACTTGAGCTTTTGTAATTTTAGACCCCTTATTTATTTTGTAGATAAATAAGCAAAGCTCCCAAGAAGTCAATCAACTTGCCCAAAGTACTCTGATAGCCTTATTTCATCAGACAACTGTCTTCAGTATTAATAGCTGACAGAAACATTCTTCAAGGGCTCTATGGATCATTCAGCTTTTATTCTTTTGGATTTCTCGTTTTATTACTGTTCTAATTTAGGTTTGATGTAGCTTCAACAACCTCATCTCCTTCTGCCTCAATTAAAAAAATAAAAATCTGGCATCCGGGATGTGGTTAAAAAGAAAGCAAAATAACATAACAGCCTCAATCTTGGAAATGCAGTAAACTGACTGCTTGATAGTCACACAAATTTCATTCTATCTTAAAGCAAATTATTTACATGAGACCTGAATAAAAGCATGTGAGGGAACCAGTGGTAAGTCTCTCCTTTTCGCTTAGTTTCCTAATGAACCTAAGGGTTCATTAAAGCCCACTTTTCACCTGTTCCATGGTAGTTCACAGATTTAAAATTCCCAAGATGAACAGCACAGTGAAAGCATTGCTGTTTATGTGACAGAGCTTCACCATCTGCCTTTATGACAATGAGGAACTTCTGATATAAAACTGCCAAACTGCAGAAACTCACAATTAAAGAACTCAGTGATGCCTCTTCCCAGAGCCAAATTTTACTTAAAACAGCCCAAAAGAAGGCCCAATACATTGAGATCATGTTTCCACATTTAAAGAGCAACTCCTAAAATAACTGATGTCCTATATTACACTCTGCAGTGGTCAAAATTTTAAATATTGTTTTCCATATCCAGAAGTTAGTATCAAATAAATCATAGGTGTGATGTTATACACACCTCTATAACTTCTGTAATGAGGTGAAATTACACTAAAGCTAGTAAATTGGTCATATACTTCTCTACATATAAAGAGCCCGATATGTGCTACAAGATTACTTCTTAAGTACAGAAGAATACAACTCCATTAGAAATTTGACTTAAAAATAATATGCCTACTATAATGAACATTGCTAATTGCTTATATTTTAGGAGACTGGGGGAGGGTGATTGATAGTGATTTAGATGATTGCCTTTAGATTCTATTGTCCTGTAGCAAGTAGATATTTATTTTTTCTGACCAATGGATTCACATGACTTTTTTTTTCTTTTTCTAAGCAAGCAGATATTTAGAATCATTCTGTTAACTTCACAGCTTTGCTTAAAGCTGGGGAGGCCTGGCCAGGCACAGTGGCTCACGCCTGTAATCCCAGCACTTTGGGAGGCCAAGGCGGGCAGATCACGAGGTCAAGAGATTGAGACCATCCTGGCCAACATGGTGAAACCCCGTCTCTACTAAAAATACAACAACAGTTAGCTGGGCGTGGTGGTGTGCGCAGGTAGTCCCAGCTACTCGGGAGGCTGAGGCAGGAGAATCGCTTGAACCCGGGAGACGGAGGTTGCAGTGAGCCGAGATTGCGCCACTGCACTCCAGCCTAGCGACAGAGCGAGACTCCGTCTCAAAACAAAAGCTAGGGAGGCTTCTCTTATAGTCATTGGTGCATCTATGTGAATTGACATCCCATGTTATGACCTCCTTTACAATGGTCTTTTCAAGAAAGAGCACTTGTAAAAGAAAAGAAGAGCTCATAAGAAAAGAAGTTTAGAGTTTAGGACCAGGCACAGTGGCTCATGCCTGTAATCCCAGCACTGTGGGAGGCCGAGGTGTGTGGATCACTTGAGGTCAGGAGTTCGAGACCAGCCTGGCCAACATGGTGAAACCCCATCTCTACCAAAAAATATAAAAATTCCTGTAGTCCCAGCTACTCAGGAGGCTGAGGCAGGAGAATTGCTTGAACTTTGGAGGCAGCAGTCCAGCCAGACAAGAGGGAGAGAGAGCAAAAAGAAAGTTAGTTTAGTATTGTTTCCACTTTTTAGGTAACATATTTCATATTTGTTCTAAAATGATCCCTTTTAAAGTTTCAATAATCTACAGATTTTTAAAGAACATATTCATCTATCTGAAGTAGTAGTTAGCTGAAGGAATTCCACCTTTTCTTAAAGTTGAACAGTTTATTTGATGTGATCTTTTTTAAAAAAACAAACTTTCTAAAGAATGTGAAATATTTATTTCCAAGGCAGAAATAACCTAATGTTCTACTTCCTAGAAACATCATGTTCTAACATTGTGAGTACAGAGGAAACAGTCTCTTCCCCAAACCTAGCCACTAGAGCTGTGGCTGGAAAACTCTGAACCCTTGGTATACCGCAAGTGTTTCTGTTTCTTCATTTTCAGTATACTAATAAGCCTCTGTATACAACATTACAGGTGAAGATCTTTAAGCAAGAAGTTAAAGAGTGAACATGGTGGAAAAAATATAATTATTTTCATCAGACTTAAACTGGAAATTGATGATTTCTGAACTGAAGCCTTCACACATGTGAGATCCATGCTGAGGAGAAGCAAAATGGCACAGGGCTAGTTGCCACCAACCAATTTACTGATGAATGAAGCCCAGGGGACTGCCATTTTATAAATGTCAGCAGTTGGAAAAATCGTCACGAATTGACTTAGAGCAAGGGTCAGCAAGCTTGTCTGTAAAGGGCCAAACAGTAAATATTTTAGGGCTGGGGGCCATAAAATATGTTGCAACCACCCAATTCTGCCATTGTAGTGCAAAAGCAGCCATAGACAACACATACATGAACGAACGTGGCTGTATTCCAATAAAACTTTATTTATGGACACTGAAATTGGAATTTCATATATTTTTCACATGTCACAAATACTCTTGTTTTGACTTTTTTTCAACCATTTAAAAACTTAAAAACTATTCTTAATTCAGGGGCCATACAAAAACAGGTGGCAGGCTAGATTTGGCCCAAGGACCTTAATTTGCCAACACAACTAAGAGAAGAGAACTGGGAACAAGGAGCACAAAGATCTGAAAACAGGAAAGGAAGTTTAGCCATACATTTTATGGCCGAGAATTAGAAGCTTAGAATTAGAAGCTTTGGGGCATTTCAAGTGTAAATATGTCCTATAACATAAGAGTCATTAAAATTCAATTTAGTTCCTGTATTGTGTACCACAGTGCACTCCTCTTTAGGATTTTTTTACATATAGAAATAATATTGGGTTTTTTTTAAGGTTATTGCCTATTCAGTTAATAGGGTTGCTTTAAAAAAGGTTATTGCTTAATCATAGATTAGATTACTCATTTTTGGTTTTCAAAATGAATTTAGAATGACGTATAATTTAATATCTACTGAATTGCAATGTCTTAACAAGAAACCTAACAATTTTTTAAAGCAAAAGTAGATTGAGTTGGCGTTTAAATTTATTTTGCAAGGTTTGTACTGACACTATACTTATATATTTATTATACATCGCTCTCTTGATATTGCCATGGATTAGAAGCATTAGTTCTCAGTACTTGAAGACAAACTTCTAAAAAGAAAATATATGCTCTGAACATCTGAAATGGGCTAGACTTTCAAGTAAAATTGCTTCATTTCTCATTAACTGAAGAGCTATTGATCCAAGTCATACTTGCCATTTAATGTAAATTATTTTTAAACTTTGCTGTACAAAACCATTAAGTGTAAAGGATTCTTCATATTCTTAGTATGAAGCAAATTATGAATTTTAAAAATGAAATATGTATTCCTCTAAAACCCAAACTTTTATCTTTCCATTGGTATCTTTGAATTTTAAGACACTTTTCTTCAAATTACAAAACACTAAAACTCACTCCTAAACTTCACTTTGAGAAACTTTTTTAACCAATTATAAAAATAAAACCATCCCCATGTGTTTCTTGCATATTCTAAAAACAGAAGTGTTAAAAATACACCACACAGGCTGGGCAGAGTGGCTCACGCCTGTAACTCCAGCACTTTGGGAGGCCAAGATGGGCGGATCAGGACAGAGAATGAGGCCATCCTGGCCAACATGGTGAAACCCAATCTCTACTAAAAGTACAAAAATTAGCTGAGCGTGGTGGCACGTGCCTGTAATCCCAGCTACTCGGGAGGCTGAGGCAGGAGAATCACTTGAACCTGGGAGGTGGAGGCTGCAGTGAGCCAAGATCGCACCACCACGCTCCAGCCTGGTGACAGAGCGAGACTCCGTCTCAAAAAAAAAAAAAAAAAAAAAAAAAAAAAAAAAAACACCATACAGCTTTCATGTCATTGAAAGTTCTTACTGGGTCAAAGCCTTAAGGCTAGAACTACCATTTTCTTGTCAACAGAATTCAGGCTATTCCAGTTTGATGTAATCTATACAGTAGTACAGTTTTAAGTCAAATATTCATTCTAACAAATGCACAATGCTGCTCCATTTTAAAAATATTCCGGAAACACTTTATCAAGCCTCTATAAGTGAACATGCCAAACAGTTTGCCCTACCACGTGTTGAAAACTGAGTTGCTGGTCTAAGTGGCTAGAGGCCAAATGAAAACTGTGCAGAGTAACAAGATGAAAAGACTCGTCTCTTTAGGTTTATCACATTTGATTCTGATGCTAAGCGCTGCCCCACTCCTCCTCCATGACCTTTAACACAGGTGTATGTTTTACAACATAAATCTGAGACTGAAGTTGAGACCAGGTTGTTTAGCAAGTGAGAGAATCCAGCCTACTGCCTAGGTTGCATCCCAATTTAGTTGTTTATCACATTTTGAGGTGAAAGTACATACTTCATTGTATTTGAGTCTTTGGGATTACAGAAAGAACACATTGTTTCAAAATGTAAAGAGTTGGCTGGGCACAGTGGCTCATGCCTGTAATCCCAACACTCTGGGAGGCTGAGGTGGGTGGATCACCTGAGGTCTGGAGTTCGAGGCCAACATGGTGAAACCCGTCTCTACTAAAAATACAAAAATTAGCTGGGTACTAAAAATACAAAAATTAGTGGTGGTGGGCACCTGTAAATCCCAGCTATTGGGGAGGCTGAGGCAGGAGAGAATTGCCTGAACTCAAGACGCAGAGGTTGCAGTGAGTGGAGACTGTGCCACTGCACTCCAGCCTGGGTACAAGAGTGAGACTCCATCTCAAAAAAAAAAAAAAAAAGTAAAGAGTCTAGTCTACTATTATACACAAATGGCCAGCACAATCTGATGTTGGCTGAAAATATTTAAGTTTTATTTAAAGCTTTCTGAATTAAACAGCTATATTATGCCAAGTGAAAGAAATTATCCTAAATAGCCACTATGACTATACCCATTACCATTTCACACTTTTTAGGCCACCAGAAATCTGGGTAGCAAACTCTTCTCATTAAAGTTGATGTGGACAAGAATCTAAATATGCAAGTTGGGGTCATTACAAAATTTTAAGAAGCATCACTGAAAGTGAAGAGAAAGGAGCATGAATTCTGTCACTCTATTCAGTGATGCCAAATCTGTAGGAATGATCCTATCTGGGTAGAAAGTGCCCTTTGAGGGGTAAAGCTTCTTTTCATGTCATCATTAGCAAGTAAAAGTTATTTACAAATTCTCCAGTTGGGAGTCAATATGAAGTCTAGACTCAACAAAAGTTGAGTTACAAGTGACTTGTTTTTAATCAAACTTGCTTTCTTTTATGGGAGGCTTTTATGCCTCCCATCTCAATACCTCTGGAGACACTGGAAGCTCATTAATGAAAGTGGGCCCTCTATGATATGTATCAATTTACCTTTTGCTAACTACATCGTCCCCTTCCTTTCTTCTCTCCTCTTCCAATATCTCTATAGACTTCTGTCCTCTGCCCAGAGACCCACAGGCCTTGCTTAATTCTGGAAAGTTATCAGGGCTTGCTTACTGGCCCAATAAAATTGAATTAACTCTAAAACACAAAACTCCACATCTATGCTCCCATGCTAGTAAAGAAGAGTAGGATTTTCCTGGCTGGTGTCTTTGATCTTACATTGGCAGCCTGCAGGGAAAGTGCTCTCATGGTGAAAGTCTCTGACCCCTTTTCAGTTGCTTATATATCAGCAGTGAGGCCAGAAAAGATATACCTGGGACCCCAAAAAAGTTAGAGAGAAAAGGGAGATTGTCTCTTATACAGAGTCTAGACTTGGGTCAATATTCCCCATGATCCATTGTTAATAATTTATGTGTTCTCTGCCATCCTTATGTAGCAGCTTCCTAAAAGCAATCCTTGGCTGATGGCTATGGATTCTGACATAGGAATACCTGAAATGAGTCCCTTTGAAACACATACTGAGTCTCTATGATTACCAAGTTATTCTTTTTTTTTTTTTTTTTTTTGAGGCAAAGTCTCACTCTGTTGCCCAGCCTGGAGTGCAGTGGTACGATCTCGACTCACCACAACCTCCACCTCCCAGGTTCAAGTGATTCTCCTGCCTCAGCCTCCCAAGTAGCTGGGACTACAGGTGTGCGCCATGTCCGTCTAATTTTTTTTATTTTCAGTAGAGACGGGGGTTTCACTATGTTGGTAAGGCTGGTCTCGAACTCCTGACCTCGTGATCCACCCGCCTCAGCCTCCCAAAGTGCTGGGATTACAGGCGTGAGCCACCACACCTGGCCTACCTACTCTTATACATCTCTTAGATTCAAAACATACTATGCACAAGCCTGTCACCAAACAGATCTCTGAAACCTTCCCTATTGCAGATGACATAGGTCTCTAAACTTTTGACACAAGTAATTCTAACACTGAATTGGGTACTGTCGCATTTTTCAAAAGCGTTATGTGGATGATTTGACTCAGCATGGAAGACTGAGGTTGTCTTACACCCATTATTTCCCACCCCACTCTTAAGTGCCAGCATAGTGCTAAACACACAGTAGGTGCTCATTATTTGTCTAGTTAAAAAACAAATTAAGGCTGTAGCTTAATATAGCCTCAGGATATGTGTGTGCCTGTGTGTGTGTGTGTGTGTGTGTGTGTGTGTGTGTGTGTGTGTTTAAACATAAGCTTACATATAAGCGTATGTAAGTTAATGCACAAATATATTTCCTCAAATTCACATAGGATACTCAAATATAGATGTATAATTTTGTAGTCCCACTGTGATTCTCCATATGTATAACAAGAAAATTAAAGGCATAATACAGCTGTGAAATAGCTGATGAGTTTCTATTTTAAGCTGATTTTTCACCAGAAGTATAGTTTCTGCTGCCAAAGTAAAGTATAAATGTATTTGTATATGTGTGGAAAATAAATAATTTGTGACATGTATTGGTCACTTGTGCTCTGATGGGGATTAGACCCTTTGGTTATCCACACAAATATTTATCACATTCCTGGACTTTGTTTTATACCTAAAAGGTGGACTAAAAGCAAATATTCATATGCTGAATCATACCTTTCTCATTAAATAATCAAGCCTTAAAAAATGTGACCTCAGAACCACTTTTAAAAATCATATATAATATGCTAAAAGACTGACATACACTGTTAAGCTCATATCCTCTCACTCTGCTGGAATGGTAAAGGAATTTTCTACTTTCGTTTACTTCATGTGAAAAAAGAACTCTAAGCTCCAGAGTAAAATAACTGGCTGCTATGACTTTCAAACAGTAAGAGATCTCTTTAGTTGGACTGCTGTGCTTTTTTCAAAAAATTATCATATCACAAGAATAGGAAGCAGAAAAAAACAGCTGTTTTATTCAACTATTCACAATAGAGAATATTTATAATCTAGTCACTGAAACACGCATTTCTTAGGCCACTCCTAGAATATGGGAATAGCTGTTACATAAAATACTGTTTTATAATTATATTAATAAGAAAAAGCATTTTACCTGTTCCAAGAGGGGAAAAAAGCTCCTCATTGAGTATCCTTTGTCTCTAGATCAGAATGGTAAAGTCTTGGGCCTGGTTCTTCTACCCTGGAGCAATTCTTCCCCAGTCACCCTCCAGGGAATGTCAGAAAACGTGAAGAACTTTAGAGACTAGAATCATATTCAAACTTTCCTTGAAAGTAGCTATAATAAACACTAACACCTTTTTTAAAAGGCCAAATTAGGTAACTTCTTTAGGTGGATCATCCAGCAAAAGCCAATGAACCTGAATACAAGCTATTTTTTTCTTTTCTCAAATATCTTCATAAAAATATATTAACTCAAATTTAGAATGCTTCTCATTTCCATCCACAGTATTGAAATAAAAATATTTAAAGAGTATTTAGTTATAAAAAGTAGCTAAATGGTAAAATGTCTTCTCATGGTCTTGATTTTTCTGTGCTCTATGCCCTAATTTTAATATAGCAACTGCACTTCAGTAAGATCCAGTCCAAAGATTTTTTTAAAAAACTATAATGTACGTGAAGCTTTTAAAAGGCAGCATCATCAAGAAAGTAATTTCCAAATACTGGGGAGAAAAAAAGGCTTTTGATCTCCTTGATGGAATGACATATTCAGAATAGGGGCAGAACCCTGTGCCATGCAAAGGGTCATTCTTCCTCTTCTTCCTAGACATTCTTAGGAAGCTTTCCTTGTATAAAAAGAAAAGATCCTAAGTTAACAACTCATCTTTATGTACATCTGCACACACAAATATACAAGAAAGTCCACTGACTTCATTCCTCTACTAGTGTAGTGATGTTTTCAAATATTTCGTGAAATCCAGAGGCGATTCAGTAGCAACTTCACTGGAGTATCTTTTGATTAGCTGATTTAAATCTTCATTCAAAAATGAATCCCCTTGTAAAAATTTACCCTAGGAAAATATTTAAAGTATGAGTTAGAAGTTACTTATGCTATAAGCTAAAGCCAACCTGTGAACCAAGTTGAAAATGGCAACAGCTGACACCAACACATGCAACACAATGACAGATGCTTGGTAAGGTCTTGGACATATCCTATATTGAACGAACAGTTTCATGATCATCTCTATAGAATTTCAACCTCAGAAATCCATCCTATGATGAAATCCTAAACATTAAAAAAAAAACTACCTATAAAATAATTAAGCAAACTGGAGTTAGAGTTATTGAGATACATTGGTTTCTATTTCTTCCTTTAAAAAAATGAAAAATATCCCATACCTTTATTTTGGGGTTTGAAGATTCAACAGGAGGATTGAATGTCATTTCTGCCATGCTATATGCCTCAAAAAGTTCAGTAGCAGATCTAAATCACAAACACAAAAAATGTAAAGATACCACCACATCTGTGTAACTCAAAAATAATTAGATTATACTCAGAGAATGATTCATTCTTAACCCATATATTAAGGTATAAGATTTGAAACTAACCAACCAATCCAGTCACTTAACAAATTCTAAATTCCCATTGTAATGTCAACATTATCCAACTAAATCCACCTCAGAGAGGTTTGGTATACATTTAGCAATACAGGCATAGACTCCAGAGAGAAAGCTAAGCTGAAGAACTCCAGTTCAGTGTGATCAAATCCCAACCCACTGATAATGCAACTAAGTATATCTTAGTCATGGGAGCCAGAGGACTGAAGCATGGAGTCATTCTCCACAGACTTAGAACACAGCTCAACTCTTCAGCTACTGGCCTGGATGAAAAACAAGGAAAGGCCATTCAGGACAGAATACATGTCTATACCCATGGCGTGTAAATGAATCCTTAATGATTTGGAATTAGTTCACACTCGCCAAAACACATAGGCAAGGGCCTACGAAGGTAGCAATTAGGCTCACATCCCAATACCCACTCTCCAGAAGCCCACTATGAGTCTCCTTTCTTAAGCCTTTGGGATAAGCTCATTCCTCATCCTTCTCCACAAAGGAAACATCTTTCCTTAGCAAAACTGCTAAGGAAAACATGCCATAAAATAATCATTATGAAGAGTGACAAAGAATTGTTTTCTCCTTTTTTCCTTTTAAAAAAAAAGGCTGGTGGGGTGAAGACTGGGGACAGGTGAGAAGTGTGAGGGAAGAAAAAGTAAATGGCCATTTTATTTAATAAGGCCAAAAGTTATCTCCATCCTACTCAGAAGGAAAGGGCTCATGGAAAACTGCAGAGCTCTTGCCTCATGTAGAGGAGGCAGCAACTGACTGACTACTGTCATGTAAAATACAAGCCAATGTCACCAAACCTCCCAGTATTTCAAGAAAAGCGGGAAATGTGAATTTCAGATGAATTCTTTCAATATTTAAAAGACAGCAACTAATTCAATTTTTTTCAAACTCTTGAGGCCAGAAAAATCGGCCTGGCCCACAGGTCACCAAACTATGATCTCTGAATTACAGAAACCAATGGGCTTGCAAACGGAAAAAACCTACAGCAAAATATTAATTCTGGGTAATGAGTACATTGTAAGGTGCTATAGTTTCAATGTGTCCCCTCCAAAATTCAGATACGGAAACTTAACAGTCAATGTGATGGTATTAAGAGGCAAAAGCTTTAAAAGGTGATTAAGCCATGAATGGGATTAACCCATTTATGCCTACTAGTGTTCCATTATCAGAACACTAAGCTTGTAGGAGTTATTTATATCCTACTGCTCAAGGTCATCGCCAAGGTCTGATTTTTCACACACAAAAAAAATTTGCAACCTCTGGCATAAATGGGTTAAAGTCTTTATAGAAGAGGCTTCATGAAGTGAAGCTGTGGCACTGCTCCCATTCTGTCCTGTCTGCCATGTGAGGGCATGGGGTTCCTCCCCTCCAGAAGATGCAGCAACAAGATGCCATCTCAGAAGCAGAGAGGCGCCCTCATCAGTCAACCAAACCTACCAGCACCTTGATCTTCAACTTCCCAGCCTCCAGAATTCTGAGAAAATAAATTTCTGTTTTTTTTTTTTCAGACGGATTCGCTCTTGTCACCCAGGCTGGAGTGCAATGGCGAGATCTCGACTCACTGCAATCTCCGCCTCCCGGGTTCAAGCAATTCTCCTGCCTCAGCTTCCCAAGTAGCTGGGACTACAGGAACCCACCACCACGCCTGGCTAATTTTTGTATTTTTAGTAGAGATGGGGTTTCACCATGTTGGCCAGGCTAGTCCTGAACTCCTGACCTCAGGTGATCCACCCGCATCGGCCTCCCAAAGTGCTGGGATTACAGGCGTGAGCCACTGAGCCTGGCCCTCTGTTGTTTATAAGTTACCCAGTCTTAGGCATTTTTTATGGCACCATAAATGGACTGAGGGATTTTTTATACCATTTTCTCTCTTTCTCTGTATAACTTAAGTATTTCCTGTCTGTATTTAAAAAAAGGTAATTACTGGCTGGGCACAGTGGCTCACGCCTGTAATCCCAACACTTTAGGAGGCCAAGGTAGGTGGATTACCTGAGGTCAGGAGTTCGAGACCAGCCTGGCCAGCATGGTGAAACCCCATCTCTACAAAAATTACAAAAATTAGCTGGGCATGGTGGCGGGTGCCTGTAATCCCAGCTACTCGGGAAGCTGAGGCAGGAGAATCGCTTGAACCCGGGAGGCGGAGGTTGCAGTGAGCCGAAATTGCGCCATTGCACTCCAGCCTGGACAACAGAGTGAGACTCCATCTCAAAAAAAAAAAAAAAAAGTAATTACTATTTTTCACCTTTCTGTACTTGTGAAAATTTTGTAAGTAAACAGTTCAGGGAAAAGAAGACTCTTTTAGGAGGACCTTTTCCCCATCTGGGTGTGAGGTAGATGCTGGAAGTACCCATCCAAGCTGCTTATAGGTCAGAAGGTACTCTGCAAGGGCCAAAAAAAGAAAAAGCTGCCCTTCTGGATGGCAGTGTTCCAAAGCACCTCTTTTCTTCCCTCTCCTCATTTTTTTTTTCTCCTCATCCTGCCCTAACAGGGCCATTCAAAAAAAAAAAAAAGACCGAGCGAGCGAGAAAGCAAGGAAGCTTAATTTGGTTGACTTGTGTTTTATCTTCACATGAAGCACCTATAGCCATAGATTATTCATTGTTGAACCTGAGTGATGGGGGGCATATGGACATTCACTATGCCATTCTACTATCCTGTATGTGCGAAACTTTTCACGATTAAAAAAATGTTTTTCAAGTTGAATGACAGAAGAAGAAAAAAAATGTTTTAAGTGATCAACAAAATCATAGCATGTTTTCTTTCAGAACAATTCAGGAATATGAAGCAAGACCAATCCAGATACCCAACTGGCACTTTACATTTTGTAGTATGTTACTTTATGAAACAGTCTTCTCATAGTAAGTGGCTATCAGCTCAATTCTGTAGTTTTAGAATAAGGCAATGCTAAATATTACCTTCGACTCAACTCTGGTTTGAGTGCTCCAGAGCCTTCAGAAGGTGCTCCAGCGATCAGGTGGGCTGCAAATCTCTGCACTATGGGATGATAATGCCTCTGAAGGGAAAACGGGACAATCACATTCTGCACAGGTCAGTCCTTTACAAAAAACACTAGCCACAGCAAAGATTTTCTTAAATAAAATTACACCAAATTTTTTTTCATCACCTATGTACAGTATATGTAATTCATTAGAAGCACATACCCACAGAAAGAATATTATCTTTGCTAATAGGATTAAAACACAAATCAAGTTACCAGTGAAGTAGTTTAGTCTTGCTTTTACAATATAAATAGAAAAATCAAAAAGCAATTCCTCTTTCAGAGTGAAAAAAGTTAATTTACAACAGGTTACCTGCCACTTCTATTTTCTACAAGTCTCACTCTAATGCTGTCCATACTGTAGGATCACTGCATAGGTGAAACCATCTTGAAACAGGGCTTACTAAAGTCTCCTTGGATAAGACTCAACAGAAATGTACCTGATAACAAATCCTCTGAAGAGTGTTAGGGAAAGATTTCAATAAAGGGAAAGGTTTCAGTAAATCTTCCACAACTGCACCCTACAGAACTGACACTGTTTTCTGCTTCCTTAGAAAATGTACCTCAACAGCTTAAAGAATAGTAACAGCAAAGTAAAATGTAGCATACTAACACAGGAATTCTAAAAAAGGCAGCCCCAGAACAAAATATAATTAAGTACTCTGGCAATAACAACTATTTGAAGAAAAACTGGAAAACAATTATTCACAAACATCCCCAAAAAGAAAAAAACCAGGGCCACTCTTACCCGCAGAGCATGCAGTTCCCACAGAGCAGTGTTCTGAGCATTGCAGTACTCAGGCTCATCCAGTTCAGGAAGGAAAACTCCACTTCCCTGAGATTCACTGTCAAGCAGTAGATCTGTTTTGGGGAAAGTCTGCAAAAATGTCACATAAAAAGAATTGGTTAAATTAACATTGTTAATATAAGAGGTGTTACTGGTTTGTAGTTGTATTTGCATTTAAATTTATGGTTGTATAAGAGCTTTGCATAAAGTCTTTACACCTAGATTTAATAAAAAACAATTTAAGTTTATATAGTAAGAACAAGAGTTGCAAAAAAAAATTTTATCTTTGCTTGCTTTGAAAATTAATTTTATCTTGCAAAAGAAAAAAATATGCTTCTCACCTTGCAATCACACTTTTAGAAATCTGATAGAAATAATTACATCAGATAAATACATAAAGATATTCACTATAGCATCATTTGTAATAGCAAAAAAAGAAATAACCTATATCAAGAGAAATAGAAAGAAGCAGAAAAACCAGACTGCCTACATTTGAATATCACTTCTACCACTGACTGGCACTGCTACTCAAGCCAAGACACTTAACCTCTCTGGACCTCAGTTTTCCCACATGTACAATAGGAACAAGAATAGTAGCTACCTCAGAGTTATGAAAATTAAATTTTTGTAAGGCATTTATAACTGGAAGGCACATAGTCAGAACTATGGTGTTTGTTAAGCAAAGAATTAAATAAACCTTACATAAAGAGAGTAGTGACATTATAATGTGTTTACCATGATTAAATGCTAAGGTTAAAAAAGTGGTAGAATATATAGCATAATCCTCTTTCCATTAAAATACAAAGTTGAGTTGTTTCTATGTGTATGTGTTTATATATGAACTTTAAAAGGCTGCTGGAAAAATACCCACCAAATGGTAAATGGATACCCACCTAATGACACTGAGAAGTGTCAATAGGTATAAAATGCTTTTTTTCAATTTTATATACCTCTTTTGTCACCTGATTTTGTTACAAGTGTGAATTACTTCTGTAATTGAAATAATATAAAAGGGGGGAAAAGACATGCCTCAAACAAAAAAAATCATTGCATTATAAGAACTTAGCTCTGTTCATTTGTATCACTACTTACATGCATTAATATTCTGGTAGTTGCTAAAATGCCAATACTTGAATTTGGAAGAACATGAAGAGCAAGGGTACAAAGGCGTTTGATGAAGGCAAGAGCTCGCTGCTGAGAAACTTGCTTTCTGCGCTTAGTTAGCATGACATCAAGGCACTGGAGTACAATCTCAACACCTTCATTGGTAGCACCTAAAACAGCAGACATATTCTTCAGAGCTGTTCTCATTACTTTTTCATTACGCAACTGGACTGAACTTCAGATAAACCCAAGATAAACTTTTGTACCTGTCCCAAACCATTTCTCTAATCAATGAGGTAGTGCTATACTGCTAAGGAGATACAGCGGGCTATACTTACTGCATCTCCAGTCAATTCCAGAAGCTCTTTCTCCAAGTCTTACATAAGATTAAATACAGATGCATGGCACTGGAAAGTCACCATTTTATGTACCTGTTCCTATTTCTCATTTGTCTACAATGATGGGTCATAACATATTCTTAAAACATAAATACATATAAAAGAAACATTATCTAAACATACATACCTGCATGTAATTTGAACAGTGTTTTGTAGAGATGTGTGTAGAATTTCAATGGATCAATATTCAGAACATCACCTTTGAAATGACAACAAACACCAATTAGGTATGTTATAGCATTCAAAGGTAAGGCAAACAAAACTTGATTAAGAAAATATCATACCTTGTCCAGAAAGAATATGAAAAGCAGTCTGGACACAGTGAAGACTTTCTTGATAGCTTAGGTCCTTTAAAAAAAAAAGGGGGGGGTGAGGGGGATGGAATATTAAGAATGGTAATTGCCATTTATAGCTTTAAAAAAGAACTTTAAGGCCAGGAGCAAAGACTCAAGCCTGTAATCCCAGCAATTTGGGAGGCTGAGGCAGGCAGATCATTTGAGCCCAGGAGTTCAAGACCAGCTTGGGCAACATGGCAAAAACCCATCTCTCAGGGCCGGGCGCGGTGGCTCACGCCTGCAATCCCAGCACTTCAGGAGGCCGAGGCGGGCAGATCACGAGGTCAGGAGATCAAGACCATCCTGGCTAACACGGTGAAACCCTGTCTCTACTAAAAATACAAAAAATTAACCGGGCATGGTGGTGGGCGCCTGTAGTCCCAGCTACTCGGGAGGCTGAGGCAGGAGAATGGTGTGAACCCGGGAGGCGGAGCTTGCAGTGAGCCGAGATCACGCCACTGCACTCCAGCCTGGGTGACAGAGCAAGACTCCCTCTCAAAAAAAAAAAAAAAAAAAATTTCTACAAAAAAATAGAAAAATTAGCCAGGTATGGTGCCCCACATCTGTAGTCCCAGCTACTCAAAAGGCTAAAGTGGGAGGATCACCTGAGCCCTGGAAGGTCAAGGCTGCAGTGAGCTGTGATTGCACCACTGCACTCCGGCCTGGGCAACTGAGTGAGACCCTATCTCAAAAAAGAAAAAAAAGACCTATAAAGGTTATCTTTAAGATAACCTAGTATGAGGCAGATTTACAGGGTGACTATAGTTTACAATAATCTATTATCTATTTCAAAATAGCTAGGAGGGAAGAATTTGAATGGTTGTCACATAAAGACACATATTTAAGGTGACTGATATCCCAAGTAAAATATTTACAAACTATATTATATGAATATATTTAATTATCACATATACCCTGAAACCATGTACATCTATTATGCATCAATTTAAAAAAAAAAAAAAGAAAACAGGTCAGACAACCCTCCTGCTTAAAACTCTCCAATGGTTGAAAACGTTCTACATCTTGACTGTGGTGGTAATCATATGATCATAGGCCTTTGTCAAAATTCATAAACTGTACATCTAAAAGGGGTTTTACTGTATACAAAATATATCTCAATAAACCTGAAAAATTTTTAAAATAGTAATTACCATTTATATCTTTTAAAAAATAATTTATTATTACTTACACCAGACTCAATGAGAGTATGAAGAACTACTAACAGATCATCAAAAAATTCCACATTTATAAGGTGAGCAAACCTGGAATCAAACAAAACAGTTAATCAGTGAACTAAAAGCAGAAATAAAGCTGGTAGAAATTAAGCTTGACTTTAAAACTGTATTTTTAATATTCTTTATTTCGAAATGTTAGCTATGAAAGACATGGCAATTATTGATACTTTTCATTAATTCAGATTGGCCTCTTCAACAATTCATACACCATTGAACACTAAACTCAGTAGAAATATATAAGGCACTGAACAAACCAAAAATATTTCAAAAATCCTTCTGCACTGAGAAAGAAATTACTAGAAGCAAACAACTTCCTGAGGAAAGTTTAGGAGGTATCCGGCAGGATCGGCTTCTAAGAAAACAGGTGGTGGGAAGAGAGACAAGGAAAGATTCTGCTACTTACAAGAATATGGACCTTATGACAGCTTTAAGGATAAAATGGAAAGAATACTGGACCCCAGTATCTAGTTCAGGCTCTGCTCTTAATTACCTGCGTGATCCTAGGTAACTCACTTCACTGTCCTGGGCCTCTATTTGTAGAAATAACTGAGACCACCCAATAGGGTTAAAGAAGAATCATATGAGCTGCTAAATTTGAGAGTTACTCCATATACTATAGTAGACACTGAAGTAGGTTAAAGTCAGGACATCTCTTCAATATTAGCAAGAAGTCTTTGATCTATGTAAATCTTAGAAGAATAAAAGACCTTATGAGTGACATATTCCATGCATATCGGTACAACTTTTTGGAGAAGCAATCTGACAATTATTTATCAAAATTTAAAATGAGCATACCCTTTGATCTGGCACTACATGCACACACATGCATGAAGATACACACACACACACACACACACACACACACACGTGCGCAAGTATTCCCAGTGCAAATAGGCGACTGACCAAATAAAGTACAATATATCTATAAAATGGAGCACTATAAATTTTTTAAAAATTAAGTGATATATATGTGATAAGGGAGAGGTACCAAAAGTAACTGTTTACAAAACCAAAAAAAAAAAAAAAAGCAAGTTACAGGACACTAAACATAGCATGATTCCATTTGCATGAAAGATGGCAGGCAGGCCCGGTGCGATGGCTCATGCCTGTAATCCCAGCACTTTGGGAGGCCGAGGCGGATGGATCACCTAAGGTCAGGAGTTCGAGACCAGCCTGGCCAACATGAGGAAACCCCATCTTTACTAAAAATACAGAAATTAGCCAGGTGTGATGGCACATGCCTGTAGTCTCAGCTACTCGAGAGGCTGAGGCAGGTGACTGCTTGAACCTGGGATGTGGAGGTTGTAGTCAGCTCAGATTACGTCACTGCAACCCAGCCTGAGCAACAGAGCAAGACAGTGTCTCCAAAAAAAAAAAAAAAGGTGGCAGATGGCACGCAGACAGACTACATACATATATAGGAGGGGGAGCTTGCAATTTTAAATTGTATATTCTTTTGCATTATTTAAATTTTTTAAATGACCATATATTATTTTTTAAACTTTTTTAAATAAAGGAATTAGTTATTAAAAAACAAATAGCTGGGTCGAGCATGGTGGCTCACGCCTGTAATCCTAGCACTTTGTGAGGCCAAGGCTGGAGGATGACTCACTCAGGAGTTCAAGATCAGCCTGGGCAATATGGTGAGAGCTTGTCTCTATTTAAAAACAAAAATAAAAACAGCAAGTCCTACACAATGTAGGAATAATCCCTTCTCTGACCAGCCTCTCTGAAGATTTTTAACCACAAGGACCGTATCACCATATAAGGAAATGCATACCATTGCCAAATAGCTCCAGTTATTAGAAAGTAATTTCTTATGATAAACAGAACTTGCCTTTTCTATATCTTCTAGCCATCAGTCCTATTTCCAACTCTATTCCTAAAGTTGTACTGCCCAACAATGGTAGCCACTAGCCACATGTGGCTGTTAGGCACTTAAAATGTAGCTAGTCCAAATTAAGACACAAGCGTAAAATATAAGTGTTCGAAAATATGTTATGAAAAAACACCAAACAACTCATTAATGTTTAATATTGTGTTAAAATACTTCAGATAAATCAAATCCAGTAAAATATATAAAAATTAATTTCACCTGTTTCTTTTTATCTTTTTAATGTGGCTAATAGAAAATTTTAAATTATATATGTAAGTTCACATTATATTTTTACCGAATAGCAATGTTCTATAGGATACCACCTCAAAAAATTGTGGAACGCTATCATGACAACCACAACCCTTACTCTAGCTCACATCCTGACAAGGCCATTAGTGTTGAGTGAATACACCAAAAGATCTATCTTAGCAGAAACACATTACACAGAACTAGAGAAATGATGTACAGCCGGGTTAAAATAGACTTAAGAGTCATCTGCATGATCCACTCAAACTATGACGATGGGCAATTGACTACACAGTGCAGAAAGAGTCAAGAACTGAGAGATTTAACCTTAGGAACACCTAGAATTTAGTAGGCAGAAAGAAGGAGTTGGTAAAGGAGATTTTAAAAATAAAAGGTTTGAGATGAGAAAATCAAAAAAGCCCACTGTTATGAATAGCTTCAAGTAAAGGCTGGTGACAATCAGAAAAGGAATGAGAACTGAGGATAATGGGCCATCATTAGGGAACTCTCGAAAATTCTTTGGTCTTTCCTATTTAGAAGGAATCTAAAAGATTTCAACCTACACAGCCCTTACTTGGCAAGACCTTCTAGAACTGCTGGCAGGAGAGGTGACCTCTGGGCCTTCTTCAATATTCTGAAGTAGGTTACAAACACAATATTCAGAGTCTCTGTGTGCTGGCAGAGGAGACAGACAAAATGACTTTAGGATAACCTGGTATGCTTTCTCCTGAGTGAGCATAAGTATCACTTCAACAGGTTAACTTTTTTCCCTACCCATCCCTCCCCACAATGCAATCTTTGAAATTTTTAACAAAACAGAATGAAGATATACACCCTGTGACTGCATAAAACTAGCACTGATCACATCACAGTTTCCCGCACATCACAAAAGTCACACATCTAAGCCTCATGAAAGAAACCAAAATTACACAGCTACAAGCTGAAACAATAAATTTCTAGTTTAAACAACTTAACGCATTTTAAAAGCATAACAGAATATGAAACTGCCTACCAGTTTAAGTTTTTTCTCAGTACTCTCTGAAGCTTCTGCCTCTCGAAGCTCTCGCTCTAGTTTCTCTTCTGCTTTCTTCCACTGAAAATAGATTGAAAAACAAAAATCTAAGAGCATATACCACAGAGTGAAAAAAGCAGAGGCAGAATACGTAAATGTCATAAAACACATACAGTAATACCACATGTTGTCTATGAATGCAAATATAAACAAAGTAGAGAAACATGGACGGGAAGTATATACAAACCAAATTAAAGATGGTGTCTCCTGGGAAGAAGGTAGAAGAATGAGATTGGAGAGAGAAAAGAAATTCCTACTCTCTCACCTATGGTTTCTTTCTTTTCCAGGAAAAAAACTAAAGTAAATCTATTAATATTTGCTCATTCTGAATAGCAGATATCTGGGATATGCTATCATTTTCTATTATTAAAGTTTTTCAAAAAAGAAAAAAAAAAGGAAAGAACATGTTGAGCCCAAAAATAATGGCTAGGATTAAATCATCTATAACTTGGAAGCCAGTCACCAACAATACTTCCCCAACACATTTACATACAATGCATAAAACTGGGCCCTATAAAGAAATTCAATAAAATATCCTTTTTTTTCTACTACCTAATGCTGTAAGAGCAGTAAATGATAATTTCTAAGCTGCCTGAGGCACAGGGAACTGAAAAATTGTTTCCTTCTCTCATGAGAAGTTGTTAAAGAGCTGCCATGTTCTTATTGGTCTTTGTTTCCTCACCTCATCTATACACATGCTCTTCCTAACAGAGCTATCCAACCTGCATTAGGATAGTATAATATAAATAGTTAAAATATGTATCTTCTTTTGTTCACAATTATTAAGTCTATTTTGATACTTCCATCATGTTTTCAAAATTAGACCCATTCAAAGATGAATATCCCCAGAGATTACTTTTGTTTTTACAAGCAACTTGATCACTCTAATAAACTGTTTAGAAATGTTCTGAGATGTGATGATAACAATAATAGTGATGATGGTGGTGGTACTAAAACTAAGGTTTATAAAGCCTGCCAAGTGTTTTATATGCATCATCTCATTTAACCTGCACGATTACCCTGCAAGGTAGGTACTATTATTAGCCCCGTTTATCAAAAAATAAATAAATAAATAAATAAAGTTTCCAAAGTTTCAGTAAATAAACAAGCGGCTGAAATTTCAACCCAAGTTTAAAATACAAACCAACAAAGAAACAAGATTCAATTAACAGAAACTCACTTTGCTGCCAACTTCACGTGAATGCATCTTTTCTGTTAAGGAAGGAATCTGTGTATCATAACTCTAAATTGATCTAAAAAGCCAAAGGATAAAAGCCAGCATGGCAAAAATATCTTTTCATCTATTGCTCTCCTTGCCAATCATTATCAGTTAAAACTGATTTAAGAAAACATTTCTTTGCAGTAACAGGAAAAGATAAAATTCTCTAAATGATGTATTTCAAAACTTTTATGTTTATGATTTAACTATGATTTTTACATGTGCCTATAAGTTTAATCTAAGATCAAATAAACAGAAAATTTAAATGAAACAAAAGGGGAAATAAGTCAAACCTTTCTCTGCATTCTTGATAGAGATTTTCTCTTTTCTTTGAAAGTCATAAATTTTTTTGGTTTATTAATGTCTTCTGTATCTTTTTTCACTTCTACTTCCTTGATTCTTAGGCATAAAAATGTTTTTAACATCTAATATTGGAAAAAAAACACAAATATACAGCTTAATATTTATATTGCCCTCAAAAACTTTACATAGAAAAGCATTTAACAGTGTTATTTCCCTCGTTCATGAAAAAACCTTCAAACATCTTTTATAACATTTTACACCAACTTCTTTTATCTGTATGCTATATTAATAACTTGTGTCTATGGAAGGACGGGAGCAAACATACAAAACGGACGCTAGCAAATACTAACTAAATATACAAAACTTTCTTTGCAGTTTAATGAGTATAAGGAAGAGAGAACACATGCCAACAGGATGACAAAGAGAAAACAGGCCAGGAAAAGGTTTGGACCAGTATGGGAGAAGATACACAAATTGCTGGGCCCTATCCCCAGAGTTTCTGATTTAGTAGGTCTGAGTTGAGCCCCAGAATTTGCATTCTAATTCCCAGCTGATGCTGGTCTGGGGACAAAAATAAAAATTATTGCTTTATGCCATTCAAAAATTCAGAAACTAATTTGGAAACTGGTGTTTTGTGTGATACAGCAAACTTCGCATACTCAAACACTAAGAACAAAAGGGGTTTAAAATGCTACACTTTCTCTGGATGAAATCACCCTACCGACCTCCCGCAGGCACAGCAGCATTCCTGGAAAAAACCTTGAGAACTACAGGTTTGTATTATTTTGATGTTCCAATATGCACATTTGGAAGAAAGCTGAGTATTTGGGATTACACGGCTAAAAGCACAGAATGAAACAAGGAATAACTAAAGGCATAAAGAGTGAACCTGAAGTCATTCTAGGTATCAGAAAGACCAACTCTGAATATTTTGTAGGTACTGTATGTGCTCAAAATATCACCTACCAACGAAAAATAACTCCAAATCAAATGATGTAGTTTTTACTCTAGCATCACGAAAGTTAAAGGGTTTTCCTATGGCTGAGTTTCATGTTCAAGCCTTATCTGATTGCTCTACAATTCTAAGTAAAGATGCTAAATATGCTCTGTTACTTTCATTTAATGTTTATAATTTTAGCAATTCAACTGAAATCAGATTTAAGAAAATAAAAAGGAATCTGATGCCAAAGGAAAACTGTGAAATCCAGAAATAAAATGGTAGAACAGCTTAACACCCAAAACTGTATTACTAAAGACAAATTAAAATATCTAAGACCTCAGTGAAGAAAACTATAAAATTTTACTTAAGAACATAAAAGAAGTCTTAAATAAATGGCAAGATATGATATTCTTGAATAGAAAAAAATCAATTCTGTAAATATTTTAATTCATCCAAACTAATCAATACATTGAATCGATTCTAATCAGATTCTCTGTGTGGACTATTTTGAGGGAAGGAAGTGAAAAATGGATTCTAAACTGCCTGGAGTAATATACTGAAATAAATAAGAATATTGTGGAGAAAAAAGAATAGTCATGTCTTTTATCAATTATACCCTTTCTGATTATTATTGTACCACATACCCAAATATACTATAGATATAACACAATAATTAAGCAGCATTTTATATCAGCAGAAAAAAAATGGTGATGAAATAACTGGCTGTCAGATTATATCAAATATATACATAATATAAATATTCAATATATATTAAACTATATAAAATATATATTCATTACATATATTAAACACAGATATTAAATCTGTACTCATACCACACATACAAAGATGTCAAATGGTTTAAATATTTAAATATAAAAATTAAAATTAAAAATCTCGGAGAGACTCCGTAAATTGGGATTGAGGAGACTATGTGCATAACAAAAAATATAGCTTCATATATAAGGCTGAACACAGAATTAAAAGGCAAAGTAAAAAAGAGAACAATCTGCAACCTATGTAACAAAGAGTTAATATTCTTTATGTAATGCAAGCTCCACAAACAGATAGTTTCGTTTCTTTTGTTACTATTTTATTCCCAGGACCTAAAAAAAGTGCCTGGCACATAGCAGTTATTTATTAAAATGAATATGTACTAAAAACTCATCACAAGTCATTAAGACAATTACTTTAAGAGAAAAACTGACAAATAATAAGCAGGTAAAAAAAGTTTATATATATATAAACTTTTCACCTACCTGACTAACAAAGATTAAATAGTAACATTCTGAGCAGGTAGGAGGGAACTGACACTCATATTCCTAGCAGGAACACAGTGATTAAATGTTTTTGAACAACAATTTGAGTTTGTAAATGTGATTACTGTTGGATCCAGCATCTACATTTTATAAATTTAATTCACAGAATATTCACACAATATGAAAAAATAATATGGCCAAAATGTTCTCAACACTGACTGTGGCAGCAAAAATCTAGAAAAAACTCAGCTGTTCAACAATTAGGGCACACAATGGAATACTCTGGTAGGCATTAGAAAGAATGGGATAACCCTATATGTAAGTTCACAATATAGAAAATGAAAACTGTTCCAGAACAGTTTTCAAAGTATAAGCCCATTTTTTATTTTAAAATATAAGCAAGTATATATGACTATATCTGCAAAGAAAAACATCTAGAAGGATAAATACCGAACTGTTAATAGTATCAAACATTTCAGGAGTTGACATGTTAAACACTTAAGGAGCTTGAATACTTTTTACTTCATACACTTATAAGGAATAAATTCCTCATAACAACTGAAAATCAACTTTGTAATTTAAAAACAAAATGCAAAGTAAAAAAAAAAAGGCTCACCTCTGGCCTAACTTCGTAATTTCTGCCCTTCACAAAACCAGAAATCACTTTAATTACACCAAGAGAAGCTTGGCCTAATTTATCTTGCTTAAAGAGTTTCTTCACAGCTTCACAACACATTTCAGATATCTGAAAAATAAAATGTCATACTTAACCAGTGTTTCTCAACCTTAGCACTACTGACGTTTTGGGTAACAGAATTCTTTGTTGTAGGGGGACTGTCCTAGGATGTTTAAAAGCCTCCATGGACTTTCTCCACTAGATGCCAGTAGTTAAGACTCTATCGCCACCACAGTCATCACAATCAAAAATGTATGCCGACATTGCCTAATGTTCCCTGGGGGACAAATTTGCTTCCTGTTGTGAACCACTACACCAAACTTATGTTCAGATAATTTTCTTCAGATAGACAGTGTTTAATAAATTGACATTATTTTACCAATAAATAACTTCAGAAGAATTTTGTAGGGGGAAAAAAATCACATGGTGTATAATTTTCTTTTTTTATTCATTTATTTATTTTTTTTGAGACAGAGTCTCGCTCTATTGCCCAGGCTGGAGTGCAATGGCGCAATCTCAGCTCACTGCAAGCTCTGCCTCCTGAGTTCACGCCATTCTCCTGCCTCAGCCTCCCAAGTAGCTGGGACTACAGGCGCCTGCCACCACGCCCTGCTAATTTTTTGTATTTTTAGTAGAGATGGGGTTTCACCATGTTAGCTGGGGTGGTCTCGATCTCCTGACCTCGTGATCTGCCTGCCTCGGCCTCCCAAAGTGCTGGGATTACAGGTGTGAGCCACCGTGCCTGGCCCACATGGTGTATAATTTTCTAAGGAGGACAGCAATAACCATTTACAGCAACTCACCAATTTTGACATGTCATTCATGAGAGGGACAATCAATACGATGATGTTGTTGTGAAAGTTAAAATGAGGTAGTGCCACCAACAGCTCACACAAGCTCTTCACAGCGACTTCTGCCAGTCCTTTGTATGCCTTTAAGGAAACTACATTACTTTTCTTCAGCTTCCTCTGCTTCCAATCTAATCAAAAGATAACTGTAGTTACTTTACTCATTGGTCAAAAGTTAAACTAATTGGCTTTCTTTTACAATCAATGTACATTTTAACACACATAAACACACACACACACATTCCCACACCCCTTAAAAAAAGACTTCATATGCTGGGCACAGTGGCTCACACCTGTAATCCCAGCACTTTGGGAGGCCAAGGTGGGCAGATCACGAGCTCAGGAGATTGAGACCATCTTGACCAACATGGTGAAACCCCATCTCTACTAACATAAAAAAAAAAAAATTAGCCAGGCATGGTGGGTGGCACACGCCTGTAGTCCCAGCTATTCAGGAGGCTGAGGCAGGGGAATCACTTGAACCTGGGAGGCAGAGGTTGCAGTGAGCTGTGACTGCACCACTGCATTCCAGCCTGGCGACAGAGCAAGACATCGTCTCAAAAAAAAAAAAAAAAAAGAAGAAGAAAAAAAGACTTCATAATGGTTCGATCTGCTCAGGAAAGGTCCAATATGGAGGCTACTAACTGCCACATATAGGAGTCAATTGAGCATTTGAAATGCAGCTAATACAAATTAAGATATACTCTAAGTATAAAATACACTCTAAGTATAAAATACAAACCAGATTTGAACTTAGTACTAAAAAAAACTGAGAATGTAAGACATTAATTTTTAAAATTTATTACATGTTGAAATGATAATCTGAATATATATAATATACTATTAAAATTAATTTCATTGCTTTTTAGTGTGTCTGCATTTTTTTTAAATGACATATGTGGCTCATGTTATAGTTCTATCAGACAGAGATGGTTGCACAAAGATCCCAGGAGCTTTCCAAACAGTTCAGAAATTCAAAAACAAAAGAAAAACTCCCAGGCCCTCTCACTGGAAGAACAAACACTAATAGGGTGCCAGCTGGAACACCAGAACATAGAAGCAATATCCATACTACCCACCCCCACCCCACTATACTCCACTACCTTTATGCCCTTATTAGGCCAACAGGATTCAGTGGTCCTGTTCCAGCTGACAGCAATGGGTGATCTTAGTAAATAAGCTGGGTAAATGAGCCAATTAGGCCAAATGAAAACACCTGGCCTAGGCAACAACTGTCTTCCCTATTCCTACCCCTATTTTTTCTATGTCCTTCCTTTTCTGAAGAGTTTAAGAGTTTATCATCCCAAATAATTGACTCATAAATCCATTTTCAAGACATGCAAATATCCATTTCTAGTTATCCTTCTATTTATTTATTCATTTCTTTTGAGACAGGGTCTCACTCTATCGCCCAGACTACAGTGCAGTGGCATAATCATAGCTCACCGCAGGCTCAAACTTCTGGACTCAAGTGATCCTCTCAGCTCAGATCTCCAGTAGCTGGGGCTCTATAGGCATGGGCCATCATGCCTAATTTTTTTTTTTTTTTTTTAGAGACAGGAGTCTCACTACATTCCCCAGGCTGGTCTCAAACTCCTAGCTTCGAGCAATCCTCTTGCCTCGGCCTCCAAAAGCACTGGGGTTACAGGTGTGACCCACCACGCCTGGCCTCTAGTTATCCTTCTTCCCTGACTACCATGCCTCCAAATAAAAAACAGCAGAATAAATCCCAACTGTTCATAACAATGTATTTTGTTAAATGCATTGTAGTCAACAAAAATACAACTACTTACTAAAAACTGCAGCAATAATACTAATAATTGATAAAATATAGTGTATAGTACATGCTAGGCACTGTTTAAAGCACCTCATATCTACAAACTCAGTTACTTCTTACAATAATCCTGGAAGGTAAGTACTATAATTATTTCCATTTTTTAGACAGGAAAACTGAGACACAGAAAGACTATGTAATTTTCCCATCACATAGGTAGTAAGTGGTGGAGCCAGGATTTGACCCCTGGAAGTCTGACTCTAGATTCTGTTCCTGACCATACCTGCCTCTCACTACACAACACAGAACACTGTACAGAATTCACCTTCATGATCAAGGCTAAGTATGTTACAAACTTTGAAGATATGTTTAATATACCTTTAACCATTTGTTCCAGATTTTCCAAATAAAACTTGTATTGGCTAACCAGGCCTTCTTCAAATTCTCTTAACTTCTGGGTTTCTTTTCGGGTCTGAAAAGACCAAAAAGGTCAATCATTTTTTAAAATCAGAACATTAAAAGCCCAAAATTAGTATAAAATATGTGTGTCTAGTATACACCCAGTACTATTTAAAAAAACAAAAAACAAAAAACGCGGCAGTCGTTTAGGCCAGGCGTGGTGGCTCATGCCTGTAATCTCAGCACTTTGTGAGGCAGAGGCGGGTAGATCACCTGAGGTCAGGTGTTTGAGACCAGCCTGGCCAACGTGGGGAAACCCCGTCTCTACTAAAAGCACAAAAATTAGCTGGGCCTGGTGGCGCATGCCTGTGATCCCAGCTACTGAGGGGGCTGAGGCAGGAGAATCACTTGAACCCGGAAGGCAGAGGTTGCAGTGAGCCAAGATCACGCCACTGCACTCTAGTCTGGGCGACAGAGTAAAACTCTGCCTCAAAAAAAAAAAGTCTATCTCTCCAAAATGTTTAGTTATTTTAGATAGTAATTATATCTAGCAATCTAGCATTACCTTAGTAGATTTTTCTGCTTCTGTGAGGGGCCGGATTTTATATGAAGGAGTAATATCTTTAAATAACTCCATCAGAGAAACAATTACCAGCTTTCGAACAGTAACAGCCACATCAGGATCTTGTTCCATCAACATAGAACGTAATTCTTTCAATTTTTTAATCTGTTAAAGAAATAGCTTATAAAGCTGGAGAAATCATGACGAAACAATTATGAACAAAAGACAACAGCCCCACATCCGGCAAAACAAGCGGAATTCACACAATGACTCCAAGTCTAGTCATGCCACACCAAACTCCAGACCCTGCTCACTTTACCAAGAGATAAGTCACTAAAGTCATAAAGTAATTGTATTAGTCCGTTCTTGTATTGCTAGAAAGAAATGCCTGAGGCTGGATAATTTATAAAGAAAAGAGGTTTATTTTGGCTTATAGTTCTGCAGGCTGTAGAGGAAGCTCGGTGCCTGCGTCTACTCCTGGTGAGGCCTCAGGAAACTTACGATCAAGGCAGAAGGCAAAGGGGGAGCCAGGGTGTCACAGGAAAGATAGGGGAGGTTCTAAGCTCTTTTAAACAACCAGCTCTCACATGAACTACCAGAGTGAGAAGTCACTTGTTACCACAAGGATGGCACCAAGCCATTCATGAGGGATCCACCCCTATAATCTAAACACCTCCCACCAGGCCCACTTCCAACATCAGAGGTCACATTTCAACATAAGATTTGGAGGGGACACACCTCCAAACTATATCAGTAATCATATTTTTGTCATATAGTTAGAAACATACAGACCTTAAAAAATTAGTTTACATTTATTATTTAGCTATTTTGGGAAATTCTTTTTTGCTGGATTTTCCTAAAGTACGTGTGTCCTATTCTTCTAAAAACGCTTTTCAAAATATACTAAAATGTTATATACATTAACCAAATATATCAGTCATACACATGAATTAATCAGGAATTACATGTAATATAGCCACATTAACTTGAGCTTCAAAGATAATTTCTATGATGGTTTCGACTGCTTTGATGAACTACTATTGTCTGTGAGCACAGGTTCCTGAGTAGAAGATCTGGGTTCCAATCCAGTGGCTGTTAAAATCTGGAACAAATCACTTGGGTTTTTTAAGGCTCAATTTTCCAGCTGTAAAATTAGATCAATCTCTTATGCCTATGGTTTTGTAATGATTGAGAGAATACACATAAGAAATATTCCAAATCTCTCTTCCCTAATTCTGCTCTAGATCTTCCCCTCACTTCATTAGAAAAGGACAAGTACTACTCCAAAGCATTCCCACATGAAATTTGCTTCTATAAATGTAAATAAGCTATTCTATCATTTCATAAACAAATACTTGTTATAATAGTATGCTGGGGACACCAGCATAACAATAATAATAGTATCATTTTATATGACTTCACGTATATTTCATCATATAATCCTCACCACAAAGTTTTGAAAAAGACACTGTCCTTTTTTAGAGATGAAAGAGTCTTGGATAAATAACTTACCCAAAGTCTCACAGATAGTACTTATCAGGGCCAAGATTAAACCTCAGATTTCTCTAGTTCATGTGTTATAACCATCACTAACTCAACGACTATACACATGGCACAATAACACTTTACTTTAACTTTGGCTCTAGTTCACTTAAAATATTTTCAACTTACAAATATTCCTGAACTAATTCCATACACTTCCCCTGTAGCGCGCTTTTTAAAAACTCCACGGGTATGTCAAGCAAATTTGCAAACAGGTTCCTCCTCCCTAATACAATTTTATAAATTTAAACATTTTTAGAGTTATAAGATGTCCAGTATTTTCATATATGAAGATGAGGAGAATAAGATTCAGAGAGTTTAAGTAACTTTTCTAGGATTACAAAAGAAATTAAGTTCAGACATAGCATTAAGCTAAGATTCTGTCTACTCTCTTACTCTAACCCAGCTACTATGTTTAGTTAATGCTTTTCCTTTTAGTGTATGCTTATAGGTAACAAGGGAATCTTAACAATTAGGCATTTACACCATACCTAATACAAAGAGCCTAAAGAAATTAATACTACCTACATTATTTTCTGGATCTGATAATATGGCAGATGCCAAGGCTGCAATATGCATCTTCTTCTCCTGTAATTTCTTCTTTCTCTCAATCAAATGTTCTTCTATGGTCAGCTCTTGAATAGGATCTTCAATGATCTCTAAAACAGATTAGATGTTCCCTTACATATTCCTCTGCTTACAAGTATCCAAGAATCTTAATAAAATATTTTTACAGTAATAATAATAATGACAACAGCTAAGAATTTTGTATTTACTACTACACATCATCTCCTCAACAATACAGGTACTATCATTGGACCCATTTTATAGATAAGAAAACTGAAGCAAAGGAAGAGAAAATAACTTGGCTAAGCTCATAAACCAAAGGAAAATAGGATTCAAGCTCATAAACCAAAGGAAAATAGGATTCAAACTCAGGCAGTCTGATTCTAGAACTTTTTTTTTTTTTTTTTGAGACAGGGTCTCACTTGGTCACCTAGGCTGGAGTACAGTGGCACTATCACAGCTTACTACAGCCTCCACCTCCCAGGTTCAATTGATCCTCCCACCTCAGCCTCCCCAGTAGCTGAGACCATAGGTGAGCCACAATACCCAGCTAATTTTTGTGTTTTTTGTAGAGACGGGGTTTCACCATGTGGCCCAGACTGGTCTCAAACTCCTGGGCTCAAGTGATCCTCCCACCTCAGCATCCCAAAGTGCTGGGATTACAGGCATGAGCCAGTGCAACCAGCCTAGAGCTCATATTCTTAGCTTCTATGATAATAAGCCCAAAATAATTCATATTAATTAACAAATAGGATAATCCTATTTAGTTTTTTTTTAAGTACAGAATATTCTCCTTTGTTTTTAACACTATATATTACTTTATACAAACTAATACTTCATAGTTTTGGGCTACAGAAAAACATGTCCACCTTAGGAAATTCATAGGGAACTAGATTTAATCAACACTAGCATAATCTGTAATGGTTTTATGATGGGTGACTGAAAACAGTTAAACAGTTGACCTGTAATTCATTTTTGCTATTAATGAGGTCTGCTAAGCGAAAGTAAAATTTAACTAGATTGTTCTGTCACAAATTCCAAACTAATATAATTTCAAACAATAAAATGCATTATTTCAGTTCAACTTTGATTAAATGGTCCTAGGTAATAGAAACTGACATTCAATTATATGAAACATATGCAAGTATAATTGTGCTAGAAACAAACCAAAATGACTTCATACTACAGAATCGCTTTTGTAATTTAAAGCTAAAAAGTTAACAGTTATTTGTAAGTAGTCTTTCTCTTACAATTAAAAGGAATTCAGAACAGTAATAATTAACAAGACACACTTCTTGTATGCCTAGATATTACAAATATGATTGTGTAAATTTTTCCATAATCAAAAAAATAAAGAATCTATTAATAATTCCACAAGATGAAGCTTTCAAATGTGGAAAAATGTTCAAAGTGACCTTGAAATGAGCAGTACTCCAAAATGTACCTTCCAGATTTCATCTAAAATTAACTCACATTTACTATTATGCAAAAAAATTCTCAATTAACAATTTAGTAACTGTAAAGACATATTACCTTCCTCAAGTTCCCTCTCTTCTTCTTGATCCTCTTCATCTTTGTTACTATCAGTAACTATATGGAAAACATATGTATTAAAACTGTGATATATACTTAAGTGGTAAAAACTGTAAAGAAATGCTAGGAGGTGATTACGATAAAACTCAGGATAGCAGTTACTTTTATGGGAAGAGCACAATTAGTGATTGAGGTGAGCACAAGGGAGGATTCTGGAAGCTAGCAGTAGTTTTTTTTCCTTGTCTGAATAGTAGTTTTATAGGTATGCGCTTTGTTATAAACCATGTAACTTCACATCTTTGATATCTGAACTTTTCTGTTTTATTTCACATACAAAAGAAGATACATTAAAAAAGAAAGCTAATCAAGAACAGTTAATATGCTCTAATTTTAGAAACAACAAAATTTAGTGAAAAGAAAATCACCTGAACCTTGTAGCTTCAGTTGTCCTCACAGTACAAATTGGTACCTGAGATAATCTATAATTCTGGCCCAAATCATCAAGCTTGCTATAAGACTAATTGAATATTTTCTAGATATGGGTAAAATCAAAGTAAAATTAAATTTTGAGTGAAAAAAAAACATGATATCAGTAAGGGGGTAAAAGTTCAACTAATATTACCAGTTTATTAGACTCACCTGGCTTCTCCCTAGTCTGTGGGATTATACCACTTTTATCTTTGATAGGAAGTAAATGAATCAGTTCCTTCTCTGGTGCAGTTTGCAGAGTTCTTGGTATTTTTTCATATTTATCTATAATGCGTTCATGCTTCCGTTTCTTCGCATGAACAGGCTCACTGCAGGGGAAAAAAAGATCAATTTTCAGTCTTAATAGATCTAAAAAGTTATCTAGAGACCTATCATTTCAAAAGTACAGAAAAACCACCAGCCAACTTTCAATAGGTATATGGATAGTAGCACTTAGGCTAGTGTCTGGCACATAGCAGGCACTCAAACAGCAAATGAATAAAAGAAATGGGTAAACAACCTACCATACAAACTCAAACTTTGGCTACATCCAGTTTTCCCTCTAGATGCAAAATAAAGGTGAAAGTTACAGCAGATTCTTTATGAAGAACAGTTCATAAAACCAAGTGTGACTCTTACTTTCCCAAAATCTTTAGAGTATAGCATAGACTTTGGAGTTTAAAAGGTCCAACTTTAAATTCCAGATACTTGTGACTGCAGGGAACCATCAGTTTCCTCTCTGGAAATGGGAATAAGACCTACCAGCAGGGTAATGAGGATTAAGTGAAATCATAGCCGTAGGAACTCAGAACTGTTCTGCCACTACCTCAAAGTGAGAACAGCATTCTTCCCCCATTCACTCTACTTGACTATTCAGACTCAAAAGAAAGATGTACATTAAATGAAATCAGCTTATCTTATACATGAACCTCCTTTATTTAGGAAATAAGCTAAATAATACTTTATTCTTTGTAAACATTGTGCTCAAAGGTGAACACCTTGAACCACCTAAGTGAAATTCAGAACCAAGTTTTTAACACTAAATGGATATGAATGATTATAACCCAAATGAAGTATTACCTAGAAGAAAGATCTCTTGTTAGAAAAGATACTCTTTGTCCTAAATCCTTCATTAACTGTAAGTCATCTTCATCCATCATATCTAAAGGAAGGGCTTCTTCTTCTTCCTCTTCTTCCCTCTCAATCCTTTTACCTGTACCACACACACACACACACAAAGAAAAATTAGAAACAAGTATCAGAGATGTAGAACTCTCTGCATTTTGGGTTTAAACAGGAAAAGCTTACGCTTTCTGAAGCAATCCTCCCACTCCAGCCTCCCAAAATGCTGGGATTACAGGGAGTGGGCCATGGCTCACAGCTGAGCCCAGTGCTTCTAAATGGAAGAACTACTGATATGCTAGGCAAACAATTCTTTGTCGTACTGGGATGTTCTGAGTCTGGAAAAATGCTAGCATCTCTGACTCCTGCAATCTAAATGCCAATAGCATTCCCAGGTTATTGTAACAACCAAAAACTAAATGTCTCCACATACTCTGAAATGCCTTTCAGGACGTTTGGAAACCAATGACTTAGCCCCTCAGCTCCTTCTCATCTCCAATTACTTTCACTTCGTATTCCATTTCAGCCAGCCTCTCTAATGGCCACATTCCAAACCCTAGTGCTCACCCCTCTCTCTGACCACAAGCTTTTATCCTTCCAGCTCCCATTCAGTTACTTCCACAGCACTTCTTCCTTAACCAATTATGTAACCTTTCAATCCACTGACCACTCCACTTTCTATCTACCTGTGTGTTCTGTCTTCACTCCCTCACTTAGACTGCAAGATTATCACTTCAACCACACTCTTGCCAATATCCTCAACTATTTTTCTTTCAACACTTCAGGCACTCACATCTAACAAAATCCCAACAACAGATCATTCTAACTTCTCTTTCTGCTCACTGTCTGCGTCTTGCTCTCTTTCTCCATCTCCTCTTTTTATTTAAAAAAAAAAAAAGTCAACTAAGTGCCAGGCACTATTTGAAGTGCTGAGGATTCAACTATGAATAAAACAATCTTAGCATCTTTCCTAGTAGAACTTACAATTCTTCCTGACCCATTAAAACTCGTAAATCTTGGCTGAGCGCGGTGGCTCACACCTGTAATCTTAGCACTTTGGGAGGCCGAGACGGGTGGATTGCTTGAGGCAAGGAGTTCAAAACCAGCCTGGCCAACATGGTGAAACCCCATCTCTACGAAAAATACAAAAAATTAGTGAGGCGTGGTGGCACATGCCTGTAATCCTAGCTACTTGGGAAGCTGAGGCAGGAGAATCACTTGAATCCCGTAGGCAGAGATTGCAATGAGCAGAGCAGAGATTGCAATGAGCAGAGCAGAAATCGCCACTGAACTCCAGCCTGGGCAACAAGTGTGAAACTCCGTCTCAAAAAAAAAAACAAAAAAAGACCCTAGTAAATCTTGCTATATAAATGTACACACTGCACAGAATGGCACTCCTATCTACTTTAAATGAGCCTTCTAAATTTAATAATCCCATTAAAAAATGGGCAAAAGATATGAATAGACATTTCTCAAAAGAAGACATACAAATGGCAAACAGGTATATGAAAAGGTGCTCAACATCATTGATCATCAGGGAAATGTAAATCAAAATTACAATGAGATATCATCTCATCCTAGTTAAAAAGGCTTTTATCCAAAAGACAGGCAGTAACAATGCTGGCAAGGATGTAGAGAAAAGGGAACTCTCATACACTCTTGGTGGGAATGTAAATTAGCACAACCACTATGGAGAAAAGTTTGGAAGTTCCTCAAAAAACTAAAACTAAAAATGGAACTACTATATAATCCATCAATCCCACCCACTGCCAGGCATGAATCCAAAAAAAAGAAATCAGTATACCGAACAGATATCTGCACTCCCATGTTCATTCAGCACTATCCACAAGAGCCAAGATTTGGAAACAACCTAAGTGTTCATAAACAGATGAATGGATAAAGAAAATACGGGGCCAGGCGCGGTGGCTCACGCCTGTAATCCCAGCACTTTGGGAGGCCAAGGCGGGCAGATCACGAGATCAGGAGATCAAGACCATCCCAGCCAACATGGTGAAACCCCGGCTCTACTAAAAACACAAAAATCAGCCAGATGTGGTGGTGTGCGCCTGTAATCCTAGCTACTCGGGAGGCTAAGGCAGGAGAATCACTTGAACTGGGGAGTCGGGGGTTGCAGTGAGCCGGGATCGTGCCACTGCACTCCAGCCTGGCAACAGAGAGAGACTCCATCTCAAAAAAAATAATAATAATAATAATAAAAGAAAATATGGTACATGTACACAATGTAGTATTATTCAGCCACAAAAAAGAATGAGATCCTGTGTGCAACAACATGGATGAAACTAAAGGCCATTATGCTAAGTTAAACAAGCTAGGCACAGAAAGACAAATTTCACATGTTCTCACTTATTTGTGGTAGCTAAAAATTAAAACAACTGAACTCATGAAGAGAGTAGAATGATGGTTACCACTGGCTGGGAAAGGCAGTTGGAGGAGATAGGAGTAGGGATGGTTAATGGGTACAAAAATACACTTAGAAAAAGATCTAGTATTTGATAGATAGGATGACTATAGTCAACAATAATTTATTTTATGTTTTAAAATAACTAAAAAAGTATAACTGGATTGTTCGTAACACAAAGATAAATGCTTGAGGTGATGGATACCACATTTACTCTGATGTGATTATTATGCATTGTATGCCTGTATCAAAGTACCTCATGTATCCCATAAATATATACACCTACTATGTACCCACAAAATTAGAAAAAAAAAAAACTTTAGCTGGGTGCTGTGGCTCACCCTTGCAATTCCAGCACTTTTGGAGGCTGAAGCAGGAGGACTGCCTGAGCCCAGGAGGTCAAGGCTGTAGTGGGCTATTTTTGCACACTGCACTCCAGCCTGGGTGACAGAACAAGACCCTGTCTATTTAAAATAATAATAATAATTTTTAAAAAATGGACCTGAGAAGACTGAATAGTTGTCTAATAATCTGATATAGTCAAATAAGAATACCCTAAAAGTACCAGCAAAGTTGTAGAACTAGCCTGACTCAAAATAGTCATATTCCTTACAAGTTTTGAGTACTTAATAATTTTTAGATAGTTTTACAAAATAACCATGACAATTACAACTCAATTTCACCCCAAGTTTCCACATGAAAAGAAAGTCAGAAGTTTAGAAGTGTACCTTGGCAATACTGTGAAGAATGAACCAGAGACAAGCAATGTTCTTACCTTACCTAACTGCTGGTGAATGGCAAAGTGGCAGCACTGGCACACTGCCCAATATTTATGTAACGGAGTACTTTCAGTTTGTTTTCCCAAGTAGTGCATCTTCAGATCTGCCTTCCAGACAAACTAAAAGCAGAAGCTTGAATGAATACTGTATTGAAATGTTTTCTCATACTGACTGTGATAAAGCATATATGCTTTATAGCAGTCCTATAGGACTACTATCCTTACCCACTCTAGGAAGATCTGAGAACAAGAAAAGCGATTACTAGAAAGCAAAGTTATTTCCATGAAGAACACTTCAGAATAAATCAATGGAAACCAGAGCACATGATGTTTTCACAATTACCTGGTCGCTTTTCCTTTGGGTTCTCCAATGGAATGGGTTTCTTAGACACAGCATCTTTCACAGCTTGCCTTAGTTTCCTCTGTTCTTTTCGGTACTTCTTGAGAGTGCTTTGTTGTTTAAACTGCTTATTTTTTAGCTTGTTTTCAAGTTTGACTTTACTAGTTTTTATTAACTTGCGAAAGCTTGGGATCTGTTTTTTATTTCTTCTCTAGAAAATAACAGAAAGAATACTGCATACCCAGAAACTTATTTTTTAAATCAGGTTAAAGAGAACTGATTACAAATTTCATTAGACCAATTCCACAATTTCAATGTCCCACAGCCACAGACTTGCATATAAAAGCTAAAACCAAACGATGGCTTTAATCCTACAGAAGAGCGCTACAGCATCAGTTATTCAATCCCAATTCACAGCAATTCAAAGGGTTCTACGATCCCCAAACAGGTTAAGAACCACTGATCTAGTAGTGGTAAGTGGCTATTCAAGGCTAGTTTAACACACCTGTAGTTTAACACATTCAAAGCAAAATGCTGGCTGTCTTTAATAAAACTTACATTTATCTACGATTTTATTACTTACAAAGTGCTCCAACAAATCACCTCTAACAGCCTAGTTGAGTACTGACTGCTGTTATCCTCACATTACTGATGAAGCTGCCAAAAGACCCATAAACTAAGGAGGGCAAAACTGAATTCGGATCTTTGGATTCCACTTCTCTTGCTGGTGACTCATTCAGAAATCCCAAAGTTAGTCCTGAACCCCAGGACTACCTCTTATTTTCTGGGAGAACCAGGACAAATCACTTGCTTTTCTATCTCTTTACCCTTCATGGGTACCGTGACTCACATTATAAACTCGCTGAGGGTAGGACCCTGCTTCTCATTTGTGAAAAACGAGTTCGAAAGACGGTCTTGAAAAATTCCTTCAAAGTATGAAATCCCACGCATGCAAAACTCCGTGCCTGTCTCTTCGTGATACTCTGAAGTGGTGCGCGCACACAGTGGGTAACCAAGGATGAGCTCGGTGTAAGGAATGGAAAGCCCCCAGTCTAAACCACCGCCCCCTAGACACGGGTGAAAACCTGCCTAAAAGCTAACTCAGGCAGTGACTCTATCACCCGAAGGGGCCCTAGGCCGCGGCGACCGGGCTTTTGAGGACACTTACCGCCTTCATCCTTAGGCCTTAAATGAATGCCGGCCAGACAAGTTCACCAGAAGCAGGGTTACTACAGAAATCCCGGGGAATGACACACGTGCCGAAGTCCCTACACTACCAGAGCCGGAAACGGCCTTCAGTCCCTCCCAATCCTCCGCCGCCGGAAGTGAGGGCGGGACTTCCGTAGACAGGTTCGGGCTCGCGCCCTCTCGCGGTGACTGTCTCGCGGCCCTGGACCGGTTGCCCCCCGGCGTGCGCGCGCGGACTGGCACGAGGGAAGCCCCGAGGGCGTCGGTGCCAAAGGCGGGAAGCCGGGCGGGAGGGGCGCATTTTGCAAGGTTATCTGAGTATGATTCTTTGACTCTCGCCCTATTTATTTCTTTTAAAACCTTGGGGAAATCGGGCTCCTCCTCTCAGAATGAGAGGACTTGGTTTTTTCGGTCACCTCATTGCATTTTGTGCCTCTCCTCACGTTGCTTATCTCATGCTGTTATAGATACTGATTTTCGTAGTCTTTTTCCTCCATACAGTCCTGAGGGCAGAAAGAAGCTTATTTTTTGTGTGTAATGCCTGCCCCTCGACGGACATTCTGGCCGTGTTTGTAGCATGGCGAATGATTTCTCATCAGCCTTGGTCACTTAAAAGTCTGTGATTCTTAGTGTTTTATTTTGCATTTTTTTTTTGCTTTAATTTTTAACCATTAGCTGATAAAGAACTGTATCCATGGCTGGGTGCGGTGGTTCACGCTTGTAATCCCAGCACTTAGGGAGGCAGAGGCGGGTGGATCACCTGAGTTCCAGGAGTTCGAGACCAGCCTGGCCAACATGGTGAAACCCTGTCTCTACTAAAAATACAAAAATCAGCCAGACATGGTGGCGTGCGCCTGTAATCCTAGCTACTCGGGAGGCTGAGGCAGGAGAATCGCTTGAACCCAGGAGGCAGAGGTTGCAGTGAGTCGAGATCACACCACTGCACTCCAGCCTGGGTGACAGAGCAAGACTGTCTAAAAAATAAAAATAAAAATAAAAAACTGTATCTGCATTTCAGTATCTTACAACTTTGGGTAAATTCTGTCTGCTTAGTAATTTCACCAAAGTCGTTTTTTGTTTTTGTTTTTTGAGACGGAGTCTTGCTCTGGCGCCCAGGCTGGAGTGCAGTGGCGCAATCTGGGCTCATTGCAAGCTCTGCCTTCTGGGTTCACGCCATTCTCCTGCCTCAGCCTCCCGAGTAACTGGAACTACAGGCGCCCGCCACCACGCCCAGCTAATTTTTTTTGTATTTTTAGTAGAGACGGGGTTTCACCGTGTTAGCCAGGATGGTCTCGATCTCCTGACCTCGTGATTCGCCCACCTTGGCCTCCCAAAGTGCTGGGATAACAGGCATGAGCCACCGCGCCCCGCCTAAAGTCGTTCATTTTTACAGGAAGTTTTATGGATTGCAAGAATAAGAGTATCAAAGTGCTTGTCTCTCAAAGACTTTTTTTTCTCAATAAATTTAAGCATTCCACTTCAAGTTTTTTGTGGGTTTTTTTGAGTCTATGATTTTTGAGCATGGCCCTGACACAGAGTCTGGCCTCGCAGTCCTGAGCAGGTGGGAAAACCCAGTAGTGCGGCTCAAAGGGTTCTGAGCCCCTTGAATAGTGTTGCTCTTAGAGAGACTGAGGGAAAAAAGTACCAATTTCCTGATCCCACCACAAAGACCAAGAGGTCCATCTGGCACTCTTCTTTCAACCTCCCTTCCAACTTCTTCCTTGCTCTGTCTCCTTCCACACAGTGTCAGAAACAGCAGAGCCTGTCCCGCTGGAGTATTACTTCATCAAACAAGTGGAAAACATCAGCCTGTGCTCTTCCCAAGTGCCTGAATTCCCTCCCAAGCATATCAACATATCTACAGTCACTCCCATCCTTTTAGCCTTCCTTCCAGTCTCTCCAAGGATGAGGCATCCCCATTCCAGTTCAAAACCAACTCCTCCCAGCTTCATCAGATTCTTGTATCATTAATTATCCCTTCTTTCCTGTGTTCTTTCCCTCTCTAATAGATCCTTCCCCTCAGCTTATAAACATATTCAAATCTCTTCCATTTTTAAGATTTGTTCTAATAAACTTATCTCCCTTTAATTGCTCTTTTATGTGCCTCTTTTCCTACTTGTCCCTACTTCCAGAAAAAAGTATTCTTTTAGCGTCTCCACTTTCTCTTCTCTATTGTCATAGCCCAATCCTGTGCTAGTATTTTCTTTTTTAATATAAAGATTGCCTTTTTTTATTTTTTTTCTCTGTTGCCCAGGCTGGAGTGCAGTGGCAGCTCTCAGCTCACTGCAGCCTCAACCTCCCAGGCTCAAGGGATCCTCCACCTCAGCTTCCTGGGTAGCTGAAACTACAGGCACGCACCACCATGCCCGGCTAATTTATATTATTTGCAGAGATTTGGTCTTGCTATACTGCCTAGGCTGGTCTCAAACTCCTGGGCTCAAGCAGTCCTCCCACCTCAACCTCCCAAAGTGCTGGGATTACAGGCATGAGCCACCATGCCCAGCATGTGCTAGCTTTTTTAAGAACTGTGTCATACTCTTGGCCCATTTTAAGTTTACAATCAACTAAAATCTCTGGATCATTTTAAAGCAATTGTTGCCAAGCTAAATCTCTCCCATCTTGAATTCGAGCAGCCTGTTGTTCGAAAATACTCAAAAATGGAAGTTTATATGATTCCTTTTAATTCCATTTAATCTTGCTGGTTTCTTAATTCTGTGTGTCCACCTTTGTGTCATCTCTTCTTCACTCAATCCACTGCCAAGCCCCATTTGGACTCCAGATCCTCTTAGATCCCTTAGAGCTTTCCTGGACACTTGAGCTGATAAGGGTCACTGGGCTTTCCCAAACTAGTATCACAGGGATTGTACCTGGAGATTCCTGTTAGCACTTTCAGGAAGTCTGTTAAGAACTTACGTGGCTTTGCCCATAACATTCCGCTGAAACTGATCTAATTAAGGTCACCAAGAACCTCCAAAGTGTTGTGAGTTTTTTCTAATTGTGTACGGAATTACATTACTTCTTTCTCATTTAACCTCACTAGATCTCTCTGCTGCCTTTGATGCTACGCGTATCTCCCTTCACACATTAGAATGTTGATTCCCTTGGCTTTCCTAATAGCCTGTTCCCCAGGTTCTCCTCCTACCTCCATTTCTTCCTCCTTAGGCTTCTTCAATGTAGGTGACTCTCAGGGTTCTACTCTTGGCCCACTTGTCTACCACTCTTCTTGCTCTACTTGCTTTTCCAGCGTGATTTCATCCATCTACCTATTACAAAGAGATTTTGTCCAGCCTATACTTCTTCCCCAAGCTTCATTCTTATAGCCATCTGCCTCCTGGACAGCTCTACCTCCTAACCATGGGACTTCACATTACCATGTTCAAAAGAACTATTTTTTTTCACTTGTACCTCTTGTAACATTCCCTATTTCTTTCTTTTACCCACAGCTAGAATCCCAAATACTCCAGAGATCTTTGTCAACAAGCAAGGGCTTTCTTGGCCATTTACCGTATTATAATTAATCCATTTTCTATAAACAAACAGTTTTGAAAACTGTCACTAAGTGGACATGGAATAATAAACAAGGCTTCTTTTTTTCCAGTACCACAAGATAATTTACATAAGTTATAATAAGGGACTATATGAATGTTTGTCACTTTGTAGTAAGTGTTTGGCGATAGAAAAAGCCCACACTTCAGTATCACAAATTAGAAAATAAACATCGTAATTGGATGTTATCACTGTCAATCATCTTAGACATAAAAGAGGCAGGCAGGTTGCCCTACAGCTCACCCAAAGGGGACCTGTGGAAATTAGAAAAAGCTTCCATGTCCTTAAGACACTTCACTGTCATAGATCAAAAAAAAAAAGTTTGCTATCTTTACAAATAAACTGTGAATGACGCCCCTGGAATTGTACAATATACAGTCCTCCCTTATGTCGAAGTGCTTGGCTCTGCCTAGGCCTCTTTCTGTTTCCCTTCCTAAAATTCAGGGGAAACAAAAACAAAACTAAACTAAAGTAAAATAAAATCCAGGGGAGGGAAGGAGTCTAGAATCTCTGTTCAGACCTTTGAGATAGTGCTACAGCCAAGGGGAAAAAAAAACAACTCACTATCAGAGAGCTAAAAAAACATAACTGTAATATTTAAGTAATATTTAGATATTACTGTCCAGGCATTGTGGCTCCTGCCTGTAATCCCAGCACTTTGGGAGGCTGAGGCAGGAGGATTATTTGAGGCCACGTGTTCAAGGCTACAGTGAGCTATGAGGGTGCCACTGCACTCCAGCCTGGGCGACAGAGTGAGGCTATCGCAAAAAAAAAAAAAAAGAAAGGATTTGAAAATACGTATATCATGGTCTCTACCTTTGAAAATGTTAAAATATTGTTGAGAAATTGTGTGTGTGTGTGTGTGTGTGTTTGTGTGTAGTTGAGAATGATAATTATGAATTACCAAATAGAGAATAATAGAAAAGATCACATAGGTGCTAAAAAATAAAGACAAGCTGCTTTAGAGGAAGTCATAGAGCAATGTATACCTAAATGAGAACAGGAGAAAGGACAAAGTTTAAATAGATGGTATAATTTGTTCTAAGCAAGGTCACTCAGGTAGTACAAATAATTTATATTGTGGTGCATCAGAAAATTAGGTTAAGATAGCTAATAATTATAATTAATTATTAAATTAAAAGTATTAACCAAAAACCAAAATAATAGCAAACATTAGAATAATGATGTAGCAGATTTTTTGTCCTGCTGAACCCACAGCTTGAATCACCCCAAAAGCAGTGGTAGGCCAGGAATTAGTGGCTTCAGTGAGTTATGATCTCACCACTGCACTCCAGCCTGGGCAACAGAGCAAGACTCCATCTCAAAAACAAACAAAAGCAGCGACAGGGAAGTTCCCACAACGGTGTGTCCCAAACTGTCTTGAGAAAAGGCCCCCAGTTGGGATGCCATAGAAAGAAGCATTTTTTTTTTTTTTTTTTTTTGAGACAGAGTTCACTCTTGTGGCCCAGGCTGGAGCGCAATGGCACGATCTCAGCTCACCTCAACCTCCGCCTCCCGGGTTCAAGTGCTTCTCCTGCCTCAGCCTCCTGAGTAGCTGGGATTACAGGCATGTGCCAACATGCCCGGCTAATTTTGTATTTTTAGTAGAGACAAGGTTTCTCCATGTTGGTCAGGCTGGTCTCGAACTCCCAACCTCAGGTGATCCGCCCGCCTCGGCCTCCCAAAGTGCTGGGATTACAGGCGTAAGCCACTGTGCCTGGCCGAAAGAAGCATTAAATGCCGGGGTGATCAACCCAAAACAATTGTTAGGAGAACTTACCTACAGAGTGCTGTGGCAATCCTCATGATGGACAGTGAGAGAAAAGGGGTGTGGACCTAGGTATGTCCACAGTGAGGGGGTCAGGGTACGGAGTTTATATGAGGGTTTAAGGTATGTGACTCAGGGCCTGAGCCAGTACTTTCAGTGTTTTGGGCAACAACTTAGATACTTTTACCAGTGCCTGGGACTGTTCAAAGCCCCAGTTTGTGTTGAAGCCTGCTGGGATGAACCTGCAGATGGCTAGGTCACAGAGCAGTCAAGGCACTCTAATTTTTTATTCAGGACACAGAAAGAAAGCCGCAAGGGGCTGTGCGGGAGGTCTCCTGGGGGCCCTACACAAATGTTGTTGGTGTCTCGTCTACATATCCTCAGTACTTCGTGTTCCATACATGCTGAAAAAGTCCTCTGAGCACTTGCAAATTTTCACTTAAGGACTTTTTCTGGACCCCTGTAGGGCAGGTCTGAAGTGCCACAGATTTTTCCACTGGAAGCATCCTCAATCAACAACAAATGGTAATTGAAGGATAACTATAGCAATTGTGGTAGGCTGAAACATGACTTCCAAATATATGAAGGCTAAGTCCCTGGAAACATGAATATTAACTTATACAGGCAAAGTTGTGATTAAGTTAAAGATTTTGAGATGAAATGATTATGCAAGTGGGCAATCACATGAATCCATTTAAGAGACAGGAGATTTCACACAGACAGACAAGAAGGTAATGTGACTACAATAGGCAGAGATTGGAGTGATGTAGACAAGTCAAGGAATTCTAGCAGCCACCAGAAAGGGGAAGAGATAAAGAACAAACTCTCCCCTAGAGCTCAGTCCAGTGATATTAAGTTCAGACTTGCAGCCTCTAGAACTGTGAGAGAATAAATTTCTGTGTTTTAAGCCACCAAATTTGTGATGATTTGTTACAGCAGCCATAGAAAGCTAATATACCAATAAAATATAACAAAAACATACCAATGTCCTTAATCCTCAGAGGTAGAACACCTCTAAGGCAGCGCTCCCCAGCCTTTTTGGCATCAGGGACGGGTTTTGAGGAAGATAATTTTTCCACAGATCAGGGTGGGGGATGGTTTCAGGAAGAAACTGTTCCACTTCAGATCATCAGGCATTAGTTAGATTCTCATAAGGAGCGTCCCACCTAGATCCCTCAAATGTGCAGTTCACAGTTGGGTTCAAGCTCCTATGAGAATCTAATGCCTCCACCGATCTGACAGGAGGCGGAGCTCAGGCAGTAATGTCACTCACCTGCCGCTCACCTCCTGCTGTACAGCCCAGTTCCTAACAGGCCGCGGACTGGTACAGGTCTGTGGTCCCAGGGTTGGGGACCCCTGCTCTAAGACATCTTCCACTTTGTCTCCCAAAGATTGAGTTCCACCTGCAGAGATATCCTACTCATCAGCACACACTATTAGTGTCCTTTGCTTCCCTGCCTCACAACCCCACCCTGCTAGAAATGGTTCCTGGACTCACCTTCAAAATAAACCACTTGCACTCAAGTCCTTATGTATCTGTTTCCTTGGGCTGCCGTAAAAAAGAACCAAAAATTGGGTGGGTTAAAACAACCAAAATGTATTATCTCACAGCTCTGGAGGCAAGGTGTCTAAAATCAAGATGTTGGCATTGTTTGTTTATGTTTAGGGCTCTGAGGAAGAATCTGTTCCATGCCTCTGTCCTGGATTCTGGTGACAGCTGGCAATCCTTGGCAATCTTTGGCTTGTAGATGCATCAATCCAATCTCTGCCCCCATCTTTACATATTATTCTCCATGTGTCCCTCTGTCTTCACATGTCTGTCTTCCCCTCTTATAAGGATACTAGTCATATTGGATTAAGGGCCCACCCTAATGACCTCATGTTAACTTTATTACATCTGCAAAGACCTTTCCAAATAAGATGATGTTCATAGTTACCAAGGATTAGGATTTCAACATATCTTTTTTTTTTTGGAGGGGGGACACGATTCAACTCAAGATCAAATTCAGAGGACCCCAGCGTACCACTTATTTAGGTAATTTTTATGTTTCCCTAGATATGAATTATTTCATTGAATCCTCAATAATCTTATGATATAAATATTAGCTGTGTTTAATTTGTTTTTATTTAATTAATGAATTACAGGATTAGATATTACAGTGTGGCCAAGTTTGTGTTTACACCAGATGGGAAACATAACAAGATGCCAGTCCTGCTAGTGGGAATAGTTTTCCAACAAAAGGGATCAAATGCCTTAAGCTGTTTTCCTAATCTGCAATATTATGGTCAGGGAAAAATTTTAGAGGGATTTTCCTAGGGTTGTGATACATGTTCTTTTTTATTTAAGATGTTTGTTGATAAATTAAGCTAAGAAATGACATTTCCTGTTTCTTTACTTACATTGATTGTTCAAAGCCATTCTTTATTTATTCATTGTCTTTCAAAATCCCTAGGGAAGGAAAAGTGGATGCCATGCACAAAGTCATGCACAGTTTCTGATAGTCCTTTGAGCAGCAATAGTTTTTCACCCTCCACTCTGTACCAGACTCTGCTAGGAGCTCGCTGTGAAAGAACGTTCTGTAAAACAAGGATGTATTGTCTCTAGGTCTCTATTCCAAAGCTGCTGGGAAGTATAGCTGAATGGGAAGGAAACTATCAAATAAACTAACATCTAAGGTATCATGTATATCATCCTCACACCTCCCACAATGCCAGTCCTACTTATTTTATTTTTTAAATTTACTATTATTTATTATTTTTATTTTGAGACAAGCTCTTACTCTGTTGCCCAGGCTGGAGTGCGGCAGCTCAATCATGATTCACTGCAGCCTTGACCTCCTGGGCTCAAGTGATCCTCTTACTTCAGCCTCCAGAGTACCTGGGACCATGGGTGCACACCACCATACCCCGCTAATTGTTTACCTACTTATTTTATTAATAATACTCTGTGCTCCAAGCCAGGCTCAGTGGCTCATACCTATAATCCCAGCACTTTGGGAGGCCAAGGGAAGTGGATCACCTGAGGTCAGGAGTTCAAGACCAGCCTGGCCAGCATGGAGAAACCCCATCTCTACTAAAAACGCAAAAATTAGCCAGGCATGATGGTGTACACCTATAATCCCAGCTACTCAGATGGCTGAGGCAGGAGAATCACTTGAACCCGGGAGGCAAAGTTTGCAGTGAGCCAATATTGTGCCACTATACTCCAGCCTAGGCACCAGAGCAAGACCCAATATCAAACAAACAAACAAACAAACAAAAACTCTGTACTCCACCTATCACCGAAGTTCAAGTCCTGCCTGCCTTTGGTTACAAATTTGGAAATACTTGTGCATATACTCCAAAGACCTGGTTGGGTGGCATTTATGCTTCTGATTTCTTTCCTTCATTTTCCAAGCTGCTACTGCTGATCTTACTTAAAATTCACTTGGGCGAATAAATGCATAGGTAAGTAAAATCAGTGGATATCCATGAGACTGATGAGAAGTCTAACTGATCCAGATATCTACTCCAGCATCTGTCACACTAAAAAGAAGATAAGGGGGCCGGGCGCGGAGGCTCACACCTGTAATCCTAGCACTTTGGGAGGCCAGAGGGGGAGGATCACAAGGTCAGGAGATCGAGACCATCCTGGCTAACACGGTGACACCGTCTCTATTAAAAATACAAAAAATTAGCCAGGTGTGGTGACGGGCGCCTGTAGTCCCAGCTACTCAGGAGGCTGAGGCAGGAGAATGGTGCGAACCCGGGAGGCGGAGTTTGCAGTGAGCCGAGATCGCACCACTGCACTCCAGCCTGGGCGACAGAGCGAGACTCCAGACTCCGTCTCAAAAAAAAAAAGAAGAAGAAGATGAGGATCTGCCCCTAAAGAATCTCTTTCTTGAGCCCATTAGGGGGAAAAAGACTTTTAAATATCCTAGTTAGGACTTTTTAACATCCAGGGAAGAAGAAAGGGAATTGCCAGTTTCTGGAGGGGGCAAAAAATGGGAAGTGGAGGAAAGGAAGGAAGTGAAAAAGATAGGCTTCAAAACAATATGGTTTAGCATGTCAGTTCTAGTAGGTACATAAGCTATCTATTGCTCTTTAAGAAGTTGCCCTAAAACTTGGCAACTTAAAACAATAATAAACATTATTTCAGACTTTTTCTGTGGATCTGGATTTTAGGAATGGCTTAGCAGGTTTGTTTTGGTTCTGGATGTTTTACAATCTAGATGTTGGTCAAGGCTGCAGTCATCTGAAGACTTTACTGAGGCTCAAGGATTAACTTCTAAGATGGTTCATTCATATGTCTATTGGAAAAAAAGCTTCGGTTTCTCACTATGTGAACCTCTCCATAGGACTAATTGGGTGTCCTCATGACAAAGCAGCAGGCTTTCCCTAGAGCATGTTATCCAAGAGAGAGCAAGAGGAAAGCTCTAATACCTTTTAAGACCTAGTCTTGAAAGTCATCTGCTATTCTGTTTGTCATAAGTAAGTCACTTAATCTAAACCACACTCGATTGTAGGGGAATTGGGCTTCACCTCTTGAAGGGAAGAGTATCAAAGAACTGTGGACATATTTTAAAACCACCAGAATGGGGTTCAATATCTATATTGGGACTGGGTAGGCACTGGAATTTAAAAATATTTTCCTATCACTAGATAAATAGTTTTTATGTAGGTAGACAAGAGAGCCAGTTTTAGAATACATGACATTACAGTCGGGTGCGCTGGCTCACACCTATAATCCCAGCACTTTGGGAGGCCGAGGTGGGTGGATCACAAGGTCAAGAGTTTGAGACCAGCCTTGACAAGATGGTGAAACCCCGTCTCTACTAAAAATACAAAAATTAGCCAGGTATGGTGGAGGATGCCTGTAATCCCAGCTACTCGGGAGGCTGAGGCGGGAGAATGTTTTGAACTTGGGAGGCGGAGGTTGCAGTAAGCCAAGATAGTGCCATTGCATTCCAACCTGGGTAACAAAAGCAAGACTCTGTCTCAAAAAAAAATAAAAAAAAAGGAACATTACAATGCTATAACAGGTTTAAAGCCAAAGGATCATGAAGATGAGATTTAAATCATGTACAACATAAGGAACTCGTTTTCTGTGGAGCAGAAGAGAAAGGTTATTATTATTATTATTATTATTATTTTATTATTATTTGAGACAGAGTCTTGCTCTGTCGCCCAGGCTGAAGCACAGTGGTGCCATCTCAGCTCACTGCAAGCTCCGCCCCCTGGGTTCACACCATTCTCCTGCCTCAGCCTCCGGAGTAGCTGGGACCACAGGCACCCGCCACCACGCCCAGCTAATTTTTTTTGTATTTTTTTATTAGAGACGGGGTTTCACCATGTTAGCCAGGATGGTCTTGATCTCCTGAGCTCGTGATCCGCCCGCCTTGGCTTCCCAAAGTGGAGGAAGATTATTTTGTACCCTCTATGACTGCCCATTCATAAAACTTCATAGGACCCGAACTGAGAACTAAATACCAAAGTATAGAGATAGTGACTTACTCTATTTTATAACCCCCATACCTAGGTTAGTACTTTGTACCTAAGAAGAATCAATAAATATTTACTGTTTTGTTTAACTGAATTTAACTAATGATTTAAGATGAATCCGAAGTACAGACCCATGTACCCCTGTTAGATTGTTGCAGATTTCAAGGACTATGATTGTTCTGGGTGTTTTCTGTTACCTATTTCTTTGACACGGTCAGCTCTTTTCTCTAGAGTTTAATGCAGTCACGGAAGCACAAACTGGAGGACCATGGACTAAACTCTGTCAGTGAAATTGTTTATTTGGTTAAAACTCTGTGTGTGTGTGTGTGTGTGTGTGTGAGAGAGAGAGAGAGAGAGAGAGAGAGAGAGAGATTTTTTAACTGATTTTTGAATGCCTTTGGTTGGAGCATATGCTCAGTATGCACTCTGTAGTTCCCCATAGGCCCTGCTACTTTCTATTCTCTAATATCTATCTGCCTTTTTAGTCCCTAAGGGCAGTTGAGTGTGAGACCCACACATCTAGAGTTTAAATCTCAGGATGACAGTATGTATTATTGGTCCAGCCTATTCTTACTCTCCATTCTACGGGTGAGTTGTTTCCTGTAGATTTACTTTTAGCTTTAGGTCAAAAGTACTATTTTCAAGGCCAGGCGTGGTGGCTCACACCTGTAATCTCAGGACTTTGGGAGGCTGAGAGGGACGGATCACTTGAGGTCAGGAGTTTGAGACCAGCCCGGCCAACATAGAGAAACCCTGTCTCTACTAAAAATAAAGAAATGGCCGGGCGCAGTGGCTCAAGCCTGTAATCCCAGCACTTTGGGAGGCTGAGGCAGGCGGATCACGAGGTCAGGAGTTCGAGACCAGCCTGACCAACATGGTGAAACCCTGTCTCTACTAAAAATACAAAAAGTAGCCGGGGCGTGGTGGCACGCACCTGTGATCCCAGCTACTCAGGAGGCTGAGGTAGGAGAATCTCTTGAACCTGGGAGGTGGAGGTTGCAGTGAGCCAAGATCATGTCATTGCACTCCAGTCTGGATGACAGAGTGAGACTCCATCTCAAAATAAATAAATAAATAAATAAGCTTGGCGTTGTGGTGTATGCCTGTAATCCCAGCTACTCAAGTGGCTGAGGCACAAGAATTGCTTGAAGTCGGGAGGAGGAGGTTTCAGTGAGCCAAGATTGTGCTACTGCACTAAAGCCTGGGTGACAGAGCAAGACTCTGTCTCAAAGAAAAAAAAAGAAGTACTGTTTTCATAGTCATCTCCCTTTTTAGTTTAGCCAGTATCCTCCTGCATTCTGCTAAACTCTGGTTTTCTCTCTCTTCTTTCCTTTCCCTCCTACTTAGCACTCCTGGTGAATTTTCCCCCTTTTCTACTTTTCTCAATGTCTGCATCCTAAATGGTTTCTGACAAAAAGCATGGATGAAGACTCAGCTTCTACTCATTTTAAAGATGGGGCAATGGCCAGGCACGGTGGCTCACACCTGTAATCCCAGCTACTCAGGAGGCTGAGGCAGGAGAATCGCCTGAACCCAGGAGGTAGAGGTTGCAGTGAGCCAAGATTGCACCACTGCACTCCAGCCTGGGCAGCAAGAGCAAAACTCCATCTTTAAATAAATAAATATGCGGACAACAATGCTACCAGTGAGTAGAGATAATGTATGCAAAGTACCTGGCACACAAAAGGTGCGGTAAACCTGAGAATCATTTTCCTCTTCTTTCTGGCTAATAATTTCAAGAACTACTGTGAGGCTATTTGCACAGCCCTTCCATCTTGAATTTCTTTTCCTATCTTTTCTAAAAATTATTTTGTTTTATTGTTTTTTAATGTTCATTGTGACTCATGGAATTGATTTCATGACTCACTAATGGATCACACGCATAGTGTGAAAAACATTGATATAGAGACATTTTGTGCCCTCTTTTGTGTTGGTGACTAGTCTGCTAGACTGATGGCTTGTACAGGAACTTCTTGAACTGGTAGGAATATATCTTAGAGTTTCATTCCTGATACTTTTTGATGGGAAGAGGTTTTTTTAAATTATTTTTTCATTTTTTATTTTTTATTTTTTGAGACAGGGTCTTGCTATGTCACCCAGGCTGGAGTGCAGTGGCACCATCCTAGCTCACTGCAGTCTCAACCTCTGGGGCTCAAGCAATCCTTTCACCTCAGCCTCCTGAGTAGACGGAACTACAGGCAGATAGGAAGAGTTTTTAAGAGTGCCAGTTATGGTCTGATCTACCAAGGATCCAATGAGGTCTTCCATGGCAAGGTCAACTATCAGGTTGGAGTTGATAATATATTTTTATGGAACATTCTTGGCTGCTATAACCTGGCCAGGTCCAGCACCACAAGCCTTATATCTTGTGGTGGAGAAACAGTTCAACTCACACCCCTACCCCCATTCTCTGTGCAACACCACTCCATTTTCCTATGTTTACCCTTCTCAGTTCATTCATTTATACTTTTATGGAATCATTTATGCAACAATTATGAATTGACCACTTACTCTATGTCAGCCACTCTATCAGGGTCTGGAAAAAGAAAAGAGCCATTCCTGCTTTTGCTGAGCTTATGGTCTGTTAGTGGGAAGCAGATATAAATCAGAGAACCACATCAATAGATGTAACATTTTTTAAAGTTTCAGTTGTAATTAATGTCCAAAAAAGACAGTATATATTGTTATGGCACATTATAATAAGGAAAAATGGCCTGGTCAAGGAGGTTACAGTAGGCTTTTCCAGAAAAAATAATGATTGAACTGAGATTGAGAAAAATAGGAGTCAACAGTGTGTGTGTGTGTGTGTGTGTGTGTGTGTGTGTGTGTGGTGGTGATTAGAAATTTCTAGTAGATGAAACAGCGTGTTCAAAGCCCTGTGATTAAAGGAAGCACAGCTTTATTAAAAGGAGCACAGCTCAGGGTTTGCTTCCTGCTTTCTTTCTCCCTCTTCCCTTCCTTCTTTCCTCCCTTCCTTCTTTCCTTCCTTCCTTTCTTCCTTCCTTCCTTTATTTCTCCTTTCACCTTGAATTCAGAGAGTTAACAACTTTCTCAGTTTCTGACACATTATCATCAATGCAAAGATTCTCTTTTGCTTTTTGAAATTTATCTGTATATTCAGTTTTGTCTCCTTTCAGCAATTCCATTCTCCTCTCTTTCATAGGCAACCATTTTAATGCGTTTAATATACATTTTGAAACATGTTATTGTAAAAAAATGACTGTTTTGTTTATATATTATTAATTTATGTCTATGATATTGTTTTATTAGTTTCATTTCTTTTTTCACTTGGCACTACGGTTTTAATATTCGTCCAAGCTGCTCTTTGTATATCTAATCTGTTGTTTCTAATTGCTGCATAGTGCTCCAGGGTGGTTCATCTGCCACTTAGTACATATTTACTCCAGTTTTGGATTGTCTCCAATTCCTTTTCACCTCACACAACAAGGACTTCACTCACACACTTTAATGAACATCCTCCAACATGTCCTCATGGGGACCTGTGAGAAAATTCCTTGAAGGGTATAACCAGGAGCACAACTGCTGGGTGATAGTTGATGCATGCCCTTGACTAAATCATGCCAACTGGGTCTTATAAACCAAAAAGAGTATCTGGGATAGGTCTCCATCAGTTTAGAGGTTTGTTTTGTCAAGGTTGAGAAAGTGTCTGGGAAAAAAAAAACCCCACAGTAGAATCTGTGGCTCGCACTTTTTCCAAAAAGGGTTTTGAGGGGTTCAGTTTTTAAAGAGGAGAAAGCAGGCTGGATGGGGAAGGAGGAAACAAAACAAAAGGGGAGAGTAGGAAAAAATTAGGTAAGTGGTTACAGTCTTTTAAGGCTTTGATTATTTCTCACTGAATCCACATGTTGTATGTATGTGGAGGAACAGCCAATTCTGTGTTTGTCTCATGCTCAGTAAATCTGCAGTTTATGTAAGATAAAGTAAACGTAGAGTAGAGGAAGAAGTCAAATATGCATTCATCTCGGGGTTGGCAGTGGGACAATTTCTAGCCTCCTCTCATCCTGTACACGTGAAGATAAGCTGGGTCCTGTTATTGTTTATTTCTTTGTTTGTTTTAGAGGCAGGGTCTCGCTCTATCACCCAAGTTGGAGTGAAGTGATATGATCATGGCTCACTGCAGCCTTGAACTCCTGGATTCTAGCAATCCTCCTACCCCAGCCTCCTAAGTAGCTGGGACTATAGGGTGCACCACCATGCTTGGCTAATTTTTTAAAATTATTTTTAGTAGAGACTAGGTTTTGCTGTGTTGCCAAAGCTGGTCTCTAACTCCTGGGCTCAAGCAACCCTCCTGCTTCGACCTCCCAAAGTGCTGGGATTACAGGCGTGAGCCACCATTATTACAGGCAAGGCGAAACCCTGTCTCTACTAAAAATACAAAAATTAGCTGGGCGTGGTGGGGCATGCCTGTAATCCCAGCTGCTTGGGAGGCTAAGTCAGGAGAATTGCTTGAACCTGGGAGGTGGAGTGAGCAAAGATTATGCCACTGCACTCCAGCCTGGGTGACAGAGCGAGACTCCATCTCAAAAAAAATAAAAATAAAATAAAATAAAAAGTAATCACTGTCTTCTAATGGAAGTTTCTGTTGCCTTTTGCTAAACATCTAAAGTACTTTAAGATTATATTTTAGCACATAATTTGTGCGCTTATCCAAGATCACCTTTCAATTTTCAAACACTTCTTAGGATTTTCTAGTCACTAAGGTGAACTGGAAGCGAGTTGGACCGAACACAAATTTTACTTAGTCTTGAAAGAAGAAATATAAATGGCTAAGTAATGTCAGGGTAGGGAGGAGGTTCAGCTTCATTTGTAGTTAAAAAAAAGAAGTAATTTAAAAAGAGAAGTCCCTTTATAAAGTTGGGAAGTTTTTTAAAGTGATATAATCTATCTTTGGTGAGGATTCAGGAAGATGGGCACTTTCTTACAGTGCAGGGAGGGAACACACAATCTTTCTGAAAAGCAATTTGACAGTGTGTATCAGAAGCCTTTAATTCACACTGAGAAACAGCATTGTAAAAAACTAAAGCCTTTAAAATGTATATTTAAGAAAGGAGTTAGAGACAAGGAAGGGGAGAAGGCTAGAACTCCATGGTATTAGATTGAAATGGGACCTATCAGTATAATCTCTCTTTCTCTGTCTACGCACACACACACAAAACGCAGACATACAGAAAAACATATGGATACAGAAATAGATGTAAATGTGTGTGGTTATGTGTCTGTGTACATATCTCCACATCTCTCTCTTTTTATTTTTTGAGATGGAGTCTCGCTCTATTGCCCATGCTGGAGTACAGTGTCACGATCTCAGCTCACTGCAGCCTCTGCCTCCTGGGTTCAAGGGATTCTGCTGCCTCAGCCTCTCAAGTAGCGGAGACTATAGGCACACAACACCATGCCCAGCTAAATTTTTTTTGTGTGTATTTTTAACAGAGACAGGGTTTCACCATGTTGGCCAGGCTGGTCTCGAACTTTTGACCTCAAGCGATCTGCCCACTTCAGCCTCCAAAAGTGCTGGGATTACAGGCATGAGCCACCGTGCCGGGCCTACATATATCTCTTACCTCTATCTGCTGAGAGGGCCTAGAAGCAATGAGACTCCAGTATCAATGAGCATACTTAGCGCCCAGATTTTTTTTAATCATTATTTTATTTTATTTTTTTAGAGATGACATCTTGCTATGTGTCCCAGGTTGACCTTGAGCTCCTGGGCTGAAGTGATCCTCCTGTTTCAGCCTCTCAAGTAGCTGAGACTGCAGGCATATGCCACTGTACCTGGCTCCCAAATCTGAATGTATAAATGCCATTTTTCTATAGAAGGAATCAGGACTTTTTGGAAAAATGGCTCTTTCCAAGGCTGACGCAGGGAAAATACAGAAAGCAGCTGGAATATCTTGTGGTGCCAGAAAGTAGAAAGTTCCTTTAGAAAAAAAAAAAAAGATGAGAGGCTAGGTGCAGTGGCTCCTTCCTATAATTCCAGCACTTTGGGAGGCCGAGGCAGGAGGATTGCTTGAGCCCAGGAGTTCAAGACCAGCTGGGAGACAAAGTGAGACCCCATCTCTACAAAAATAAAAATAAAAAAATTAGCCAGGCATGGTGGCAAGCACCTGAGGTCCCAACTACTTGGAAGGCTGAGACAGGAGGATTGCTTAAGTCCAGGAGTTCGAGGCTGCAGTGTGCCATGTTTGCACCATTGGACACCAGCCTGGGCGAGAATAAGACCCTGTTCCAAAAAAAAAAAAAAAAAAAAAGAGTATCTGTCAAAAAAGACATAGGAACGAACTTTAGGGGCTCTCAATGACCAAATATGGGACAGTTTAGTACTGTATTTTAAGCAGGTAGAATAAAACGATAATCTATTAGTCTGTGCTGATATAAATAAATAATCGAATAAATAAACAGAGGAGAAAGGAAATCTCTTTCTTACCTTAGAATTCCAATTAAATGTAGAACAAATGATGGATATAGATGCCATTTGGCAAACATCATAGGGATAAATGTTTCAAGCATAAAAAGTATGAGGAGAAACAGAAGTACATTGTCTTTAGGTATTTCCTTATGTCCCTGCTACCATAACCTGTTTTGCCAGGATCCAAGCCCCCATTCCTTCCATAACCTCAAGATGATATATAAGCTTCTAAACTCCATTGGGGGATGGATAATCACTCTGTGTGTGTTTTTCCCTGTGTACATGTTAATAAAATTTATATGCCTTTTCTCCAGTTAACCTGCCTTTTGTGGGTTGATTTTTCAGTGAAACTTCAGGAGGCAAAGGAAAAGTTTTACCTTGGTCCCTAAAGTTTGGTGCTGTGAGCGGGATCACCAAAGCGGATCTGTTCTTCCAGAAGCCACAGTGAAGGGAACCCAGGACTTGACAAGCCAGAACAAAGGGTAAGAATTTCTCGCCAGTCAGGCTCCAGGCCTCTCTGTGGAAACTGGGTTGAGTAGATGGTGAAAATCACTGTTCTCTTTTTCCTCTGCAAAATTTTGATGAATAGGAGAAAAGGATTTGTGTGACCAGTCTTGGGTGTAGTGACTGTGGTATATTTTTTGGTCTTTTGTTATGAATATTCATATTGTTTGATCCCTTTCCTCATAGAAATTGTTTGTTTGTTTGTTTTTTCCCCCTTTGTATTTGTCTTTCTGTGTTGTTCTTTTATAAAAAAGGGTACCAGATGAGGTTTCTGCTTGTCTTATTTTATATCCTTGAGGGTTTGACTTGTGAGCAAGTATTCTCTCTTGATCTCCACCATCCTGGGAATGTGATTTTCAGAGGACATCAGGTGACCAGCCTGAAAATGGCTGGGAACTCAAGATTTTTTGTTCCAAATGTGTCAAGCTCTTAGGAGAGTTTGTCTATCTTAGCCTATTCCCGGGAGTGAATTTTTTGTCGGGGATCTTCGGACTTGTTTCCTCACCTTCCACAAAAAGGCTATTGGACTGAGTCACTATTGGAATGAATACAACATTAGACATTAATCAGGCTGGGCGTGGTGACTCACGCCTGTAATTGCAGCACTTTGGGAGGCCCAGATGGGCGAATCACTTGAGGTCAGGAGTTTGAGACCAGCTTGGCCAACATGGTGAAACCCCGTCTCTACTAAAAATATACCAACTAACAGGGTGTGGTGGTGCATGCTTGTAATCTCAGCTACTTTGGAGGCTGAGGCATGATAATCACTTGGACCTGGGAGGCGGAGGTTGCAGTGAGCTGAGATCGTGCCACTGCACTCCAGCCTGGGCAACAGAGTGAGACTCTGTCTCAAAGAAAAAAAAAAGAAAGAAAAAAAGAGAAAGAAATTAGTCAGTGGCCAAAAAATGGGTCCTTTAAATTAGAAAGACTCCTAAATTTTAAAAAAGGAAGTTTAGAGATCTCTTATTCTAAACAATTACTTTATTTGTATGTAAAGAAAGATTAAGTTTTTAAAAAAGAGACTCAAAATAGTATCATGGCTAGCCTTAGAAATTCTCTAGGCAGGGCTGGGCACAGTGGCTCACACCTGTAATTCCAGCACTTTGGGAGGCCGGGGCAGATGGATCACCTCAGGTCAGGAGTTCAAGACCAGCCTGACCAACATGTGAAACCTCGTCTCTACTAAAAAAATACAAAAATTAACCAGGTGTGGTGGCAGGCGACTGCAGTCCCAGCTACTTGGGAGGCTGAGGCAGAAGAATGGCTTGAACCCGAGAAGTGGAGGTTGTAGTGAGCCGAGATCATGCCACTGCACTCCAGCCTGGGCGACAGATAGAGATTCTGTCTCAAAAAAAAAAAAAAAAAAAGAAGAAGAATTAGAAGAATTAGAAGAAGAACAAGAAGAACAAGAAGAAGGAGAAGAAATTCTCTAGACAGGCCGGGTGTGGTGGCTCATGCCTATAATCTCAGCATTTTGGGAGGCCAAGGCCGGTGGATTGCTTGAGGTCAGGAGTTCAAGACCAGCCTGGCCAACATGGTGAAACCCTGTCTCTACTGAAAATACAAAAATTACCCAGGAGTTGTGGTGGGTGCCTGTAAGCCCAGCTACTCAGGAGGCTGAGGAAGGAGAATCTCTAGAACCTGGGAGGCGGAGGTTGTAGTGAGCCAAAATCGTGCCACTGCCCTCCAGCCTAGGCAACAGAACCAGACTCTGTCTTAAAAAAAAAAAAAAAGAAGAAGAAGAAAAAGAAAAAGAAAAAGAAATTATCTTGACAAAATTAAAGAGCAAAGGTCTGACCTAAAACAAAGCTAGAATCCTTTGTACACTCAGACTGCCTGCTTGTGATCTCTTGTGGGATTAACAATGGCAGGGCTGCTCCGCCTTGTAGTCTAATAGTTAAAATTCCACAGGTTCACTGCCATGGCCTAGGTTTAATTCCTAGTCAGGGAATCAGTCTCTTTTGGTTTGAAATTTGTGTGAATTTTGACTTTTTGAGGAACCCATTTATTAATGATCCTTGTTCCTTCCATGGACAGCTTATGATTTCCTGTCAACTTCTGTCTATAGGAGGCACATGAGGCTTTTGGGCCTTTGTGTGTAAATGATCAGCTGAGAAGCTGGGACCCCAGAGAATATAGAAATGTGGGTTATACCCTATTTTCAGCTAGCAAAATTTTTCTTTCTTTGAGCTGTCTTTTGGATGGTTCTGGATCTTGTGAGGCATTGGGGAGGGTATATTTGGAATAAAACAATTCAAAAGCCATAAATATTAGCTATTTGTCCCAGCTAAAATCTAATAATGAGATTTTTAAAGGTTTTTGAAAAAAGAGCTCTATGGTTAGAAGTCAGCTTAATTAAAAGCTGATATTCAAGCCATATATATGTTTGTGAGAGTACATATATATGTGTATATATATACACACACACACGCATATATATATAGAGAGAGAGATGTACATAAAAGGACTTTCTGCTTTTTCTCTTTTAGGATCTTGTTTTTGGTGCTTTCTTTTCAGTTGACAGAAACCCTCTTTAAAGAAAAAAAAAAAAAACAGTATGTGCTTGGTATCTCTTTTCACTTCCATTTACTTCTCCTCCTCCCTATTCTTTCTTTCTCTTTGCTGTCTTCAGTATCACATAAAAGACTCTAGAGGGGGCCTCTAATAGCTCAGACACCTTAAGGAACAGAGAAAAAGGAACCACTCCCACTTTTGGGGGGGTCCTCTGTTTTCCTTATGGAGTTTCAAGAGTCATGAACAGATTCTTCTCAGGTTTAAAGCTCGGCTTTTTTTTTTTTTTTTTGAGACAGGGTCTCACTCTGTCGCTAGACTGGAGTGCAGTGGTGTGATCTCGGCTCATTGCAACCTCTGCCTCCCAGGCTCAGGTGATCCACCTGCCTCCGCCTCCCAAAGTGCTGGGATTACAGGCGTGGGCCACTGCGCCCAGCTTTTTTTTTTTTTTTTTAACATTACATTACCTGTTTCTTTCACTCTTCTGGGATACCAGAAATTATTTTACCCTGCCAGAGAGAACTTGACCTTTGTGTGTGAGATGGCTGGCAGGACACTGGAAAGAGCTACAGTCTTAGAGGTGACTGACAGCAGTTACAGTGAATGAGTAATACTACAGGGGGCTATTCACATCTTTGCATGTTAAGATAAAAAGGATGTGGCTTAAACACTTAGAAAAATGTCGTAACCAAGCACACTGTAAAAGCATTGCACAGCCAGGTTCCGTGGCATTTCCCTCTTTTGGAGGACCCAGGATTCAGTGAAAAAGTAAGTTTTTAATTCTTTTATTTATTTATTTATTTTTGAGATGGAGTCTCACTCTGTTGCCCAGGCTGGAGTGCAGTGGCGTGATCTCAGCTCACTGAAACCTCCACCTCCCAGGTTCAAGCGATTCTTCTGTCTCAGCCTCCCAAGTAGCTTGGGACTACAGGCGCGTGCCACCACAACTGGCTAATTTTTTGTATTTTTTAAATAGAGATGGGGTTTCACTGTGTTAACGAGGACGGTCTCGATCTCCTGACCTCATGATCCACCCACCTTGGCCTCCCAAAGTGCTGGGACTACAGGCATGAGCCACCACGCCCAGCCCAATTTTTAATTCTTAAAAATTTAAATACTTGTCCTTCCAACTGTGCCTGTTTTTCACTTATTTAAACTATTAGGCCCCACGAACTACAAATACTTCGCTAGTCTTATTCATTAATGGGCTCCATCCTGAGCACAATGGTCCAGTTAAAAAACAAATATTAAATTAAAAGCCACCTATCTAAATAAAATTGGTCTCCTTATAAAATCCTAAGGTAAATTCCTGTGATTTTGTGTTACCTTGATGTTCATTTTTAATCTTCTTCTAACTTACACACCCAAACTTCTTCCTAAAAAGCTTAAATTCTCTCTGTAAGGGAGGAGACCACCCCTCATATTGTCTAATGCCCAATTTCTGCCTCCAAAGAAAGAAGAAGTAAAAACTAAAAGGCAGAAATGAAATCCACAAGCAGACAGCCTGGCGCCACACCCTGGGCCTGGTAGTTAAAGATCAACCCCTGACCTAATCGGTTATGTTATCTATAGATTACAGATATTGTATAGAAAAGCACTGTGAAAATTCCTGTCCTGTTCTGTTCCATTCTAATTACAGGTGCATGCAGCCCCCAGTCATGTACCCCCTGCTTGCTCAATCAATCACGACCCTCTCATGCGGACCCCTTTAGAGTTGTGAGCCTTTAAAAGGGACAGGAATTGCTCACCTGGGGAGCTCAGTTGTTGGAGACGTGAGTCTTGCTGAAGCTCCTGGCTGAATAAAGCCCTTCCTTCTTTAACTTGGTATCTGAGGGGTTTTGTCTGCGGCTTGTCCTGCTGCATTTCTTGGTTCCCTGACCGGGAAGCGAGGTGATTAATGGACGGTTGAGGCAGCCCCTTAGGTGGCTTAGGCTTGCCCTGTGGAACATCCCTGCGGGGGACTCCAGCCAGCTTGAGCAACGCAGATCCTGAGAGCGCTCCTGGGTAGGCAATTGCCCCGGTGGAATGCCTTGCCAGAGCAGCGCATGCAGGCCCCCACAGAGGATTAACACAGTGGCTGAACACCGGGAAGGAACTGGCACTTGGAGTCCAGACATCTGAAACTTGCTAAGACTAGTCTTTGGAACTTGCCCATTCCATTTGAGTGGCAGTGTGGCCTGAACACCCACGGTGTGCCTATACCGGCACTTTGGTTTTTGTTTTTGACTTGACTTGGATTGCTTGATACTTTCGTTTTGGTTTCGACCTGGCTTGGATTTCTTGATACTCTGATTTTGGTTTTGATTCTGGTTTGGTGTAAACTATAAAAGTGTGTGTGTGTGCCCTTTTTACCCGTTCTTTGTATTGTGGTGTGCGTGTGGTGTGAGCGTGGTGTTTTCTCTTGAAGAAGCATGGGTCAGGCACAAAGTAAGCCCACCCCACTAGGAACTCTGTTGAAAAATTTCAAGAAAGGATTTAAGGGAGACTATGGAGTATTATGGCACCAGGAAAACTTAAAACTTTGTGTAAGATAGACTGGCCAGCATTAGAGGTGTGTTGGCCATCAGAAGGAAGGCTGGACAGGTCCCTTGTTTCAAAGGTATGGCACAAGGTAACCTGTAAGCCAGGGCACTCAGACCAGTTCCCGTACATAGACACTTGGTTACAGCTGGTTTTAGACAACCCCCACCCCCCCAGCGGTTGAGAGAACAGCAGCATAAGTGGCTGGCAGAGGCAAGGAAAGACCAGCAGAGAGAGAAAGAGGAAGAGACAGAGAGACAAAGAGGGAGTCAAGGAAAGAGAGAGAGTGAGAGCGAGACAGAGATAGAAAGAGAGAGGCAGAGAGAGAGAAAGAGACAGAGGCAAAAGGAAAGTCAAAGAGAAAAAAAGACAGAAAATCAAAGCGAAAGAAAGAAGGAAAAACAAAGCAGGAAAAAGAAAGAAAGAAAGAGAAAGAAATAGACATACAAGTAGTTAAGAAAAAAACTGTGTACCCTATTCCTTTAAAAGCCAAGGTAAATTTAAAACCTATAATTGATAATTGAAGGTATTCTCCATAACCCTATAACACTCCAATACCATTTTGTTGTCAGTGTAAACAAGGGCATATCTGAAAGCACCGAGGCCTTCCTATCAAAAATCCTTAACCCAGTAACCCACAGATGGCCCGAATGCATTCAATCTGTAGTGGCAACTGCTTTGCTAACAGAAAAAAGTAAAAAAATAGCTTTTAGAGGAAACCTGATTGTGAGCACACCTCACCAGTTCAGAAGTATCCTAAGAAAAAAAAGAAGGATGATTTAACATTAACCACTGAAAATTCCCTTAACCCAGCAGGTTTCCCAACAGGGGATCTAAATCTTAATTACCACAGAAGGTCCGACCAGGCCTAGGAGGAACTCCCTTCAGGACAGGAAGATTGATGGTTCCTCCCAGGTAATTGAAGGAAAAAAAAAAAGCCATCTATACCAATTCTAAATTAATTTGGACAAAACAAGGTCTTATTAATAGCAAAGGATAATTAAAATCCCAAACTTACAAGGTTTTCAACAAAAGTAAAGTTTGCTAAAAGTTAACAGTGTAACATGTATTATAGTAACTTCTAATCTTGTGACCTTAGACTGTCTAGTCCACAGACATAAAAGAAGTTCACTTTGGAAAAGAATGGTTATCATCTTTGAAAAAAAAAAAGGAAAAAAAGGAGGGGCAGAATTTATGTAAAAAGAGTGTTATATGGTAAATTCTTGTTCCGAAATAAATTAACTGGTTGTTTAAAGAAAAAAATGTTTGTAATAAGTCAGAAAGTTGAGGCATGTTGAAGAATTGTCTGCGAAAGTCGTGAAAGAGAAAAATGTTATAAAAAATAATTTATGCAAGAAATGTTGTATAATTTGAAAGTAACTAGGCCTCCTGAATGTAAAACTATTGAAAAAAAAAGCAGATTATGTGCAAGGCTATAAGGAAAGTAAAATATACCTTTGGTAAAAGGATTATAAGAAGGCATAAGAATGTAAATTTTTATCTACATTAAAAGATTAAAAAATTTGTTTTGGAGGTTTAAGCAAGTTTTAAAACATTAATCATAAAAAAAATTCTGTGTGTAAACATATTAGCTAAAGTTAAAGGAGTATCATCCAGTTTTTCTGTAAACTGGACATTAAAGTAAAAACACAATGGGTTTTTCTTAAAGCACTAACCTGCTCTTCAACAAAGATTATAAAAAGTTAAAAAGAGTCTATAAAAATCTTGCCTTATGGCCCAACATAAAAATTGAATAAATATGTATACAAAGTTTTATTAAAACTAAGTTTAGGCTGGGCGCGGTGGCTCACACCTGTAATCACAGCACCTTGGGAGGCCGAGGCGGGCGGATCATGAGGTCAGGAGATTGAGACCAACCTGGCTAACACAGTGAAACCCCGTCTCTACTAAAAATACAAAAAAATAGCTGGGCGTGGTGGCAGGTACCTGTAGTCCCAGCTACTCGGGAGGCTGAGGCAGGAAAATGGCTTGAACCCAGGAGGCAGAGCTTGCAGTGAGCCAAGATAGGCCACTGCACTCCAGCCTGAGTGACAGAGTGAGACCCTGTCCCAACAAAAAAAAGAAAAAGAAACTAAGTTTAATATTAATAGCACACTAATATAAAGGTGAAATTTAGCTTATCTGGTATAAAAATCATACAAGAGCATTATTAAATATAAAATGGTATTTGGCTTTCTTTGGTCTAAAAACTAATAAAAATAGATGCTAAAGGAAATTTCTCAGTAAGAAGGCACCAAAGACTATAAAGTCCACTGTTGATGTCCCCACATTTAAAACAAAAAGTCAATTTCTTAAAAATTATACACTTGGTTTATCTTCCACTTTCTTTTCCCTCAAAATTAAAAGTCTTTTAGCACAGGTACCACCCCTAGAATTTCCAGTAAACCAGCACCAGCCTGAAGATCACCTTCTTATCAAAGGGTGGAAAGAAGAAAAACTCGAGCCAGCCTAGGAAGGATCCTACCTTGTGCTGCTAACCACTGAGACTGCTGTTCATACAGCAGAAAAGGGATGGACTCATCACACCCGAGTCAAAGCGCCACCCTCTCCAGAGTCATGGGCCACAGTCCCAGGGGAAAACCCTACCAAACTAAAGCTAAGAAAAATTTAACTCTTTCATCTATTCTATTACTCTTTCTTCTTTCCTCGCTCTATTGCTGACCATCTGGTTATTAACATAACCAAGTCAATTTCGCCTCAAAGTATTGCATTTAATGCTTGCCTTGTTATACCCTGTGGGGACTTGCGAAGTCAAAGACAGCTCTCTACTTCAGAAAAGTACCTCTGTCCCTCCTGACTCTCCTCAGACTGGGCATTAGTAAATTAGGACCATTTAATCCGGGGAAATTTCGATAAAGTCTCCAGTGTCAACCAGGAGTCTTGCTCCCCAGTGTAGAGCTTTTATGCTGTAGTTGGTCCAACATTCTGTGGACCACTAAAGAGCAAGGATGGACAGCCCCAACAGGTTTTTGTAATTTCCCAAAATCATACATTTATTTTACTAGAGGATCATAGAAGTTAAAGACTTAAAACAAACTTTGGCAATTAAGACAGCATACCAAGATGCAAATGCCTGGTTGGAATGGATCAAATATTCCATCTGAACACTAAACAAAAGCAATTGTTATGCTTGTGGACATGGCAGACCAGATGCCCAGATTGTACCCTTTCCACTAAGGTGGTCCTCCAGTCAACCAGGCGTGGGCTGCATGGTAGCTCTTTTCCAGGATTCTACAGCCTGGAGTAATAAGTTGTGCCAAGCTCTCTCTGCTATATCCCAAAGTTCGGCACCCTGTGGGTCAGCCCCCGAGGGCCATCCAGCCTCCGTTTCCCAACACTAAGTTCACTTCGTGTCTCTCACGACAGAGAGGAAACTTAGCATTCCTAGGAGACCTGAAGGGATGCAGTGAGCTTAAAAATTTTCAAGAGCTTATCAATCAGTCAGCCCTTGTTCATCCCCGAGCGGATGTGTGGTGGTATCGTGGTAGACCTTTACTGGCACTCTGCTGAATAACTGGAATGGCACTTGTATTTTAGTCCAATTGGCTATCCCTTTCACCCTGGCATTTCATCAACCAGAGGGAGGAAAAATAAGACATTGTAAAGCGAGAAAAGCCCCTTATGGGTCTTTCGACTCTCACGTCCATTTAGATGCAACTGGAGTCCCAGGATGACCACCAGATCAATTTAAAGCTTGAAATCAAATAGCTGCAGGATTTGAGTCAATATTTTGGTAGGTAACAGTTAATAAAAATGTAAATTGGATAAACTACATCTATTACAACCAATAGCAATGAGCTTTTCATAAGTTAAAAGAAAAACTCATGTCGGCCCCAGCCCTGGGGCTACCTGACCTGACAAAACTCTTTATACCCTATGTGTCAGAAAGAGGAAAAAATGGCAGTTGGAGTTTTAACCCAGACTGTGGGGCCCTGGCCAAGGCCAGTGTCCTATCGCTCAAAACAACTAGACGGGGTTTCCAAAGGCTGGCCCCCAGGTCAAAGGGCCTTGGCAGCAACGGCCCTGTTAGCACAAGAAGCAGAAAAACTAACCCTTGGGCAAAACCTGACTATAAAGGCCCCCCCATGCTGTAGTAACTTTGATGACTACCAAAGGACATCATTGGTTAACAAATGCTAGATTAACCAAGTACCAAAGCTTGCTCTGTGGAAATCTCCACATAACCATTGAAGTTTACAACACCCTAAACCCTACCACCTTGCTCCCGGTATCAGAGAGCCCAGTTGAACATAACTGGGTAGAGATGTTGGACTCAGTTTATTCTAGCAGGCCCAACCTCTGAAACCATCCTTGAACATCAGTAGACTGTGAGCGGTACATGGACGGGAGCAGCTTTGTCAACCCCTGCAAAGTGACTGTGAAGAAGATGACAAGCCCTGCTCCAGTCACACCCAGAAGCTGACTGGGTCCATGCATGGCCGAAGCATGAGAAAACTCATCGCAGGACTTATTTTCCTTAAAATTTGGACTTGTACAGTAAGTACTTTAACTGACCTTCCTCAGACTGAGGACTGTTTCCAGTGTATACATCAAGTCACTGAGATAGGACAAAAAGTTGCTACAGTCCTATTATTTTATGATTATTATGATTGTACCAGGACTCCAAAAAAAAACTTGTTTGTATAATGCTATTCTATGCGAAGTATGTAGCCCAGGAAATGACCAACCTGATGTGTGTTATGACCCATCTGAGCCTCCCATGACCACAGTTTTTGAAATAAGATTAAGGACTGAGGACTGGTGGTGGCTTATAAATGATACGAGTAAAGTGTTAGCCAAAACAAAAGAAAAAGGGGTGCCCAAACAAATCACCTTGAAGTTTGATGCCTGTGCTATCATTAATAATAATAAGTTAGGAATAGGATGTGGTTCTTTTAATTAGGAAAGAGGCTATATGGCAGAAAATAAGTACATTTGTCATGAATTAGAACTGTGTGGAAATGAATGTGGATACTGGTCTTGTGTCATTCAGGCTACTTGGATAAAAAATAAAATGTATTCTGTCCACCTTCAGAAAGGGAAAAGTGGCCCTTCCTGTACCAGTGGTCAGTGTAACCCCTTAGAACTAGTAATAACCAATCTCCTTGATCCTCGCTGAAAAAAAGGGGAGCGTGTAACCCTGGGAATCAATAGGGCTGGACTGGATCATCGAGTAAGTATCATGGTTTGAGGAGAAGTTTATAAACGCTCTCCTGAGCCAGTATTTCAAACCTTCTGTGATAAACTGAATGTGCCAGTACCAGAAATTCCAGGAAAAACAAGAAATTTGTTTTTGCAATTAGCTGAGCATGTGGCCCAGTCTCTCAATGTCACTTCATGTTATGTATGTGGAGGAACTGTAATGGGAGATCAATGGCCATGGGAAGCCCAAGAGTTAATACCTATAGACCCAGTTCCCAATGAATTCCCGGCTCAAAAGAATCACCCTAATAACTTCTGGGTCCTAAAAGCCTCAATCATTAGACAATACTGTATAGCAAGAGTGAGGAAGGACTTTACCCTTCTTGTGGGAAGACTCAGCTGTCTTGGGCAAAATACTACAAAAACAGCCACCTAGTGGAGTTCAAATTACACTAAGAAAAATCCATTTAGCAAATTCCCAAAGTTGCAAACTGTGTGAACCCACCCGGAGTCCCACTGGGACTAGACAGCCCCCTCTGGATTATACTGGATATGTGGACATAGAGCTTACACCAAATTACCCGACCAGTGGGCAGGTAGTTGTGTTATTGGCACTTTTAAACCATCCTTCTTCCTACTGCCCATAAAGACAGGCTAATTCCTGGGCTTCCCTCTCTGTGCCTCCCACAAAAAGAGAAGCATAGCTATAGAAAATTAAAAAGATGATGAATGGCCCCCTGAGAGAATCATACAATATTATGGGCCTGGTACTTGGGCACAAGACAGCTTGTGGGGATACCCAACCCCCATTTACATGCTCAACCAAATCATAACGGTTACAAGCTGTCTCAGAAATAATCACTAATAAGACAGGCGGAGCCTTGACTATTCTGGCCTGGCAAGAAACTCAGATGAGAAATACTATCTATCAAAATAGATTGGCTCTCAACTACTTGCTAGCAGCTGAAGGAGAGGTCTGTAGAAAATTTGACCTTACAAATTGCTGTCTACACATAGATGATCAAGGGCAAGTAGTTGAAGACATGGTTAGAAATATGACAAAACTGGCACATGTGCCCGTGCAAGTGTGGCATGGATCCTGGGGCCATGTTTGGAAAATGGTTCCCAGTGCTAAAAAGATTTAAAACTCTTATAATAGGAGTTATAATAGTAATAGGAACCTGCTTACTGCTCCCTTGTTTGCTACCTGTACTTCTTCAAATGATAAAAAGCTTCAACGCTACCTTAGTTCACCAAAATGCTTCAGCACAAGTGTACTATATGAATCACCATCGATCTGTCTTGCAAGAAGACATGGGTAGTGAGAAGGAAAGTAAGAACTCCCACTATTGAGTGAGATTCTCAAAGGAGGGGAATAAGGGAGGAGACCACCCCTCATATCGTCTCATGCCCAATTTCAGCCTCCAAAGAAAGAAGTAAAAACTAAAAGGCAGAAATGAAATCCACAAGCAGACAGCCCGGCGCCACACCCTGGGCCTGGTAGTTAAAGATTGACCCCTGACCTAAACGGTTATGTTATCTATAGATTGCAGACATTGTAAGAAAAGCACTGTGAAAATCCCTATCCTATTCTGTTCCATTCTAATTACAGGTGCATGCAGCCCCCAGTCATGTACCCCCTGCTTGCTCAATCAATCACGACCCTCTCACGCGGACCCCCTTAAAGTTGTGAGCCCTTAAAAGGGACAGGAATTGCTCACCCAGGGAGCTCGGTTGTTGGAGACGTGAGTCTTGCCGAAGCTCCCGGCTGAATAAAGCCCTTCCTTCTTTAACTTGGTGTCTGAGGGGTTTTGTCTGCAGCTTGTCCTGTTACATCTGTACTTTGAGATGTAAATTTGCTACCCCATTTTCTCTAAAACTCAGTGACGTCTTTAGCAAGACCTTTTCTATTTACAAAAGCACAGTTTGAATCCAACTGTCCTTTTAAACTAGTGAGCTTTACCTGTCTCATGGCTAAAATTAAAAAATTAAAGCTATAAAGTCTTTATTTGTGTCTATCTATATATTTGTGTACATGTGTACATGTATATATGTCTGTTTGTATAATATCAAATTGGCTTATAAATAAATATTCATAAATTAAATAAGTCCAAGTGCTATTCAAGTTAACATGAATTCAATACTCTTTAGTAAATATGGCTAATTTTAAAATTCCTAATAAAGTAAAATAAAAACATCTTCAAAATTTAAACATTTTTTCTGGGTCTATTGATAAGTCAGTGCTGTCTCTACTAGATGTTTTAAGAAGATAAAACTGTTGCCTCTATGATGTTTTAAATATATACTTAATTTGTCTGTGAGCTTATAAAGATATAAAAGTATAGTTTCTGTTAAAGAAAAAGTAATTTTTTCTATTTTAGAAGTTTAAAAAGTTGTTTGAAATTTAAATAATAATGAAAGTAGATATAAAAAGTTGGGACATCTTTTTTGAATTATAAGAGATTATAAAGGTTTATAAAAATCTTATTTTGTGTGGTCAAAACTGATTAAGAGTAGATAAATCTGTTCACATTTATTAGGCCAGGAGTGGTGTCATGCCTAGCACTTTGGGAGGCTGAAGTGACAGGATCTTTTGAACACAGGAGTTTGATATTAGCCTGGGCAACATAGTGAGACCCTATCTCTACAAAAAAGTGAAAAAATTAGCCAGGTGTAGTGGCACATATCTGTGGTCCCAGCACATCTGTGGTCCCAGGAGGCTGAGGTGGGAGGATCACTTGAGCCTGGGAGGTTGAGGCTGCCATGAACTGTAATCATGCCATTGCACTCTAGCATGGCAATGGAGCAAGACTCTATGTTAAAAAAAAAAAAGATTTTATTAAAATTTACTTTAACAGTAATAATACACTGATACAAAGATAAAATTTGGTTTTCTCTTTTAAATGAAATTTGTGGCTGGCCACAGTGGCTCACATCTGTAATCCCAGCACTTTGGAAGGCTGACGCAGGAGGATTTCTTGAGTTCAGGAGTTTGAGACCAGCTTTGGCAGCATGGCAAAATCCCATCTCTACAAAAAAAAAAAACATAAAAATTAATCAGGCATGGTGGCACATGCCTGTAGTCCCAGTTACTTAGGAGGCTGAGGTGGGAGGATTGCCTGAGTCTGGGAGGTCAAGGCTGTAGTGGGCTGAGATTGTGCCACTGCACTGTAGCCTAGGTGACAGAGTGAGACCCTGCCTCAAAAAACAAAAAACAACAAAAACAAAAAAAAGATTTTGATGTAATATTAGTAAGAGATAGTAAAATATTTTTATTCAACATTTGAGTAAACTACAAAAAAAAGAGGGGGGAGAGGAAAAGATAGATTCAGTTTGTCTCATGCAGTCTTTTTTCTTTTTCTTTTATTTTGAGATGGAGTTTCACTTTTGTTGCCCAGGCTGGAGTGCAATGGCGTGATCTTGGCTCACTGCAACCTCTGCCTCCTGTGTTCAAGCGATTCTCCTGCCTCAGCCTCCTGAATAGCTGGGATTACAGGCATGCGCCACCATGCCTGACTAATTTTTTTGTATTTTTAGTAGAGACGGATTTTCTCCATGTTGGTAAGGCTGGTCTCAAACTCTCAACCTCAGGTGATCTGCCCACCTTGGCCTCCCAAAGTGCTAAGATTACAGGCGTGAGTCACCGCGTGCAGCCTGTCTCATGCAGTCTTTATTAGACCTTTTTATTGTTTAGAAAACTGAGTCTTTTCTCTAACACAGAAAAAGGATTTTGCTTTTTAGAATCTTTGAATGATCACTTTGGATAAATGAATGATTTCTTTTCACAGTGATCTGTGATCCTATTTTTGTGATATGAAGTGTTTTAGACCTTTGTTATTTAACAAACTTTTCAAAATGAAATTTCTAATTCTAAATTAGGTCTTTTTGACCTCAGATTAGATATTTTTAGATATTAGGGACCCTGGAAGTCCAAGAGAGACTTATTTGACTTATTTGGTATTGTTACGGGATATTTGGGGTGTCTCTTCTCTGGCTGGAAACCTCTGTGGCTGGTGGCACCTTTGCCCAAGTTCTTGTCTTGTGTGCAGGAAGAATGAGGTATGCAGACAAGTGAAGGGTGAACACGATGAAGAGAAGCTTTATTTGGAGTGTTAGAACAGCTCGGAAGAGACCCACAGTGGGTTGCCCCTCTCTGTAGATGGGTCGTCCCATTGAGTGTTCAGCTCTCAGCAGAGAGGAGGCCCTGCAGTGGGTGTCTTCTCTCTGCCAGCAGGTCGCCCTGTCATCTCTGCAGCTCTCAGCAAAGAGGCGTCCTAGAGAGGGTGGCTCCTCTCTGCAGGCAGGTCGTTCCAAGAGGATAAGTCCTCTCTGAAGCTGGTCATCTTGTGACCTGCTCAGCTCTGGCCGAGCTGGGGGCTTTTTTTTTTTTTTGAGATGGAGTCTAACTCTGTCGCCCAGGCTGGAGTGCAGTGGCACGATCTTGGCTCAATGCAACCTCCGCCTCTCAGGTTCAAGTGATTCTTCTGCCTCAGCCTCCTGAGCAGCTGGGACTACAGGCACATGCCACTGTGCCCAGCTAATTTTTGTATTTTCAGTAGAGACAGGGTTTCACCACATTGGCCAGGCTGGTCTCGAACTCCTGACCTCATGATTGGCCCGTCCTGGCCTCCCAAAATGCTGGGATTACAGGTGTGAGCCACTGTGCCCAGCCGAGTCGGGGGCTTTTATGGGCCTCAGAGGGGAGGAAGTGCTCACCAATTGGTCCATGGGTGGCCATGGGAAGGCCGGGAAAAAGCACCACAAGTTCCTGCTCGTGTCCGTGGGACTAGCAGCCCAGCCCCCAGCCTTCAGGCCCTCCCTTGCCTTAAGGTGGGGCCACACCAGGACCCTTCCCCCATTTCTGCTCAGAAAATCTGTCTGCCTCCTGCTGCTGTTCATGGCACCCAGGCTCTGCCCCACTTTGCTCCTAGTGCGCTCTGGGAGCAGGCACTTTGGAGTCTGGGAGGATGGGGGGACCTTCTCATGCTCCCAAGAGTGGAGGGATGCCTGAGTCTGCAGCTGTGGTTTGGGTGGCTGCAGCTCTGCTGGGTAGGGCAGGGTTCTTGCCTGCTCCTGGCCAAGAGCACAGAGAGGCTCTGATCTGCAGCCATAACTTGAGTTGTGGAGCAGGAGGCTGGGTCTGCAGCAGCGGTTTTGGTGGCTGCAGCGGGCACCCAGGGAGCTGCTCCCACCCCAGCTCAGAAGGGGTGGGGCTCCCACTTGTCCCCAACTCCTGTGGGCTCCATGGAGCATGCAGCCCTGGCTGAGCCTCCCTGCTGCAGCCGGCATGATGGCAGTGGCAGGTTGTTTGGAGTGGCCACTGCCATCAGTATGTTAAAATCATATGAAAAGCATTGTCAAATAAGAAAAAGTTTTTAACTTTCTTTGAGTTATATTTTTATTAATATGTTATTAATATGTGTTCCAAAATTGTATGAGATTCCTAAAATTCTGAAGTGTCTTGGAATATGTTATCAATTATGATGATTATAATTTTTTTATTATTATTAGAGTTGGGGTCTTGACCTATCATCCAAGCTGGGGTGCAGTGGCATGATCATGGTTTACAGCAGCCTGGAACTACTGGGCTCAAGGATCCTCCTGCCTTAGCCTCCTGAGTAGCTGGGACTACAGGTATGCACCACCATGCCTGGCTAAGATTTTTTTTTTTTAATTTTTTGTAGAGAAAGTGTCTCACTATGTTACCCAAGCTGGTCTTGAACTCCTGGCCTTATGCGATCCTCTTGCCTCAATATCCTGAGTTGCTGGGATTACAGGTGTCAGCCACCACACCTAGCTCTAAATTGTTGTATGCCACAGTAATAACAAAATTTGCTTGCTCAAAAGTAGATAGCTACAGTCTAAAATTTGCTTCTTCTTCAAGAAAAGTCATGGAAAAGATTCTGATAAGTACTCTTCAATACAGGTTTCTCATAACTTTAGAGATCATACCATTAGACTAGGCTTAAAAAAAAAAAAAAACAGCTGGACATAGTGGCTCACGCTAAGTTTTGTATTTTTTGTAGAGATGGGGTTTCATCATATTGGTCAGGCTAGTCTCGAACTCCTGACCTCAGGCGATCCGCCCGCCTCAGCCTCCCAAAGTGCTGGGATTACAGGCGTGAGCCACAGCATCTGGCCCAACCATCAATTTTTAAAATGTCACAAAAGGACAAGCCAGGTGCAGTTATGCCTGCCTGTTAATTCCAACTATTTGGGAGGCTGAGCCAGAATGCTTGCTTGAGCCCAGGAGTTCAGACCAACCTGGGTAACATAACAAAACTCAGTCTCTAAAGTGAAAACAATTTTTTTAAAAATTTAAATTATGAAAGGAAAAGTGTAAATATAAAATCCATCATTTTCTTTTCCTGTCTATCTTTTTTTTATCTTTATCAAGCTAGATATGCAGTTTCATACATCATTGTAATTATGGTATGCAATTGTGTATCTCTACTTTTTATTATTATTTTGTAAAACATCTCCATATTTCTGCATTCTGTCATTTTAATTGTATTCATAATGTTTCATCGATATACCTAGTTTTTCCTACGGTTTCATATTATTGATTATTTAGGTGATTTCTAGTTTTTAACTCTTAAACTTTTTGCTATCAGCATTTTTTTTTTTTTTTTTGAGACGGAGTCTCTCTCTGTCGCCAGGCTGGAGTGCAGTGGCGCGATCTCGGCTCACCGCAACCTCCACCTCCTGGGTTCAATCGATTTTCCTGCCTCAGCCTCCCGAGTAGCTGGGTCTACAGGCATGCACCAGCACGCCCAGCTATTTTTCTGTATTTTCAGTAGAGATGGGGGTTTCACCACGTTGGCCAGGATGGTCTTGATCTCTTGACCTTGTGATCCACCTGCCTTGGCCTCCCAAAGTGCTGGGATTTCAGGCATGAGCCACCGCATCCGGCCGCATCAGTGTGCATTTTTAACCATTCATCTGTCTCTTGGTTTGTGGCAGTCCCACTATGGCTTACCAAACAGCAGCTGCCTCGTGATCTTACTATCATTCATTTCCCACACATATCTCACCCTGCTGAGTTAATCTGCAGTAGGCATCCTTTCAGTACTTGTTATCTAACTATAATCTGCAACCTTAGTCTAGTCACCCTCTCTTACCAGCTGGGGTTTTACCAGGCACGCATGGAATTTAAACTATTTACAGAAGTTGAAGATTTCAGTAGCAAACCAATTCGCATAGTCTTATAAAAATTGTACATTCCACTGCTTTACAAAACAGAATGTACTAAATGCCATTGAATTGTACACTTTAAAATGGTTAATTTTATATTATGCAAATTTCACCTCGTGTAAAAAAACAATATACGAGATGTCTGGACATAAGGATTGTAATACGATGGTAAAAATGAGGGTAGCTGCAGGAGTCTAATCTCAATCTTTTATCTTTTCAACCTTTGTCGTTTGCCTAAAGAATTTATCTTGCAATTTTCTTTCTGCTGTCAAACATTTCCTAACTTATTCATGATCTCAGCTCACTGCAGCCTCCACCTCCCAGGTTCAAGTGGTTCTTGTGCCTCTCAGCCTCCTGAGTAGCTGGGATTACAGGAACGTGCCACCTTGTCCAGCTAGTATCAAAATATGTGTACATAAAAATAAAAATTGTCCAGACATCTTCTATATTGCTTTTTTACACTTGAGGTGAAATTTGCCTAATATAAAATTAACGATTTTAAAGTGTACAATTCAATGGCATTTAGTACATTCACAGAGTTGAACAACTATCACCTCTATCTAGTTTCAAAATACGTGCCTGTTCACCTCATTTTCATTCAATTCATTTTATACTCCCAAAAACCTTTATATCCATTAGATAGTCACTCTCTATTTGTCTTTTCCCTCAGTCATTGATAATCACCAATCTGCTTTCTGTCTCTATGGATTTATCTATTCTGGATATTTCATAGGAATGGAATTATATGTTATCTATTTTTTTTTAAGAGATGGGGTCTTGCCATGTTGCCCAGATTGGAATGCAGCAGCTATTCACAGGCATAATCATAGTTCACTATGATCTTGAACTTCTCGGATCAAGAGATCCTCCCACCTCAGCCTCCCGAGTAGCTGGGACTATCCAGGTACACACCACCACAGTGCTTTTCACATTCATCCACCTTGTAGCATGAATCAGTATTTCTTTTCTTTTTCACGTCTGAGTAATATTTGGTTGCATGGATATACCATATTTTGTTTATCAGTTCCCCTGATGATGGACATTTGGGTTGTTTCCACCTTTTGGTTATTATTGGTAATGCTGCTGTGAACATTCATGTAAAACATTTTTTTTTTTTTTGAGACGCAGTCTTGCTCTGTCGCCCAGGCTGGCGTGCAGTGGTGTGATCTCAGCTCACTGCAAGCTCCACCTCCCAGGTTCAAGCGATTCTCCCTGCCTCAGCCTCCCAAGTAGCTGGGATTAAAGGCACGGGCACCACTGAGCCAGGCTATTTTTTTTTTTTCCTCGAGACGGAGTCTTGCTCTGTCACCCAGGCTGGAGTGCAGTAGTGCGATCTCGGCTCACTGCAAGCTCTGCCTCCCCAGTTCACGCCATTCTCCTGCCTCAGCCTCCTGAGTAGCTGGGACTACAGGTGCCCGCCACGACACCCGGCTAATTTTTTGTATTTTTAGTAGAGATGGGGTTTCACCGTGTTAGCCAGGATGGTCTCGATCTCCTGACCTCGTGATCCACCCTCCTCGGCCTCCCAAAGTGCTGGGATTACAGGCGTGAGACACTACGCCCGGCCTTTGTATTTTTTTAGTAGAGATCGGGTTTCACCATGTTGGCCACGATGGTGTTGAACTCCTGATCTCAGGTGATCCACCTGCCTCGGCCTTCCAAAGTGCTGGGATTACAGGCATGAGCCACTGTGCCCAACCCACGTAAAACATTTTTGTTTGAACACCTGTTTTCAATTCTTTTGGGTATACACCTAGGAGTAAAATTGCTGGCTTATAAGTAATTCCATGTTTAACTTATTGAGGAACTACCAAACTGTTTTTCATGGAAGCTGCACCATTTTACATTTCTACCAGAAATGTATGAAGGTTCTAGTTTTTCCACATTCTTTTCAACATTTGTTTTCTATTTTTTTGATTATAGACATCCTGGTGAGTGTGAAGTGCTATCTCATTGTAGTTTTGATTTGCATTTCCTTAATGACTAATGATGTTGAGCATCACTTCATATGCTTATTAATATTCCATTAACATATGTTTCTTAGGAGAAATGTATATTCAAGTCCCTTGCCCATTTTTTTAGTTGGGTTGTTTTTCAGTTGTTGATTTATACAAGTTCTTTATTTATTCTGGATACTGCACTCTTACCAGATATACAATTTGCAAATATTTTCTCTCTTTTTATATTTTTTCCACTCGTGTCCTGAAAGTCATTTTTTCCTTCTGAAATACCTTGATAATAAATGCATTGCTGACTATGCCTTTGCCACTTAGTCCTTTCCTAGGGCCTTCAATAACGCTTATTTTCGAAGACACTTGATGTTTTTATTTTGTTGAGACAGAGTCTCCCTCTGTCGCCCAGGCTGGAGTGCAGTGGTGCGATCCTGGCTCACTGCAAACTTCGCCTCCTGGGTTCAAGCGATTCTCCTGCCTCAGCCTCCTGAGTAGCTGGGATTACAGGCGCCCACCACCACGCCCGGCTAATTTTATTTTATTTTATGCTTTTATTTTTAGTAGAGATGGGATTTCACTATATTGGCCAGGCTGGTCTTGAACTCCTGACCTCAAGTGATCTGCCTGCCTCTGGCTCCCAAAGTGCTGGGATTACAGATGTGAGCCACCACGCCTGGCCTCTTGATGTTTTTTTAAATTGAGTGTTAGGTACATGCATGCCCATTTTATTGACATTTTATTATATAAAGGTTATATTCCCTCTTATATCTGTATGTATAGGTATTTTTATATGAAATAAATTTTAAATGCTTGACAATAATGTCTCCTCTACGACTTCTATTTTCTGTTCTTGCATTCACTAACATACTTTTAGAATGAATGAGTGGTCTATATTCTATATACTTTTATAGAATGAGTGGTCTATATTTTCTGCTTCGTTTTATCCACAACTGATGCCTCTTCAATTTCTTGCAATACAACTTTTTTGTCCTGAAATAATGAAACATTTGGGTCTGTGCCCGACCCTTATCATTATTCTTTCTTCCTAGGTAATGTTACTCATGATTCATCCACCTACTTGCATTATACAGATGACGCCTAATCTGTGTCTCTGAACCTAAACCCTAACCCAAGTTTTATTATTTATTTATTTGAAACAGTTTCCCTCTTGTTGCCCAGGCTGGAGTGCAGTGGTACGATCTGGGCTCATTGCAACTTCAGCCTCTCGGGTTCAAGCGATTCTCCTGCCTCAGCCTCCCAAGTAGCTGGGATTACAGGTGCCCACCACCATGCCCAGCTAATTTTTCGTATTTTTAGTAGGGACTGGGTTTCACCATGTTGGCCAGGCTGGTCTCGAACTCCTGACCTCAGGTGATCCACCTGCCTCGGCCTCCCAACGTGTTGGGATTATAGGCGTGAGCCACTGCGCCCAGCCAACTCAAGTTTTAGAACTCTATATGCTGGATATTTTCAGTCGTTTACTTTACCAGATGTATTTCCCCTATTAATCGTTTTTTTCCTATCCACTTTTCTATTTCTTCAAACCATATCAGTTTCAGTCTCATATCTTTGTAGTAATCATTGGTTACTCTCTCTTCTGTCACTTCTGATCAGTTATCAAGTCTTTCGTCTTTTACTTTAAATATACTTCATTTCCACTCAATGGTCAATCATCCCATTTTAATCCACTATCGCAGAGTGCTGGAATTATTTCAATAGCTCCTCTCTGCCTGACCACTTCCTCTCCCTCCTTAGGTGATAATCTTTTTTTCTTGTTTGAGACGGAGTCTCGCTCTGTCGCCCAGGCTGGAGTGCAGTGGCGCGATCTCGGTTCACTGCAAGCTCCGCCTCCCGGGTTCACGCCATTCTCCTGCCTCAGCCTCCCGAGTAGCTGGGACTACAAGCGCCCGCCACCATGCCCAGCTAATTTTTTTGTATTTTTAGTAGAGACAGGGTTTCACCGTGTTAGCCAGGATGGTCTCCATCTCCTGACCTTGTGATCCACCCGCCTCGGCCTCCCAAAGTGCTGGGATTACAGGCGTGAGCCACCGCGCCCGGCCGGTGATAATCTTTTAAACAGAGGACTGTGATGAAACATGGTGCTAGGTGAGCAAGATAACTTAGGATATCTTTCTTTTGTGTTAGATGAAGTGAAGAAGGGAGGGTGTTGACCCTCCTGGATGAAGTGATGAAGCCCTGAACTGTGGCAATGATGCCGGAGAAGGATGTAAAAATCGTAAAGTCGACTGGTGACCAATTAGAGCTGGAAGGACTTACCCACGCTAACACCTCCCAAATATGGGAGTATTTTACTACCATAAATGAAATACATCAAGTGAATTTTTGCTAAGCGAGCAATACCCGCGCTTCGGTAAGAACTGTCACGCTTAGAGCGGGCCAACCAGCTTCCACCATCCAGATGGCGGATCCTAGATTGGCAGCCTGCGTCTCTCTAGCTACCGTCTCTATGGTTCGGGGAATCTCCAGGTCGGGGCTTGACCGGTCCGACTTTTGCGCGTGCGCGAGTCCTGGCGCGTGCCCGCCCTCAAGCAACTGTCCGACCCAGCGGGTGGGAGGGGTGGGTCTGGGAACGTTGCGGCGGCTGTCGCCGCGGCCCCAGCACCCAGAGCTGTTCTCTGGCCAAGCCTGCGCCTGTAGTCCTTCTTTGCCTCCTGGGGCGGCCGCCACCCACCCCCAGATGGTGGGTCCGGAGGATGCCGGAGCCTGCTCGGGAAGAAACCCCAAGTTGCTCCCGGTGCCTGCGCCGGACCCCGTGGGCCAGGACAGGAAGGTAATCCGGGCCACGGGCGGCTTTGGCGGAGGCGTCGGCGCTGTGGAGCCGCCGGAGGAGGCTGACGAGGAGGAGGAGGCTGACGAGGAGGAGGAGACGCCGCCTCGGCAGCTCCTTCAGCGTTACCTCGCGGCGGCCGGGGAGCAGCTGGAGCCGGGGCTCTGCTACTGTCCGCTCCCCGCTGGCCAGGCCGGCGCCCCGCCGCCCTCGGCAGCCCCACGATCGGACGCCTGCCTGCTGGGCTCGGGCTCCAAACACCGCGGCGCGGAGGTGGCTGATGGCCGCGCGCCGCGGCACGAAGGCATGACCAACGGCGACTCGGGTTTTCTGCCGGGCCGGGACTGTCGCGATCTGGAAGAGGCTCGCGGGCTGGCGCGCGCCGGCGGCCGGGAGTCGCGCCGCCGCCGCCCCTACGGCCGCCTTCGCCTGGAGGGGCCTGGCGACGAGGACGCGGACGGCGCGGGAAGCCCGTCCGATTGGGCCTCTCCGCTTGAGGACCCGCTGCGGAGCTGCTGCCTGGTGGCCGCGGACGCCCAGGAGCCCGAGGGCGCGGGCAGCGACTCGGGGGACAGCCCCGCCAGCAGCTGCAGCAGTAGCGAGGACTCAGAGCAGCGGGGAGTCGGCGCCGGGGGTCCCGAGGAGGGCGCGCCCCCTGCCACCTCGGCCGAGAGGACTAATGGGGGTGCGGAGCCGCGCCTGGGCTTTTCTGACATTCACTTCAACTCTCGCAACACGTTCCAGGTGAGCCGCGGTCAGAGCGCCCGCGATCACCTGCCCCCGGCGGGGCCGCCGGTGCCCTTGCCCGCCGCGGAGCAGGGTCCTGCGGGGGCTTCGGCCCGGGCTCGACGGAGTGGCGGCTTCGCGGACTTCTTCACCAGGTACAGCGCAGGCTGCATGGGACTCGGGGCGGGTCCGGGGCCGGGGCCGGAGCCGGGGTCTTGGTGGGAGTCGGAGCCGGAGCCGGAGCCGGAGCGGAGAGCTTGGTCGGCCGCTTCCGTGCCAGCCCCACACGCGTCAGGACTTAGCTTTGATTTGTCACTGGAGGAAGAGGAACTGGGTCGGCTTTGTGTTTCTATAGGAGAAGTTGTGAGCTCTGTGGACAGCGAGTCTTTCTGTTGCCTTGTCCGCGGGAGGCTGTACCTGCCATTCATACCTGGCTTCTGAGCAGTCAGGTTGGGCCAGCTGTCTAGTGCCACATATGCAGTTGCCTTTTCTGGAAAAGCAGATAACCATCTCCGTCTCCAATTTTTAAAAATTTTACTACAAACATTTAGGTTGTTGGGGGGGTGGTGAGGGGAGGCGGTATGTGTGTACGGGTGTGGTTGTGAAAGAGAGAAGGAAGTCATTTTGTAGAGCTGTTTATTTGCTGTGCTTGCATAGCGTCTAAATCCATTCAAGTGGTTTGGGAATTCTTGAAATTAGAAGTGGTTGTGCTTCATAGTGTTTAATCGTTTGTTTCAGTGGTCTTTATTAAAATGCAGTTTGGTGTTTAGAATTTTATCCCAACTTTTTAAGCCAAAGTAGGGCTTTTACTAAGGAAAGCCTTTTTTCTAATCTCCCAGATAAGCCTCTCCTTTTTTTCCCCAATAACTTTAGTTTTTTTAAAAAATGGTATTGTATTTGTGATTTGACAGGATATTCTTGAAATTAAATTATGGGCCGGGCGCGGTGGCTCACGCCTGTAATTCCAGCACTTTGGGAGGCTGAGGCGGGCGGACTATTTGAGGTCAGGGGTTCGAGACCAGCCTGGCCAATGTGGTGAAACCCGGTTTCTACTAAAAATACAAAAATTAGCCAGGCGTGGTGGCAGGTGCTTGTAATCCCAGCTACTCGGGATGCTGAGGCAGGAGAATCACTTGAACCTGGGAGGTAGAGGTTGCAGTGAACCTAGATCGTGCCATTGCACTCCAGCCTGGGGGACAAGAGCGAAACTCCGTCTTTCAAAAAAAAAAAAAAAGAAAAGAAAGAAATTAAATTATGGTGCTGGACTTCGCAGATTTCAGGATGGAGGTTTGTTGATTTAATAGGGATAAATAAGAGTAGTCAGAAAATACTTAATACACCTTACTGTAAGAGCAGTCCTGTAATCCCAGCACTTTGGGAGGCCGAGGTGGGTGGATCACCTGAGGTCAGAGTTCGAGACCAGCCTGGCCAACATGGTGAAACCCCGTCTCTACTAAAATATACAAAAATTAGCCGGGCATGTTGGCAGGCGACTTAATCCCAGCTACTTGGGAGGCAGAGGCAAGAGAATCGTTTGAACCCAGAAGGCGGAGGTTGCTGTGAGCTGAGATCGAGCCATTGCACTGAAACCTGGGGAATAAGAGCTAGACTTCTCTCAAAAAAAAAAAAAAAAAGGCAGTTTTCCTTGAGTTAGATTTTGACACGCCTTTTTCTTCTTCTTCTTCTTCTTTTTTCTTAAGTCCCCAGGCAAATAGGAAAATATTCCCAACTTGTAAAACTTTCCTTTACAGAGTTCTCCCTACTTTGTTTTTCTACCTTTTCGGGGATCTTGACTATAACCAGAAGTGAAAGAAGCAAATTCTTAGCTCAAGTTTTAGCAGGTTATACAATTAGCGTACATATTGTAGACATAAAGGCACAATTTTCTGATTATAATTGATATTTCTTATTCCTCTTTCTAGTTTATCCTTATTTTTTTGCTTGTATAAATTTACAAATATAAAGTTTCTTAAATCAAAAGTGGAAAATCCTAATTTTTTGTTACTCAGGACAATATATGTAGTAATGACATCTGTATTTGTAATATAGTTGCAAAAATATATTTAAAGCTTGTACTGGCAGTATTCTAAAAGATCTCAAGGTGAGTTAGGTTTATAAATTTGTGACACTGTGTGGCCTTTGGGTGTTTGTTGGTCATATCTATCTTGGTCATGTTTTGAGGTCAGATGTCAGGCAATTTTAGATCTGGGAGGGGCTTTGGAGATAACAAATTCAACTAGTATACTCTTGAGTTCTTGCTCTCTGCCATGCATTGTGAATAGAGATGATTTAGAAAACTGTCCCTTACCTGCAGGTGGGGTGCAGGCTAATGGGGATTAAGTTTGAAGACAGATGCATATATATACATTGCAATTTCTGAACATTTTTTTTTTTTTTTGAGATGGAGTTTCCCTCTTTTGCCCAGGCTGGAGTGAAGTGGTGCCATCTTGGCTCACTGCAACCTCTGCCCCCCTGGGTTCAAGTGATTCTCCTGCCTCAGCCTCCCAAGTAGCTGGGATTACAGGCACCCGCCACCACGCCTGGCTAATTTTTGTATTTTTGGTAGAGACCAGGTTTCACCATGTTGGCCAGGCTGGTCTTGAACTCCTGACCTCAGGTGATCCACCCGCCTCAGCCTCTCAAAGTGCTGGGATTACAGGTGTGAACCACTGCCCCAGCCAACAATGTTATTTATAGGAGGCTTTCATATTATTAACAGTAGGCAGGAATTTTATTTTTTCTTTCATTTCCCATGTGTTTTAAGTAGGCAGGAATTTTGATTTAATTTGTAAATTTTTTTTACTTATAGACTAATAGAACTTAATATAGCTAGATGACATTCATATGGCCACATTATTCATATGTGTCAGAGCACTGGATTTGAAGTCAGAAAACAGGTGCCCTAAAGTTAATTTCTCTAAGCCTCATTTTTCCTGATAGAGGTCTGAATGTCAAGACTCTAGGAGTCAGTGCTTCCTTTATATGACATTCTTGGGAAAGAAAGGGCAGAGTCAGAGAGGCACAGTTTTTCTTAAATGAATTCTGAACACCTTAAAGGCAGGAACTGTGACATTCATCTCTGAATCTATAATACCTAGCCACTGGTATGAAGAACACCATTCAGATTGGGTTGAATAGGTAGCTTTCATGGATTCCCTTTTACTGTGCTCTAGCTAGGTAGTGTAATTTTGAGCAGAATCTCCATCCTCAGTGAAAATAATCAGAAATTACCCCTGTCTCACAACACAACCCAAGAGATCCAACCCTACCCCTAAATGCATAGTTGCTATTCTCAACTCTGAAGCTCCAGGTGAGGGCTCTCTTTGGAAGTGGCTTGTTTGGGATGGAATCTTGTTCTTGGGTGCAACCCTTACTCCCACTTCATTTTTTTAGATGAGGAATCTCATTGTCTAAAGAAGGTAATTTAGTTAGCTAGTGGCATGCTGGGATTTGAAACCAGGATTCCTGATTTCCCAATCCATGTTTATGTTCAGTCTACAACCTTTGTTCACTTTATGGCTCTTTTCTCTCCCACCTATTTATCCTCCATGCTTTCCTTCTTCTTCCCTTCCCACTTCGTTCTTCTCTTTCCCTTAATTAGGCAAAAATCTATACGAGAAACCTTAAAAAAAAAACAGTTTTATGTTTACTTAAGTAAAGAGGGGGGAGCATTTTACACAATGTATCTATTACTACATAGTATTATGTTAAGACACATCATTTTGGTAGATATATAGGAAAAACAGGAATTCATTTAGAATATGACTGCTTTCATTTGGAGGGCCTTAGTGGTCATCTCCCACTTTCCTTCCCTTCCACATGAGGTGAGTTCTATTTCAGTCCCTACTGGGGGCTTGCTTCAGCTTCACATGGACACCTTTCTGTGTTTATGGTGACTTGGCTGTCAGAGCCCTAAAAGTAACATTCCCTCAGATCCTTGACCCTTTCCTGTCTATAAAAATTGAAATGCAGCTGGGCGCAGTGGCTCACGCCTGTAATCCCAACACTTTGGGAGGCTGAGGCGGGTGGATCACCTGAGGTCAAGAGTTCGAGACCAGCCTGGCCAATGTGGCGAAACCCTGTCTCTACTACAAATACAAAAAAATTAGCTGGGCGTGGTGGTGGGTGCCTGTAATCCCAGCTACTAAGGAGGCTGAGGTAGGAGAATTGCTAGAACCCTGGGGGGAGGTTGCAGTGAGCTGAGATCGTGGCACTGCACTCCAGCCTGGGTGACAGATTCCGTCTCAAAAAAAAAAAAAAGTTGAAATGCTAGATGGGTACCACTCAGCAGTAAGGAGGAGTGAAAGCTTTTTTGAAGTCTTTTGTGTTTCCAAGCTTGCCTTAATTCCCCAAAGATCCATTTGTTACTCTTTTTAAAAAATAGTTCTAAGCTGGGCATGGTAGCGTATGCCTGTAGTCCCAGCTACTCTGGAGGCTGAAACAGGAGGATTGCCTGAGTCCAAGAGTTCAAGGCTGCAGTGAGCCATGATTGAGTCACTGCACTCTAGCCTGGGTGACAGAGTGAGACCATGTCTCTTAAAAAAAGTTCTAAACCGTTTTTGTGGGTTCTTCAAGTAAATTCATGTCTTGTTTTCTAAGTAGAATGGTTTATTTTTTACATAGATAGACTCTTTCATAGTTTTCTGTTTGTTTGTTTTTAGGCCATTTAATAGTTTTGAAGCTTGTTAGGATTGCATTGGCATAGTTACTGTTTTTAAAAACATAGACACTTATCTGTGTTTCCTGGTAGTGCTGATTTTTTTTCCCAAGTCTTTATATGAATTTGGTGAATAAAGGGCATTGCTAAGGTAGGGAAGGAATAATTGGAGATTTTTTTCCCTTTATCTGAAAAGAAAATTGACTTTATAGATTTTGAAACATACAGATCCATGTGGCTTTCTCTGTAGTTGTTGACTTCTGAAACTTCCTAAATATTGTGGCAAAAGCTATTTTCACAGAGCTCTTTTTACAATGGTTGGGTTGAGTAGGAAAAACTAAAGGCTCTTTTAGTGATTTCTTTTTACATCTAGATAGTCTCCATTCTCCCTAATATGAAAACCAATGAAGTTTTTTTGTTTTTATTAAATATGACATGGAAAAATCTAAATTCCTATAGGTATAGTTTTTTCTTAATTTAAGGTTCTCAGAAACAACAAAGTCAGCCACGTCCTTTTTTCCACCTAGAATTTGTGCTAGTTGACAAAATCATAATTCATCCATCTGACTGAGCCATCATAAACATCTCTGTCCTATAAGTCTCCCTTACTTGTTCCATAGTGCCTCCACCAGTCAACTAAAATAAAAAACGACAGTTTCAAAGTGAGTTTCTCAAAAAAAATTCCTTTCTCAAATCACTAAAGAAAAGGCAAAATATGAAACTTCTGATGTTTTAAAAGATTTTAAAAGCTCCCCAAAGTGGGCAGCTTTTTAATACTCTGATATAATTATTTACAAGGAGAATGAAGGAAGAATCTATTGAATTCAAACCTGTTTTGTTCAGGATCAACTGTGCTACTATAATTAATGTTTAAAATTTTAGGAAAACTGAAAATAATACGTAATTAATTGCTCTAGAATAAACACAAAAGTCTATTAGGATTTTAGAATGTTGTGAAGCTACCATTATGTTAAATTGGGGAGCTAGCTCAAGAGCCTTTTATATCTTTTCCCTGTGTGTCACTCCTTCCCCTACCTCAGATCCCGTATTTTCTTTTAAAAACCCCCCAAAAAACAACACTCTAGGGACCTACACTAAAGCACCGGAAATCCAGCATTGGTTCAGGACTTCAACTTAGGAATTTGTGGCTTTCATTCAGCTGGCAGATTAGAGATGTGATAACCTGAATACAAATTAGGTAGAACGTATTCAGAAACTCTGATTTTTGTGGAAGTAAGATAATTTAAGCACTCAAACATATTACTTTGAAGTGCTAAATTAAATTAACTTTTTTTTTTTTTTTTTTTTGAGACAGGATCTCATTCTGTCATCCAGGCTTGGAATGCGGTGGCACGGCTCACTGCAGCCTCAGACTCCTGGGCTCAATTGATCCTTTCAGCTCAGCCTCCCAAGTAGCTGAGACTACAGGCATGCACCACTACGACCTGCTAATTTTGTTTTGTATTTTTTATAGAGACAGGGTTTTGCCATGTTTCTCAGATTGGTCTCAAACTCCTGGGCTCAAGTGATCTGCCCGCTTTGGCCTTTTAAAGTGCTAGGATTATAGGCATGAGCTACGCATCTGGCCAAATTAACATTTTTTACTACACACTTGTAAGCAAAGCAGACTATTATTATAATACTAACTTGGAGTTACTTGTTTGATAGAAATCTCTACATTATCCAAAATGGCCATAGAGATTAATTTTTAATTTTTAAAATCTTTTATTTTTAAATAGTTTTAGATTTGTAGAAAAGTTGCAAAGGTAATACCAAGAGTTTCCACACCCCTCCCCCAGTTCCCCTTTGGTTAACATCACCTTATATTTATGGTACATTTGTCACAACTAAGGAACTAACATTTGTACAATGTTATTAATTAAACTTCACATTTTATTCATTATAGAGATTTTGACTAAAAGGTTTTTATTTGGGGAGTGGTTGTGTTACTTTTAAGTGAAAGTTTTTACTTTTAAGTTTTTAGATCTTTTAAGTGGAAGGAACTTCTATGATCACCTTATTCATGCCTTAATACTCCATGGAAAGCCAATGATGCTGTTGACAGATAAATAATCTTTTATTTGCTAGATATGATCTAACAAGATGGTATTAATTTAATATTGGAAATGAGTTATGCATGGTAACTCATTGTTTAACCTAGAACAATGATATTCAAAGCTTTTCACTGCACACTATTTAGGGGCAGTATTTACAAGATTTAAAAACCAGTACCTGTTTGCCTCTGGGAAAAAATATGAAAGTGTATCTTAGTTCTACATAATTTCACAGTTTTCTAAAATTATTTTCATATGTGTTTTTTTTCTTTTCTTTTGTTTCAGAGATGAGGTCTCACCATGTTGCCCAGGCTGGTGTCGAACTCCTGAGCTCAGGTGATCTGCTCACCTCTGCCTCCCAAAGTGCTGGGATTGCAGGTGTGAGCCATCGTGCCCAGCCACAGTTTTTTTTTGGTTGTTGTTCTTGACATATTACTGTGACCTAGGAAGGGTAGGGTTTATTTTTATTTTACAGTTATTTGTCCAAAGTCAGATAGCTAATTAATGTAAGAATTACAACTAGACTGTAGATCTGTTCCTAGGGCTTGAAGCTAATACACTGATTTCTATGAATTATAAATTTAAGAGCAAAAACTTAGCTTTTGGTGTAGTGAAAATACAATGCCTGAGAGATAAGTAACTTGGTTTTTGTCCTAGGTAACAACTTCTGCCATTAAATAATTCTGTTACCTTGGACAAATCACTAAATTTCTGGACTTCGGTTTCCTTATCTATGAAATTGGGAGATTCAGAGTCCCTTCAGTTCTAATATCATGGTATTATAATACACAATTCTGTTGCACACACAGTAGTGGACCACAAATATTTACTGGTTAAATACTACAAATGTGAACTGAGTTAAAGAGAAAGCTGAAAAAAAACAGAATTTTTTTTTCCCTCTGTAAAATGAGAGGCATGCCAGAGATAGGACTATTCCTTTCAACTCTAAATTCCACCTTTAATGTTTCTTTTAGCAAAGGTCTAACTCTGCCTTAGGGTAATCATGATAGAAATATCAGTGATCTTTGTTTAGTTTTTCATGTGAAGATGGCACAGTGCATCAGCTCTTCTTTCTTTTCTGTAGCAAATTCTAGATCTATTTTTTCTTATTTCTTTGAGGTGGGGAGGAGTAGTGAGAGAGAGAATGGGGTAATAAGTACATTTTAGTTAATCAATTAACTGGAATTTAAGCCTTTAACTTCCAGACCATGAGTTATTTCATGAAGGTTGCCACTGTAGCACTTTGATGAACTAGTGCAGTTGTTTGTAGCTTTTGGTATATTCAAAATCACCTGAAAGCACCCAGATATAGTGGCTCATGCCTGCAATCCCAGCACGTTGGGAAGCTGAGGCAGGAGATTTGCTTGAGGCCAGGAGTTCCAGCCTGGGCAGCATAGCAAGACCCCATCTCATTTTATTTAAAAAAATTTAAAAATCACCTAAAAACACATTTAAAAAATTAGATTCTCTAATTCACAGCCTCCGCCTAGTCAGATTCAGGAGACCTATTATTTGGCTGGTGAATTTGCATTTTTAGAAAGTTGCGTGGTTGGGCCCAGTGGCTCATGCCTGCATTCGGAGCCCAAGGTGGGGGGACTGCTTCAGCCAAGGAGTTCAAGGCTGCCTAGGCAACATAGTGAGAGGCTGTCTCTTCAAAAAATAAAAAAACTAGCTGGGCATGGTTGTGTGCACCTGTAGCCACAGTTACTCGGGAGGCTGAAGTGGGAGGATCACTTGAGCCAGCGAGGTCGGGGCTGCAGTGAGCTATGGTCACACCACTGCCTTCCTGCCTGGATGGCAGAGTGAGACTGTCTCCAAAAAAAAAGAGAAAATTGCTCACAGTTGATTCAGATTGTCAACTAGGTTTTAGTGAATTGCTTAATCCTAGGTGGCATCTTCAAATTACAGGATGGTATGGTGCTTAAAAATGCTGGTTCTAAAGTTAGGCTGCTTGGGTTTGAATTAGCTTACTAGCTCTTTAATTCTGGACTTCTCTGGATCTTAGGCAACTCATCCATAAAATGGGGATAATAATAATGCCTAATTCATGGGATTGCCATGAGGGTTAAATAATATTTTACATTCTTTGTTTTAACTATGTGGCATATAGTGAAGATTCAAATGTTATTATTCAGACAGTAGCAAGACTACTATAACACCTTCCTCAGCTTCACCACTGAAATCCACTGATTTGAAGAAAGGAAGATACTGGATGAATTTTTGTGTCCTGTCTGGGGAAACGTTACACAATTTGTGCAGAAGAAGATTTTTAAACATAATTTATACATGGGATTGGATGGATGTTAAAATAGATTCTGATGTAGTGATATGACATTTCCCGAAGTCTTGAAGCTTTGACTAAAAAGCAAATCTGAGAAGGAACCGAAAGGAATGCTGAGAAAGATTAAAATATTTGTATCTTTTATTGTCTTAAGGAACTTTTATAGACAGGCAAAGCCAATTTTTTAGTTTAAGTCCATGAAATGTTTAACTTGGCTTACTCATGCATTTCATACTTAGTATGTTGTGGTAGGAAGGTTTTGGGAAAGAGTGGAAACATTTGGAGATTTTGAGACGATACATCTGTTATCCATCTCTAAATGTATGCAGAAAGGCAAAGTGTGTCCTTTTTGAGACAGCTTTTTTCTCCCTAGGAACTCTGTTAGCTACACTATGAGTTATCTTCAGATAGTTATGGCTGATAGTTGCTTGGACCCTACTACAGTGATTCTTAAATTTAGTGTTTAAAATTACTTGGAAGGGGGAGGGTTGTTAAGAATGCAGATTCCTTGAGACCCAAGTAGATCCTGGGTGGGGTCCACCAGGAATCCAACTTTTTAAAAAGACCCCCAGGTGATTCTGATGCAGGCGATTCCCCGACTATAACCACTGAAATACTGGGCTGGTTAATAGGCAGGTCTCCTCAGGTAGTGACTGAAAGTACAACACACCTTTATAGCTCACATTGCTTTACTGATTTAAAATTGGGTCATATTCAGGTACTATGTAATTGATGAGTATAAACAGAGGTGTATAATAGAGAACAGATTCAAAATACAAATCTTTAAGTACTTTGCTAGCCTTTACTTGGATGAGAAATTATTTCGGACAAATTCATTCTTGGCTTCCTTTTTATTAATGGGAAAAATCTTTTATTTTCATTTTATGCTGTTTAGATAGCCATGCTTGCCTGTCTTGTGAAAAGCTTTAACTTGTAAGATTTTCCTCAGGTCTACTCAGTTTGTTGGCATACCTTTACCTTTCTTATAGCCTATGAAAAAAGTGTTATTTTTCCTTCCTTCTGCTGCTATTTGTAATTCTTTTCCGTGCCTTTAAGAAGAAATCCTGCACACTGCACATGGTTTTCTCCCCTCCAACATTTGCTGCTTCAGCCTTTCTTATGCTTCTTATTTCTGTGGCCAAAATAAGAAAGAGAGGGAAACCCATGTGACTGTCTGGGTTTTCAGCATGCTCTTTCCTGCAATTAAGAGAAGTTTACCTTAGGAAATCAAGCTACAAGTCATGCTTCTTACTTAGAGCTAGTTTGAGAGTGAACTTGATAAGGTGTTTAACTCATCTTTGAATTTGGCTTTTCAGGTTTTTTTTTTTTAATTTGAATTTTATGTTAGATACTTTTTTTGTTAAAAAATATTTCCATCTGCTTGTCTCTAACCCCACATAGATTAAAACATTTTAAATTTGGAACTGAACATAATAATTTTGAAATCAAATTATGTGCTGTTTTCTCATATTTTCCCAAGTACTGTAATGTACAACTACCCATCATACGTTAGGCATTATTTAGAATTTCCAAATCTGGTTTTCATCTAGACTGTTCGTAGCCATCTTTTAGTCAAGTAGGGCAAATACTTCTTTTGTTGTTGTCTCAGGAAAAATTCATTCAAATACTATAATAGTTTACTTTTTTTTTAGAAAAACATAAAATGTTCACATTATTTGCTTTTGAAAAGCAGGAGAAGGAATATAAAATAAAGCTAAAGATAATACATTGTTTCCACGTTATTCTTGTTAAGGTGGTAAGAAGATGATAAAGAAGATTTGAGGGTTTGGAAGAAAGTATGGTAAAGATAATACATTGTTTCCACGTTATTCTTGTTAAGGTGGTAAGAAGATGATAAAGAAAATTTGAGAGTTTGGAAGGAAGTATAGTACGAGAAACTATTAGAGAATGAGTTTGAAGATATTCGTAGAGAGAGAAATTGCTGGAGAGAATAAATGTTAGGTAGAAGTTAGCCATGTAGTTAGTTCTTAGGCCTGTTGGTTTCAGAGTATTACCACAGATTATTTCCATATTTTTCTAATTTTTCTACTTGGCATACCTCAGTGCCTTTGTGGATGTTTCTAGCCACTTGTGTCTTTAAAGTATCTTGTATATCTCTCCTTAACTTCCCTAACGTCCCTGTCTCCCAGTGGCTTCTCAATAGGCCATACTGTGAAACTTTTTTTTTTTTTTTTTGAGACGGAGTCTCGCTCTGTCTCTCGGTCTGGAGTACAGTGGTGCGATCTCGGCTCTCTGCCACCTCCGCTTCCCAGGTTCCAGCGATTCTCCCATCTCAGCCTCTGGAGTAGCTGGGATTACAGGCGTGCACCTCACGCCCAGCTAATTTTTTGTATTTTTAGTAGAGATGGGGCTTCACCATGTTGGCCAGGGCGGTCTCGAACTCCTGACCTGAAGTGATCCGCCCACTGCGGCCTCCCAAAGTGCTGGGATTACAGGCAAACTGAACTATTTTTTAATAACAGGTTGTACATATAAAGTTTAATTTAGGCTCTAAAAGTTTAGGTTGTTAGTATGATAGTTTCAGGTACTAAAATGTACATTTATCAAAAGGTAAAATAAATGCAATATACAGTTGTACACACTGTATTCTTATTTGAGTTCCAGTGCTAAAAGGAAAGGAAAATTTTTCCTACAAGTACCAGGGTAAATCTAGCAAATGGAATTAAAGTCCCTCTTACCCACATGGAAAAAATTCATGGTTCATTACCAGGAAGATATAGTACATAGAAATTTAAGTTCTAAAGTAAGTTATTGAAGTTTTAAATAAGGAAAACATCCCAACTGAATAAGTAGTTTCTGTATTTTTGAAGAGTGATAACATTTAAGTTGCTTTTTTGTACTTACATAAGCCTTAACTCCCCCAACCCCTCATTGACTTTTTAACGTTATTGGTACTACCCAGAGTTATAGAGATTGGTAATCCTTGAATGTTATTTAGAAAACAAAGGACTTGTGGTTCAGAATTCTGTTTTGGTCACCAAAATTTTTGAGTTAAAGACTAATAAAACTAGCCAGGCCCGGTGGCTCATGCCTGCAATCCCAGCACTTTGGGAGGCCGAGGCAGGCGGATCACGAGGTCAGGAGATCGAGACCATCCTGGCTAACACGGTGAAACCCCGTCTCTAGTAAAAATACAAAAAAACTAGCTGGGCATGGTGGCGGGTGCCTGTAGTCCCAGCTACTCGGGAGGCTGAGGCAGGAGAATGGTGTGAACCCAGGAGGTGGAGCTTGCAGTGAGCTGAGATGGCACCACTGCACTCCAGCCTGGGCACTCCAGCCTGGGCGACAGAGCGAGACTGTCTCAAAAAAAAGACTAATAAAACTTTTGATAGGTAATTATCATATAAGGTAACTAGCACACTAATTGAACAAATAACTGGAGGATAATGCCCATCTTTGTAATATACTCCCAGAAGCACAGTAATACTGTCAAAAATACTAGAATAAGGATTTACTTTCAAAACTGGGTGTACAAATAACACAGCTGAGAACTATACTGCATGAAGGGAAAATTTTAGGAGATAACCACTATAAAATTTTCTTGAGTAAAATAATAACTAGCCACTTATTTTAATGAGTAGATAAGATTGTATTGCTCTTCCACAACACCACTGGAACATAAACTTTTGATTTAGTTGTCCATTTAATAGAAACATAACACTATGTAGGGAAAAAAAATACAATTACCTTGGTCAGGATCTGGGTTTCACCTGTGCTACTGGAAGAAAGGTTCTATCATGCATATCATCAGTTCAGGATGTACTTCTACGTCAGACATGAGCAAAATGTCAACAAAGCAAAGCACCAGCAACTACCATACAGCTAAGTGTGTGCTTTTTATTCTCAGAAGGTTTAGACATCTGATAGATGTTATTTAGTCTTGCTTGAATTCTTTTACTAATTTGGAGCTTGGTTTTCTCAACAGAGCCTATTGAGGGTATTAGTTGTTAGAAGGTTCTATGTTGAAGTACAGTGTAGTTCATTGTAATGTTCATAGTCCCAATTTCCCCCCTAGAGCCACAAAATACAATTCAATTCATTTACATGATTACCCTTCAGACATTTAAGATTGCTACAGAACCCTTTTTAGTTCTTATTAATTAGTTTGGAATTTTCTTACTATTTATTCATTCAGCAAATTATTGTGAGTCCTCTATGTATACTAGGCACATAGGATATTAGGTAAACAGAACATTTTATTTAAAAAGTTTCAGATAAGGGAGTCCTATAATATCAATGTTTACAATATTACCTGATAAGTGTTATAAAAGAGGATATGAGGATGCATCAGTACTGAGGAAGGGGTGATTAACTTTGAGACAGGAAGTTAGGAACTTTACAGTAGATGAAACATGAAAGCTTAGTATTTTACTAAAGAAGAGGGTTTGGGTTAGAATGAGTGTGATGACAGGACAAGTAAAAATAACATATATATAGAATTATATATAAAATAGCTCAGCACTTTTTGGGACTGCAGATTCTCATCTGGATGATTGCCTCTAGGGTGCATGAGGTATGTGTCAAAAACTGAGGCAAAAAGGTTGGGTCTAAATTATGGGGGAGCTAAATTTGTCTGACAGAACTAAGTAATTTGAACTGATTCAGTGAGAGGTGGCAGTACAGGGAACATTTGTGGGTTTTTTAAACAATGGAGACATACTTAGAACTACATTTCGGAACGGTGACTTGCATAGCGGTGTGGCAGATGATTTGCAACTTGAGAAACTGGAGCATGGAGATAGTTATGGTAGTTTATGGGTGTTTGTCAGTCTCCTTTTCACAATGTGATATACAGATAGTTGATGTAAATAACATTTTTTAAACCAGTAATATTGGATTAGAGAAAAAAAGTAAATAACTAGATAAATCTTTCAATCTCTGCAAGAAGGGGTGGTTAATAAGTTGAGTGAGACATACCAGTAGCCTTTTTGTGAAGCTTTAAGGAAAATAAACTTTGAACTGGATTTTTGTTTTTGAAGGAATTGAGATGATATGAAAATAGAGTCATGTGAAAAATTATGCTTACCATATTTTGTAAGGAATTTAATGAGGATGGGAAAAGAGCCAGAATAGCTATTTGGCTACATGTTTTGATGTTGCGGATCAGAAAGGAAACAACCTCAGGAAAAACCCTGGAGGTGTAAAATTGTTGCAAAATCAAGGTTTCACATCTAGTGTAAAAGTTCTGTACATTGCTTTATAAAAGTGGACTGGGACAGTATACTTATCAGCCATTTTTGAGGATTGAAAGAGATTAAAAAAAATTGAGACTTCCATAATTACCTCTATGTATATGTGTCTCTTCTTCTTTTTTTTTTTTTTTTGCTACGGAGTCTCGCTCTGTCGCCCAGGCTGGAGTGCAGTGGCGCAGTCTTGGCTCACTGCAAGCTCCACCTCCCGGGTTCACGCCATTCTCCTGCCTCACGCCTCCCGAGTAGCTGGACTACAGGCGCCCGCCACCACGGCTGCCTAATTATTTTTTTTTGAGTTTTTAGTAGAGGTGGGGTTTCACCGTGTTAGCCAGGATGGTCTTGATCTCCTGACCTCGTGATCCGCCCACCTCGGTCTCCCAAAGTGCGGAGATTACAGACGTGAGCCACCGCGCCCGGCCCATGTATGTCTCTTCTACTAAATGGCAAAGCCTCCAGAGACAGAGACCATGTTCTTGTTCATTTTTTTACCTCTGTGTAGAGATATAGATTAAATTGAAGGATAATAAAACCAGAAACTTGGGCCCTGCCACGCTTGAATTTGGTTATCTCCAAGTAAATCTAGCTCTATTAATTCTCACAAAGCCCAACAATCTTTAGTTACCCATGTGCTGGCAAAACAGTCCATGTTTAAAGGAGTAACTACCTAAACATATAGATTTTGGTAAAATACTTGTGGCAGCTGCGCAGCTTTTAAGAAAATCCAGATTACAGCATCTGTAACTGAAATGTTGTAATATAAAGAAAGTGCTGAATTTTGTTTTATAACTATTGCCTTAATGCTATTGCTAGTTTTGAAGAAAATACCTTCTTTAGGTTTTCTTATCAGCCTAACAGATTATTCTCAATTTCTGTAGAACTAGATATGTCTGTTTTTCGCCTTCAATCTTTTATACTTTGGTCTATTATTATTATTATTATTATTATTATATTATTTTTGAGACAGTCTCACTCTGTCACCCAGACTGGAATGCACTGGTGCAGTCTCGGCTCACTGCAACCTCTGCCTCCCGGGTTCAAGTGATTCTCCTGCCTCAGCCTCCCGAGTAGCTGGGATTACAGTCACATGCCACTGTGCCAGGCTAACTTTTGGTATTTCTAGTAGAGGTGAGGTTTCGCCATGTTGGTCAGGCTGGTCTTGAACGCCTGACCTCAAGTGATCCACCCGCATCAGCCTCCCAAAGTGCTGGGATTAGAGGCTGAGCCACTGTGCCCAGCCTTTTTTTTTTCTTTTTTTTTCGAGGCAGAGTCTCGCTCTGTTGCCCAGACTGGAGTGCAGTGGCGCGATCTCGGCTCACTGCAACATCCACCTCCTTGGTTCAAGTGATTCTCCTGCCTCAGCCTCCCGAGTAGCTGGGACTACAGGTGCACGCCACCACGCCCAGCTATTTTTTGTATTTTTAGTAGAGATGGGGTTTCACCATGTTGGCGAGAATAGTCTTGATCTCCTGACCTCGTGATCCACCGGCCTCGGCCTCCCGAAGTGCTGGGATTACAGGCGTGAGTCACCGCGCCTGGCCTCCCAGCCATTTTTTTGATAGCAAACACATACATCTTTTATTTATTCTTAAGGATTTGTACATTTACTATTAAATGTGTTACATATACGGGTTATTTAATGTATATTAAAGTATATTAAGTATATAGGTTATTTAGTATGATTCCATACTAAATAACATTTGTTTATCATCGTGAAGTTTTTAACATTAACCTGCATTTTAGATTCAATAAAACTTAAAAGGCCGGGTGCGGTGGCTTACGCCTGTAATCTTACCACTTTGGGAAGCCCAGGTGGGTGGATCATGAGGTCAGGAGTTCCAGACCAGCCTGGCCAACATGGTGAAACCCCGTCTCTACTAAAAATAGAAAAATTAGCTGGACGTGGTGGCGCCTGTAATCCCAGCTTCTCGGGAGACTGAGGCAGGAGAATTCCATGAATCCGGGAGGCAGAAGTTGCAGTGAGCCGAGATTGCGCCACTGCACTCTAGCCTGGGCGACAGAGCAAGACTCTGTCTCAGGGAAAAAAAAGACAAACTTAGAAGCAGCTCATATAGAATAAACAGCTTTTGATAGGAACAGTCATTTTTGTATTTTGTTTAAAAAGCCTTAACCAGTGTAATTTAGTTTTCTATTTAATACATTTAATACCAAACAGAGCCACAAAGAAAAAAGTGAATCTCCTCTAAGTAGTTTTTATTTTACCAAAATGTGTGGTTTAGATATGGCTTTTGGTTTGGGATACTTACTCCTACTGAAAGAAGCAAGCAGTTAATCTGTTGATGAATGCTGGCAACCATATTTTAAGAACTGATAACTAGAAGTTCAGTTTTATAAATCTGTTAAATTTTTTTATCGCAGTGGAATATATTGCTGTGGACCGAATGTTTGTGTCCCTCCAAAATTCATGTGCTGAAGGCCTAATCCCCAGTAATGATATTTGGAGGTGGTATCTTTGAGGTAATTAGGTTTAAATGAGTTCATCAGGGTGGGACTCTAATGATGGGATTAACACCCTTATAAGAAGAGGCCCTGGAGAGCTTGCTTCCCTTTTTCTGCCCTGCTGCTATATGAGCACACAGCAGAAAGGTAGCTGTCTGAAAACAGAAGAGACTCCTCACCAGACACCAAATTTGCTGGGACCTTGATCTTAGACTTCTCCATCTCCAGAACGTTGAGATACAAATGTCTGTTGTTCAAGCTACCAAGTCGATGATATTTTGTTATAGCAACGTGAGCTAAGACATGCATATGACATAAAATTTACCATTAGTGACATTCAGTACATTCACCATGTTGTACAGCTAGCACCACTATCTAATTCTAGAACATTTCATTACCCCAAAAAGAAGCTCTGTACTCACTAAGCAGTCACTTCCATCCTGCCTTGTCTCCAACCCAGCAATCTGTTTTTGGTCTCTGTGCATTTGCTCAGTCTGGATATTTCATATAAAGGGAGTCATATAGTTTGTCACCGTTTATGTCTGGCTTCTTTCACTTTGCATGTTTTTAAGGTTCATTTATATTGTAGCATGCCTCAGTACAGCATTACTTTTTATGGTTGCGTAATAGTCCATTGCTTGGATATACCGTTTTGTTCATCCATTTATCCACTGGTGGACATTTGGGTGGTTTCCGTCTTTTGGTTGTTATGGATAGTGCTGCTAGTATCATTTGTGTACAAGTTTTTGTTTGAACACTTTTTTCTTTCAAGTTTTATTTTTAATTGACGAATGTATATTTATGGGGCACAATGTGAAGTTTTGATACATGTATGCATTGTGGAATAATCAAATCAGTCTAATTAGCATATCATAAACTCAAACATGTATCATTGATTTGTCCTGAGAACATTAGAAAACCCTCTTTTAGCTGTTTTGAAATATATATTATTATTAACTATAGTCACTGTGCTATGCAGTAGAACACCAAAACTTATTCCTCCTATCTAACTGAAACCCATTTTGTACCCATTGACCAATATTTCCCCTTTTCCCTTTCACTCTCCTCCACCCACCTCCACCTGGTTCCCCCTGTGACCACCCCCTGGCCTCTGGTAACCACTATTCTACTCTCTACTGCTATTAGTCTGACTTTTTTAGATTCCAAATATAAGTGAGATCATGTGGTATTTGTCTGTCTGTGCATGGCTAATTTCACTTAACATAATGTTCTCTCTGTTCATCCATGTTGTCACAAATGACAGAATTTCCTAATTTAAAAATGCTGAATATATTCCATCGTGTACATATGCATTTTAAAATGCATTCATCCATTGATGGACACTTGGGTTGTTTCCATATCTTGACCATTGTGAATAATGCTGCATTTGAACATGAGAGTGTAGTTCCTTTTGGCATATTCCCTGAGCACTGGTTTTTAATTCTTTTGGATATTATGCCCATTAGTGAAATTGTTGGGTTATAGGATAATTCTGTGTTTAACTCATTGAGGAACTGCCAAACTGTTTTCTAAAAGCTGCAGCATTTTACATTCCCACTAGCAATGAATGAGGGTTCCAGTTTCTCTATGTTCTTGTTATTTTCTTTCAGAAAAAAAAATTACAGCCATCCTAATGGGTTTGTAATAGTATTTCTTTGTGATTTTGGTTTGCATTTTCTAACAACTAATGATGCTGAGCATTTATTCATGTTGTTGTTGCCCATTTGTATACCATCTTTGCAAAAATGTTTATTCAAATCCTTTGCCTAATATTAATTGGGCTGTGTGTGTTTTTGTTGTTAAATTATTTGAGTTCTTTACCTATTTTGGATTCTAGACCCTTATCAGATAAATGATTTGCAATTATTTTCTCCTATGGGTGTCATTAAACCTTCTTGGTAGTACCATTTGATGCACAAAAGTAGACAACGTTTTAAATTTTATGTATATACAGTTCTAAGTTTGTGTAACCAGTTTAGTTTGTATTTTAATAGGGGAAATAAGATGTGTATTTAGCTATCTGTAGCACAGGCAGGAAAGTATAGAATGTATTGAAGAGTACAGAGTTTAGCTGATATCTTAGGGTTCATGTAGTTTTTTTTTTTTTTTTTTTTTTTGAGTCAGAGTCTCGCTGTGTCACCAGGCTGGAATGCAGTGTCGCGATCTCAGCTAACTGCAACCTCCGCCTCCCGGGTTCAAGCAATTCTCGTGCCTCAGCCTCCCAAGTAGCTGAGACTACAGGTGTGTGCCACCACACCCAGCCAATTTTTGTATTTTTAGTAGAGACAGGGTTTCACCATGTTGGCCAGGATGGTCTCAATCTCCTGACCTCGTGATCTGCCTGCCTCAGCCTCCTAAAGTGCTGGAATTACAGGCGTGAGCCACCACGCCCGGCTGGGTTCATGTAGTTTTAAGGAACAGAAGCCTACTTAAGCTACCTTATTTATTTTTTCTTCTTTTTCTGGACTCCTATCAGGAAACAGTTTGTTTATTAATTTTTAAGAGATAGAGTCTTGCTCCATAGCCAGGCTGGAGTGCAGTGGCGTGACCATAGCTCACTGCAACCTCAAACTCCTGCGCTCAAGCAGTCTTCTTGCCTTAGCCTTTTGAGTAGTGGGGACTACAGGTACCGTGCTTGGCTATTTTCTTTGCTGTTTTTTTTAGAGATGGGTGTTTCAGTATGTTGTCCTGGCTGGTTTTGAACTCCTGGCCTCAAGCAATCCTCCTGTCTCAGCCTCCCAAGTTGTTGGGATTACAGGTGTGAGCCACCACACCTGGCTAAGCTACCTTAAATAAAGTAGAATTTATTGTTAGCATATAATAGGCATCTTGTGGGCATTTTGAAGATAAAAAATAAACTAGGCTGGGCACTGTGGCTCAAGCCTGTAGCCCCAGCTACACAGGAGTCTGAGGCAGGAGGATCATTTGAGCTCAGCAGTTTGATGCTGCAGTGAGCCATGATCACGCCAGTGCACTCTAGCCTGGGTGACAGAATGAGGCCCTGTCTTGAAAGAAAGAAAGAGAAGCAGAGAGAAAAAGATAAAGCAAAAAAAGAAAATAAGTAAAATAAGAAAATAAACTATACCTGGATCACAGAGTGCCAGGAACAGTGGTTTTTCTGCCTTCCAAGAGATGCTTGGTTTTTCAGCTCTTTTCTGCCTCCTGATTGTTCAATGCATGCTTTCTACCTACAAAGGCTCTGTGAAGCTGTACCAGCTCTACACGAATTATCAGTTCAAGCATTCACCATCTTTTTTTTTTTTTTTTTTTTTTGAGATGGAGTCTCACTCTTGTTGCCCAGGCTGGAGTGCAGTGGCACGATCTTGGCTCACTGCAACCTCCGCCTCCCAGGTTCAAGTGATTCTCCTGCCTCAGCCTCCTGAGTAGCTGGGATTACAGGTGCCCGCTACCACGCCCGGCTAATTTTTTTACTTTTAGTAGAGATGGGGTTTCGCCATGTTGGCCAGGCTGGTCTCGAACTCCTGACCTCAGGTGGTCTGCCTGCCTCAGCCTCCCAAAGTGCTGGGATTACAGGTGTGAGCCACTGTGCCTGGCCTCATTCACCATTTTTTAACTTTCTCAATCTCTAAGGCTTCTATTAAAAAACTTGGGGGGTCTGCTTGTCTTAGCCTGTGTATGAATTTTTCTCTGTTTTATCAGTGGTACAGTTAAATCAGCTCTGACTGAGGGCCCGGATCATAAACTACAAAAATAGCCACTCTGGGCTACTGTTTCAGAGAAGGAATGGCAGAGTGGGAGTAGGTTGTAGGCATGCCAAAACCACATACAGTCAGATGACCCTTTCTGTCTGTGGGTTCCACATCTATGGATTCAACCAACCTAGGATCATAAATGTCCAGAAAAAATATTTAGTCTGTACTGAACATGAACAGACTTTTTTCTTGTTATTCCCTAAAAAATATAACTATTTACATAGCATTTACATTGCATTAGGTATTATAATTAATCTAAGATGATTTAAAGTATACAAGAAGATGTGTATAGGTTATATGCAAATAGTGCACCAGTTTATATAAGGGACTTGAACATCTGAGAACTTTGGTATCTGAGGGAAGTCCTGGAATCAGTCCCCCACAGATACCAAAGGACAACTGTATATTTTTCCTAGTTGTAGAAAGAGAGTAGTAGGAAATAATATTGTAAAGATAATTTGTGTCCCCATTGTGGAGAGCTTTTAATGCTAGGGTAAATAATTAAAACTCTTCCATAAATAGTAGGGAGTTACTGAGGATTTGGGGACAAGGAAGTGAAATATTCTGTTATTTTCTGCTTATACTTGGTAGTGTTTTCTAGTTGTAATGGCTTATCTGTCATTTTCTTCCTCTCTCCTGTGTTTGTCTAAATTCTCCCCTCGTTCATTCAGTAAGCATATTTGAGCACCACCTATATTCCAACGAAAGAAGGAGCTAGAATAAGGCCTTTCTGTTGAAACCAGTGATGGAAACATAAATTGAAACACTGTGCTGTGATACTAGCTCAGGGAGCATGAGATGGAGTGTTTTAAATTCTTTGAAAATAAAGAATAGCCCTTCAGCAACAGAAAGAGACACAAAATGGAATAAGGATTTCATTACAGGCCCTGGGAGTACCTGGCATGTCTGAAGGCCACATGGAGATGGGTCAGTGCTGGGAAGGATAGAGGGGACCCATGGGCCAAAGCTTTTATTGGCATCCAGGGCATATCGAAGCAGATTTCCTGTGGGGGAATTCTAATTAATGGGTTTAAAGTAAACTGGTAAGAGTTCTAGAAGGTCACTGTGGCATGTCTGCACAATTCACGCAGGGTTTGGCAGTCAATGGGGCCAGGTAAGTAGGTTGTATTCAGCTGTCCCATAGGGAGGTGATCAACAGGAGGTCCACCTTGAGGAAATGGGAAAAGGTGTAGAACTGGAAACTGTCAAGGATGACTGAGCCCTGCTTCTAGTATGAGAAAGTTAAACTTATATTTAAAAACTGATGCCAAGGCAACATAAAATTATAGGGAATCACTGCATGGGGCAAGCAAGAATTACTCCTCTGGCACTACCTCTGGTTTGCAAGTCCATCTTCAAGTTCATTTCCGGGGTTAGTAGAGGGTGTGACTGTAAAGAGATAGCATGGGGAGTTTTTTGTTTGCTTTCTCTGTACTTCAGTGGATGCAAAATGAGGGAGTTTTTTTGGCGTGATGGAAGTGTTCTATACCTGAATTGGGAGTGTTCTATACTTCAATTGTGATAGTAGTTACACAAATCTATACATGTGATAAAACTTGTAGAACTATACACCAAAAGAAAAATGGTCAATTTTGTTCTATGTCAGTTTAAAAAAGAAAATATTCAGTGAGTGCAGGGCATTGTGAAGGTTACATGTATCATGTTCAATTAATTTCTCTGAAATTAGCTGACTTTCATTTGTTGTGTGAAGTCGCAGCACTGAAGTTACAATAATAAATTTGGAGCTCACACTGTAATGCAGTGGAGACATCATAGAACTCACGTTTTTTTTTGTTCTACAACTCAACCAACTAGTAAGAGCTCACATTTTAATGCAGAAGACAGCTAATTAAATTTGCAAAATTGCTTTGGCTATTTTATTTCCTTTGGCTTTCCATATTGATTTTAGAATCAACTTGTTTTTATTTACAGATAATTCTTGTTAATTAACTTAGGGAGCATTGACATCTTTATGATGTTGAATCTTTCAGTTCTTCAGCACAGTATATCTAGCCATTTATTTGGGTCATTTTTTATTTCCTTCATCAATGTTTTGACATTTTCAGCATACACATCCTGTAATATTTTGTTAAATTTATAATTAAATATTTAGTTTTTTGTGTTATTATAAATGATACTTCTTAAAAATTTCACTTTCTAACTATTCATTACTAATTCAGAGAAATATGATTGATTTTTGTGTGCTTGCCTTTTATCTTGTAATCCTGCTTAACTTACTAGGAACTTTTTTGTAGATTCTATGAGGTGACTGTAGACAGTCATGCTGTCTGCAAATAAGAGAACATTTTATTTTTTCCTTTCTACTCTTTGAGACTTTTAACTTAATTTTTCTTGTCTTATTGCATTGGCTAGGGCTTTCAGTATGATTTTGAAAGGGAATGGCAAAAGTGGACATCATTATCTGGTTTCCATTCTCAGGGGAAACATTTAATGTTTCACCATCATTAAGTATGATGTTAGCTGTAGGGTTTTTAAAATTATTTTTTATCTTTATGTTTTGGTAGATGCCTTTAATTAAGCTAATGAACTTCCCTTTTATTCATAGTTTTCTTTGGATTTTTTATTTTATTAGTATTGCCAAATGACTTTTCTGTGTCCATTGATGTAATTGTGTGGGTTTTTCTCATTTAGACTGTGAATAAAATTGGATTCATCAATGACTTTCAAGTGTTGAATGAGCCTTGTATTCCCAGGATAAACCCCACTTGGTCTTGTTGTTTTTCCTTTTACATATTGTCAGATTTTATTTTTATTTTTGTATATTTTTTTGAGACACAGTCTCACTTTGTCACCCAGGCTGGAGTGCAGTGGTAACGATCTCGGCTCACTGCAACCTCTGCCTCCCAGGTTCAAGCAATTCTCTGCCTCAGCCTCCCGAGTAGCTGGGATTACAGGCGCTCGCCACCACACCCGGCTAATTTTTTGTATTTTTAGTAGAGACAGAGTTTCACCATCTTGGCCAGGCTGACCTTGAACTCCTGACCTCTTGATCCACCCACTTCGGCCTTGCAAAGTGCTGGGATTACAGGTGTGAGCCACCACAGGTGGCCTGATTTTTTTTATTTAAATATTTTAACAGTGTTATTGAGACATAATTAAAATACCACACAACTTGCCCCTTTAAAGTGTACAATTTGATAGTTTTCAGCACATTCACAGAGTTGTGCAACTATCACCCTAATCAATTTTAGAACATTTCTGTCATCCCCAAAAGAAACCCTGTACCTATTATAAAGATGAAATACATATGAAGGTATTTTACTCTTACTGTAAACAAAAACACTGTTAGTTTCTGTTGTATTTATACAATAGGCATAAATGGAAAGGTATTTACACATATGGTTAGTTTCATTTATCATTCCTCATCAGTCATCTTGCCTGTCTTTCCCACCTTTCTCCTATGTTAAAAGGTATCTTACCTTCTGGTGACAAATATTTTGCCCATGTTCTGCTGATGTTTTTCCTTATTACCGCTTGTGTGCTTATCCTAAAAGTTCTTTTCTATATCCTTCCTCTTTTCTTCTGGTGGTTTCTAACTTCCCTTTGAATATCTTAGATACTACCATTGGTCCTAAAGCAACAGAGACTTTATTTATAAAACATGTCATGCATGATGTAATAAGTATGCAGCTCAAAAGCAAGACTTTTTATAATTACTTTTTTCTTTTATCATTAAATGTATTCTATTTTGTTCTCTCCTGCTGCAAAAGAAGAAAAAGATCTCAGCTGGGCATGGTGTCTCACATCTGTAATCCCAGCACTTTGGGAGGCCGAGGCAGGTGGATCACTTAAGGCCAGGAGTTTGAGACTAGCCTGGCCAACATGGCGAAACCCTGTCTCCAATAAAAATACAAAAATTAGCCGGGTGTGGTGGTGCATGCCTGTAATTCCAGCTACTTAGGAGGCTGAGGCAGGAGAATTGCTTGTACCTGGGAGGCGGAGGTTGCAGTGAGTCAAGATTGTGCCATTGCACTCCAGCCTGGGTGACAAAGTGAGACCCTGTCTCACAAAAAAAAAAAAAAAAAAAAAAAAGGAAAGAAAAGAAAGAAGACCTCTATCAGTAAGGCATTGCCTGTAATTTATTTACCATAAGAAATAAGACATAAGGTGACTTGCTAACATGAGTACACTTGGACTGTATTCTGGAAGGATAAGAAAATAAATTTGTATATTTGAATTGTTTAAAATGAAGGCATTTTGGCAATGTGTAGGATGGAAAAGATTAGGGATTAGTTGTGAAGCTCTTACATCTTGATTGTTGTATGGAGGACATGAACAATATGAATGTGATTAAAAAGAAAAGCAACTATGCAAGAGAGACCTGTTTCAAACACTTAGTAGTGTGACCTTGGCAAAGACTCTGTGGGGTCATCAGTCTGTCTTGGAAGTGGTAGGTTGGTGTATTGAATCCTAGGAGAATTTGATGAAAGCTGGCCAAGAGAAATGTTTGGAACTTCTTTTTTTTTTTTTTTTTTTTTTTAAGACAGGGTCTCACTGTGTTTCCCAGGCTGGAGTGCAGTGGCACAATCACAGCTTGCTGCATCCTCAACCTCCTGGGCTCAAGTGAGCCTCCCACCTCAACCTCTCGAGTAACTGGGACTATAGACGCATGCCACCATGCCTGGCTAATTTTTATACTTTTTGTGGAAATGGGGTTTTGCCATGTTAGACAGGGTAATCTCCAGTTCCTGAGGTCAAGTGATCCACCTGCTTCATTCAGCCTCCCAAAGTGCTGGAATTACAGGTGTAAGCCACCATGCCTGGCCTGTAAGTACATCATTTACTTAAAATTGTGCAGACAATATTTTTTTCTTACCTGACCTCATTACTGGATTGTGCACACAATTTGAGAATGCTTGTAGACAACCTGTGGCCCATTTGTGTAGGTTCATTGACTTTTTTTTGAGACAAAAATCTCACTGTTGCCCAGGCTGGAGTGCAGTGGTGCCATCAGGCTCACTACAGCCTTGACTTCGCAGGCTTACGTGATCCTCCCGCTTCAGCCTTCTGAGTAGCTGGGACTACAGATGCATGCCACCATGCCTGGCTGATTTTTTTTTGTAGAGACGGGGTTTCGCTATGTTGCCCAGACTGGTCTTGAACTCCTAGATGCAAGTGATCCTCCCGCCTTGGACTCTCAAAGTGCTGGCATTACAGACGTGAGTCATCATGCTCAGCAGGTTGATTGACTCTTAATAAAGAACTCTGACCTGGATAGTCTTTTTTTTTTTTAATTTAATTTTTAATTTTCTTTTTCTCTGAACACTCTCCAATGTTACGGATATTTTCTAAGGTCCCTAGAAGCTCTAAAATATTATTTATTACTTGAAAAATTGTAGCCTTTCAGCCTTGTAATTTCTCTTGTTTTGACAGAGTGGGTGATGTTGAATTTCCCTTTTTGATAGCTCTGATCTCAGAAAATATCTGGTTAGTTAAGTAATGTTTATTGAATAAAAATTCTCTACTTTTTTTTTAATTTTTAGGATTTGTAATAACAAAGACAAGATCCAAAAACAGCTTGAAAAAGAAAATTCTTGGAATTAAAAAAGCCTAAGTTATCTGGCAAAAAACCCTACTTTTTTTGCATATAGTCAGCTGAAAGTTTTTTCCAAGTGAAAAATGATTGAGGCTTGTAAAGAATGTTAGTAATCTTTGTGCCAGATCTTTAATCCAGAATACTCAAGGGTAACCAAAGTACTGAGTTTAGAGACAGTAGTTATACTTCTTTGAATTAATTATGTAGTCAGCTGTGGCATTCCATGGTCACTAGATAATGTTTTCTTTATGGCTTTTTATTCTTTGGGGAAATTAAAGTCCAGGAAGTTTTTATGTTTTCAGCCATCCAACTTCCCCTCTGTTATGATTTCTAATTTTTAAAACTGATTTTACTCTTTCAATTGATTCTATCCCCTCCACTTTTTTTTTTGAGACAGGTTCTTGCTCTGTCACTCAGGCTAGAGTGCAGTGGTACGATCTTGTGTTACTGCAGCCTTGACCTCCTGGGCTCAAGTGATCCTCCCGCTTCAGCCTGCCAAGTAGCTGGGGCTTCAGGTGCGTGCCACCACGCCTGCCTAATTTTTGCATTTTGTTTGTAGAGATGGGGTTTTGCCATGTTGCCCAGGCCGGTCTCGAACTCTTGGACGCAAGATACCCACCTGCCTTGGCCTCTCAAAGTGCTGGTATTACAGGTGTGAGTCACCGCACCCAGCCGAAAAGTATTCTATCCCCCCACCCCAATTTCTAAAAAAATAGATGGTGTCTTGCTATGTTGTCCAGTCTGGCCTCGAACTCCAGGGCTCAAGCAGTCCTCCTTCAGCCGCCTGAGTAGCCAAGACTACATGTGTGTGCCCAGTGTTGAATCCCCTTTTAATATACAAGTCTATTGAAATGATTATTAGAATTTATCCAATGAGTCTAAAAGGTTAAAATAGTCAAATTGATGTAAATGTTAAGCAAAATTAATTACTTTTTGGAGGGCTGGAGCTCACATTACTGTTGGCAGTAAGAAGATTCAGGATTAGGTAGTCACAATTTTCTATAGTGTCAAATTCCACAGTTTGAGAAACTATGGGATTTACATTCCTTTATCTCAGATACGTAAGTGGGTTTGCCAATTCTTAAAGATCCAAGCACTCTACATTCTGTTATTTAAAAAAGCATTAGTGGAGAATTTGCATGATATCAATAAATTTTGCCCCTTTTTAGTGAGCTTTAGCCTTTGATAAGGTATGGTAGGCAAATGGTCTGACTCTTAGGTCCTATGTAGCTTTTTTTGTGTGTGATAAAAGAAATGAAGAAATTTTAGGAGAATACAAGCACACAGATATGTGAAGCAAATGTTAACATGTATTAATAAGCTAGAGTCATTTACCCAACCTGTATTATAAAAGCCACTAAGGGAGAAGGCAGGGAAATGGTTGTATTAGTAGGCCTTTTCCCCTCTTTTCTCTTCTAATCCCCACATTAGCCTTTTCTTAGTGTGCCTCTTTTCTTTTTCAACTATATGTTTTCAACAATGAAGAAACCATTAGACTGCTATTTCTCAGTTGATGCTATTTCCTAACTGGGGCAACTTATTGCTCAACTCCTTTTTGCTAAAAAGATTGGACACAAATTAGTAGAGAGAATGGAAGATGGTGTGTTTGTGTCTGTGTGTGTATAGATGGGCGTGTACATGAACATGGTATTTATATAGTGTTGATTGGGGTGGAGGATGAATTTAAAGGGGGAAAGATGGATTAACACTACCATTCCCTGTTATGTGCTAACAAGATGTATCACAGAATGAAGAAAGAAAACAATTTGAAGGCTGGGTGTGGCGGCTCACTCCTGTAATCCCAGCACTTTGGGATGCCGAGGTGGTTGGATCTCTTGAGGTCAGGAGTTCGAGACCAGCCTGGCCAACATGGAGAAACCGTGTCTCTACTAAAAATACAAAAATTAGCTGAGTGTGGTGGCACGCACCTGTAATCCCAGCTACTTGGGAGACTAAGGCACGAGAATCGCTTGAACCCAGGAGGTGGAGTTTGCAGTGAGCCAAGATTGCACCATTGCACTCCAGCCTGGGTGATAGAGCAAGACTCTTAAAAAAAAAAAAAAAGAAAAGAAAGAAAATAATTTGAAAACACATAGTTGTTCTTAATATTTCTACCATACCTGAAGCAATAAGGTACTTTTCAATTTATAAATACTTGGGGTTTGGGAAGGCCTAATAGGTAACACCTTTAGCAACCCATTCAAGTTTGGGCTCAATAGAGAAAAGATAGGAAAACAAATGGTACTTCAAAATATGTCTTAATACAGATACATTGTGGATCAAAAGATGTGGGTTTGTTGTGTGACTACAGTTGGCCTCCTTAATATTTCACTTGTGTTAAATTTACTCAGCAAAACATTAACACAGCAGGTCTTTCCTGTGGGGATGGGGAGCAGAGAGGTACAGAGGTAACTTGGCCTCCTAACAGGAGAGCAGAACAGACTATCTTCAGCAGCAGTGTCTGCTGCCAAAATTTGGTCCCTCAGGTGGGGATGAATAAGGGGGCAGAGAGAAGCTAGGAATGTTCCTTTCTGCTTCCCCTCCCTTCAACACGAACAACATAGCACAAGAGTGACCCCTTCCCCAAAAGTGCCCTACAGATGTCATTCATATAGTCAGACACTACCTCTGGAATCCTGAAAGAATTGTTCTATCTTTTGTGTGGGTGTGCTTGAACACATCTGGTTTGTTTTGCTAAGAAGCCTTTAGTGTTGATTTATATTTAAGAAATTTTAATATTTTGGGGGGTGGGAGAAAGGGAAGAGAGAGAGAGTGAGTGTGTGTGTCTGTCTGTCGGTCTGTCTTTCATTTGAAAAGGTGATACGGAGGAATGTGGTCTCACATTTATCTCCATTGAGACATCAGCTTTTCAGGCTTACTAACAGTAGATCGCGAGACAAGGGATGGGGCGTCAAAAGATGACACATTTTTGGCCTATTTATGTACCTTTTCACTGGGTTTTCCCCCTTAAGATTTAATAAAGTAGTGATTATTTTCCTAGGCTGACCAGTGAAGCCTGTTAAATCTGTAATGTTTTAACACAATTCCATATACAATATTTGTAATGATATTTTAAAATTACTTTTCATTGCAGGTATATGCCATTTTGCTGTATTATGTTATAAATAGTGTTTGTGGCAGGGAATAACCTGAAAACCCAATCCAAAATTTCCTAGTGGCATAAGAAATTAATGTGGAACAATATCTGATGGCCTTTCTTAGCAACTGGATACCTGTGGGCTCATATTTCTTTTATGGAAATTTCTTGTAGTAACCAATGTTTCCTGGATGCATAAATTTAAGTTATTTGGCTTTGGCTTGTTTTTTTATGATTTAACAAGAATTTAAACTTCATTCTGAACTTATTGTATTGTCAGGACTATAATATATAATTAGAACCAGGCTTTTTTATTTTGGAGGTTTTTTTTTTTCCTTTTCATCTGTGCTGATCATAGCAAGATTCTACAAAAACCACATCCACTGAAAGACTTACTGTTATTTGATTTAAGAAGTTAGTATTTCTTGGAGTTAATTTTGGAAGTCCAAAATATCCTTATAAGTAGCTGGGTGTGGTAGCTCATGCCTGTAATCCCAGCACTTTGGGAGGCTGAGACGGGTGGATCACCTGAGGTCAGGAGTTCAAGACCAGCCTGGCCGACATGGTAAAACCCTGTCTTTACTAAAAATACAAAAACTAGCCATGGATGGTGGTGTGCACCCATAGTCCCAGCTACTTGGGAGGCTGAGGCAGGAGAACCGCTTGAACCCGGGAGGTGGAGGTTGCAGTGAGCCAATATTGTGCCACTCCAGCCTGGGCAAGAGAGCAAGACTTCGTCTCGGAAACCCTCCTGGGTTCAAGCGATTCTCCTGCCCCAGCCTCCCGAGGAGCTGGGATTACAGGTGCGTGCCACCACACCAGGCTAATTTTTGTATTTTTAGTAGAGACAGGATTTCGCCATGTTGGCCAGGCTGTTCTCGAACTCCTGACTGCAGGTGATCCACCCACCTCAGCCTTCCAAAGTGCTGGGATTACAGGCATGAGTCACTGCACCTGGCTAATGCAAGATAATTTTTAACAGTCCCTAATCAAAGATTTATGTATATTTAGCATTTTAGGTGTGATTTTAAAAAATTCTGTAACTTATAGAGATCTGATAGACAATATTAATATGTGTAGCCTCTAGTTTTTCATGTGAGAATATGTTTGGTAAGGATTACAATATCTAATTGTAGGTAAAGCTATAGAGACATAAATACCCCCAAGGCCCTTTATAGAATTCTGCACATGAAGAATTTTCTGATCTGTAGTTATTACTTTCCTTTGGTATAACTTCATCTTATATTTGTGGTTTTCTCCGTCTGCTGCTATGTCTGTTTTCTCAGCCAGGTCACATTATTTGAAGCTATGCTTCACTAAGTTAAAAAATATGCTTAAGCCCTTCTATTTTATGGTGTCTCTGCTTTAATAATTTATACATGTAACTCTGCATTTCTAATATAAAGAATGGAATGCTTTTTTTTTTCTCCTCATGAGAACTGCCTACCTGTTCTTGCAGTCTGGTCAGTGATTAGAGTTGATAATAGCTGTAAAAAAAACAATAAAATTTGTTCATTGTAAATTTTTTTCCCCAAGGGCTTATTGTTAGTATGGTTTCTGACCCAGTAACTACCTCAGTATGATTGAGACAGATTTGTATATAAATGTGAATTGACCCTAAGAAGGGTACTTGAAGTCTGAAATGTTTATCCATTTTGGTTCAAGTAAGTGTACCTAAGCTTTGTGGCAGAAGATGATGCCCAATGCAGTGTAGGCAGAGGATAAATTGATAGCTCCTCAGCTATGGATTAAAAATATGAAAATTGGCCAGGTACAGTGGCTCACGCCTGTAATCCCAGCACTTTGGGAGGCCGAGGCAGGTGGATCACTTGAGGTCAGGAGTTCGAGACCAGCCTGACCAACATGGTGAAACCCTGTCTCTACTAAAAATACAAAAATTAGCCAGGCGTGGTGGTGTGCGCCTGTAATCCCAGCTACTCAGGGGGCTGAGGCAGGAGAATTGCTTGAACCCGGGAGATGGAGGTTGCAGTGAGCCAAGACTGTGCTGCTGCACTCCAGCCTGGACGACACAGCAAGACTCCATTTAAAAAAAAAAAAAAAAGAAAAAGAAAATCTTTTAACCATTTTAGTTAGGGCTCTCCAGTTACTAGGGAGTCCTGACTGGGACATTAGGATTACATGATGTAATAAAAACTAGTATTTTGGGGCTGGATGCAATGGTTCACACCTGTAATCCCAGCCTTTGGGAGGCCGAGGCGGGAAGATTACTTGAGCTCAGGAGTTCGAGACCAGCCTGGGAAACATAGTGAGACCTCGTCTCTACAAAACATTTAAAATATTAGCTGGGTGTTGTGGTGTGTGCCTGTGGTCCCAGCTACTCAGGAGGCTGAGGCAAGAGGACTGTTTGAGCCTGAGAGGTCGAGCTCTTTTTATTTTGTCATTGATCCATTCTGAGAGTGGAACCCTTATGACCTAAATACCTCCCATTAGGCCCCACCTCCAAATACTGTTGCATTGAGGATTAAGTTTCCAACAGATGAATTTTGGGGAACACATTCAGATCATAGGACTGAACATTGTTTTTTCAAGTTTCATTCATGGTGATGAATTAGCTTTTGTTGCTTTTCACGGAGGAATAATATTACATTTGCAAATATACCACAATTAGAATTTTCTATTCTTCTGTCAGTGGATTTTTGGATTTTGAGTAGGTTTTTGCTCTTTTGAACAGTGTTGTCCTGAATGTTGTTATATATGTATTCCAAATGTACATGTCCAGGACTTTGCTTAGGATTCGTGGCTAGAAGTCTAATTGCTAGATGGTAGGGTATGCAGCTGTTCAACTTTATGAGCTAGAAACAACTGTATTTATATCATGTAAATATCAAAACAAATTTATATCATGTAAATTTCTAACAGTGTTCTTCCCCTTCTAAACTTGGTATTATCAGGTTTCTTAGGTTTTGCTAAGATTTTATATACAGTGGTCAATACATTACAAATGTTACTCTGTTTTTAGTTTGTGAGCTCCCTTATTACTAATGAGGCTAAATATTGTGTGATAGATCTCATTTGCCATTTGTTTTCCCTCTTTCTGCAATACCTTTTATCTATTTTTTATTAGATTATCTTTTATGAAAGTGGTTAGTGGAGTTCTTTGTATTTTCTGTGTGCTAATTTTTTGTCATTTATGTGTGTTGGAATTTATCCTCTAAATTTATGTCTTTTTACTTTGTTTATAGTGCTCTTTGAACAGAACTCATTACTTTTTATGCTGGTGATTTTATCAAGTTTTAAAAATTAATGCTTTTGGGACTGATTTTTAGATTTTTCCCTGTGAGATTAGAAGAAAAATTCTCCTGTGTTTCTTTCTAAAGCTTTCAAAAGTTTGCCTTTCGTGTATAACTGTTTGATACATTGGGAACTGACTGTGGTATGTGGTAGGAATCCAATTTATTTTCTTTCACATTGCTAGCCGGAGGTCCCGATACTATTTATTACACAATCTTTCCTCGTTGATCTGCAGTGCCACCTGTGTTTCCATTTATGCTTGGGTATGTTTCTGAGTTGTTTATTCTTTCTCCATTGATTAATTTCTTTATCCCTGGGTCAATACCATATGTTGTTAAAAACTGTAATGTTATGGTAAATTTGGATATCTGTTAGGGCAACTCAGCCTTGCCTTTTTTCTTCTTGAAAATATCTTATTTTGGGTCCTTTATTCCTTTTTTTTTTTTGAGATGGAGTCTCACTTTTTTGCTAGCTGGAGTGCAGTGATGCAATCTCAGCTCACTGCACCTCCGCCTCCTGGGTTCAGTTGATTCTCCTGCCTCAGCCTCCCAAGTAGCTGTGACTACAGGCGCGCGCCACCACGCCCAGCTAATTTTTGTATTTTTAGTAGAGATGGGGTTTCACCATGTTGGCCATGATGGTCTCGATCTCTTGACCTCATGATCCACCTGCCTCAGCCTCCCAAAGTGCTGGGATTACAGGTGTGAACCACTGTGCCCGCCCAGGTCCTTTATTCTTTAACATAAATTTTTGAGTTTCCTTCAAGTTCCTAAAAAATCTTGTTGGGTTTCTGATGGGAATTGGATGAAATTGATAGATAAGTTTGGGGAGAATTGATATTTTTATGATAGTGTTTTCCTTTCTATAAATGTGAACTATCTTTCTATTTAATGAGGTTTTCTTTAATGTGGTTCAATAATGTATCATTTCATTCTCTCTATAAATTTTTATAAAACTTTGGCTAGATTTCTTCTCACATACCTTGTATTTTCTTGCTATTATATCTCTTTAGATTTTAAAAAATTTCCAGCTGTCATTGATGATACAAAGTCAAAATTGCTTTTTTTAAAAAAAGAAAAAAATCTTTTTTTTTTTTAATGCTTTAATGCTTTTTAGCCTCCCGAGTAGCTGGGACTACAGGCGCGCACCACCACGCACAGCTAATTTTTGTATTTTTAGTAGAGACGGGATTTCACCATGTTGGCCAGGATGGTCTCTATCTCTTGACCTCGTGATCTACCTGCCTTGGCCTCCCAAAGTGCTGGGATTACAGGCATGAGCCATCATGCCCGGCCTCTCCTTCATTCTTGAAGGATAGTTTTGTTGGATATGGAATTTTTGGTGGACAATTTTTTTTTTTCCTTTCTGACCTTTAAATATGTAATCTTACTTCTGGCCTCCATGGTTTCTGAAGAGAAATAAGCTGTTAATCTTATTGAGGATCTCTGGTTTTGATGGTACCTCTCACTTATTGTTTTCAAAATTGTCTTTGAGTTTCAGCAGTTTGACTATAATGTATCTCAGTGTGAACCTCCTTGAGTTTATTCTGCTTAAAGTTGTTGAGTTTCTTGGATGTGTAGATTATGTCTTTCCTCAGATTTGGGAAGTTTTTGGTTATTTTCTTTTTTTTTTTGAGACAGAGTCTCGCTGTGTCACCCAGGCTGGAGTGCAGTGGTACAATCTTGGCTCACTGCGAGCTCCGCCTCCTGGGTTCACACCATTCTTCTGCCTCAGCCCTCCGGAGTAGCTGAGACTACAGGCGCCCGCCACCATGCCTGGCTAATTTTTTGTATTTTTAGTAGAGATGGGGTTTCACCATGTTAGCCAGGAAGGTCTCGATTTCCTGACTTTGTGATCCACTTGCCTTGGCCTCCCAAAGTGAGTTATTTCTTCACGTATTTTTTCTGCCTCTTTGTCTTTCCCTTCTCCTTGGTCTTTTATGGTACGTAGTTGGTACACTTAGTAATGTCTCACAGGCCCCTCAGGCTCTGTTCCTTTTTCTTCATTCTTTTTTCTTTCTACTACTGAGAGTGGACAGTTTCAATTTTCTTATCATCATATTTGCCAGCTCTTTCTTCTGCCTGCTCAAATTTGCTGTTGAGTACATCTGGTGAATTTTTTATTTTAGTTGTTTTTCAGCTCCAGAATTTGTTGTGTTGCTTATTATAATTTCTGCCTTTACTGGTATTCTCATTTTGTTCATACATTTTCCCCCTTTATCCTCCTTTATTACCTTTCGTTCTTTGTCCATGGGTTTTTTTCTTTTTCAATCTCCTGGAGCTTTTTTTTTTTTTTTTTTTTTTTTTTTATGAAATTGACTTAATGTCTTTGACTAGTAATTACTTTGGGCTTCCTCAGGGAAGATTTTTGTCAAATTCCTTTTTCTAGGGAATGGGCCATACTTTCCCGTTTCTTGGTATGTTTTGTAATTTTTTGTTGTTGACAACTGGATACTCTGAGTATTATAGTATGGTAACTATAAATCTGTTTCTCCCACTCCTCAGTGATTGCTGTTTTTTGCTTGTTGAGGGCTGAAGCCACCTGTTTGTGACTTTACAAGCTATTTTCACAAAGTATGTATTCCATATTGTGTATGGTCACAAGTTTTTGTTCTGTTGTCTCTGTGGCTAGCTGGTGACCTGACAAAGATTTTCTTAGATATCTGGCTCCAAAAAAGGAGATCAAAAAGGTTTTACCTTTTTTATTGTTCTAATAATACTTACAGTGAAAGCCACTGCTGTGGAGAGTAGTGAAACTGATGCATGTGCCTGCATCACTCCCTTAGGGCCAGACCAACCAAAATGTACAACCCTAAATTTTGAAGGACATGATCCCTACTGTCCCTCCTGGCACCGGTTAGCAACTCCAGGAACATGGGCTGCTATCCCCACTGCCACAAGAGGTGGTGGGTGTGGTGGTGGTGGTTGTGAGGAATAGGGGAAGGTAATTGGTTTATGCATGCTGCTTATTCATACTTATGAAAGATCGGTAGCCTCTTCCTTCATCAAGCACTCCCCTGGTTGTTAAAAGGGTTTGGTCAGTTCCTAGAGTTCTACTAAAGTACTTGATTCCAGTTACTCTTAGTTTTTTTTTTTAACTCTTACTTTTTTTGAGACAGAGTCTTGCTCTGTCTCCCAGGCTGGAGTACAGTGGTGCGATCTCAGCTCACTGCAACCTCCGCCTCCTGGGTTCAAGCAATTCACCTGTCTCAGCCTCCTGAGTAGCTGGGATTACAGGTTTGCGCCACCATGCCTGGCTAATTTTTGTATTTTTAGTGGAGACAGGGTTTCGCCATGTTGCCCAGGCTGGTCTCGAACTCCTGACCTCAGGTGATCCACCCGCCTCAGCCTCCCAAAGTGCTAGGATTACAGATGTGAGCCACCATGCCCCGCTCCAGTTACTCTTTCTAGCTCAACTTTTACTTTGGTGGGGAGACTGACCCCTAGATCTTTCTATTCTGTCATTTTGCATCCATGATGTCTTTTGAAGTTCAAATGTTTTAAATTTAGTTAAGCCCAGTTCATCAACTTTTTCTTTTGTAGATCATGTTTTTGTGTCATATCCAATAATTATTTTCTTAAACCATGGTGACAAAGATTTTTTCTTGTGTTTATTTGTGTGGGTAGATAGGAAACCTTTAGGGTGCAGGCAGGTCACGTAGGAATTGTAGAGGGAATATGACTTGATGAGAACTGTCTGGCCTGTGTGGGGCTTGCAGAGGAAATTGGCACACTGTTGCTGGCAGGAAGCCTTTGGTGGAGTCAATTTTTTTGTTGAGCAGGCTGCAGGAACGCCATCTCCAGGTTGAGGCTGCAGGTTCAGCAAGGCTGCAGGTTTGCTGAGGGGCTGCAGTCTGGGCATCGAGCTAAGCAGAATTTTACTGGATGTCCTCACACTTCTACCCGATCCACTCTGCAGCAGCTGGAAACCACAGGAGAGCCCCTTTCTCCTTCAGTGTCCCTTTGGTGCCCTCTACCCAGAAAGCTTAATAATTTCATGTTTGTTTTAAAGGAGAAATGATTAAAGGAATTTTTTCTGTTATCTTAGAGCATAAAGGTGAATTTGGAGTTAAGAGGTATTAGAAGAATCATCAACAGAAATAATAAAAAGATAAACAAATTGGAAGGAAAATGATAGCCATAAATAAGATGTAGACATTTGTTTAAATCAGCTACAAAGTGTTTTCTTGATAAGTGGTACACAACGTATCAAACATTGTTTAAATTAATAGACCATCCTTTGAGGCTTCAAATTTTTTTCTTAGAAGTATTCCTAGTCCTCAGCATATTCATTATTGAAAACGTTCACCTATTTAGTGATCTTATGAAGTAGAGAATTAAGTCACTGTACATGGTCTCTGAGGTGAAACCTCCAGAGTATCTTAAAGTAGAAATTACTCTAGTGTCATATGTTTATTTCTGTTATACACCTGAGGAAATAAGAGTGTTTATTTCCTTTTCCTTTCTTTTTTTTTTTGGAGGCAGGGTCTTGCTCTGTTGCCCAGGCTGCAGTATAGTGGCAGTATCATAGCTCACTGCATCCTTAACTCCTGGGCCCAAGTGATTGTCCCACCCTAGCCTCCCAAGTAGCAGGGACTACAAGGTGTGCACCACCATGCCTGGCTATTTTTTTTAATTTTTATTTTTTGTAGAAACAGGGTCTCACTACATTGCCCAGGCTGTTCTCAAACTCCTGGGCTCAAGTGATCCTTTTGCTTTGGCCTCCCAGTGTTGGGATTACAGGCATGAGCCACTATGCCTGGCCATTTCTTTTCTTTATTATTGATTAGCCTGCATTCTTTTGTAGGAGTCCCTTAACATTTTTCATTAAAAACTTATTTTCTATTATCACTAATCTGCACTTTTAAGATATATTGATACGGCATTTTGAGTATAGATAAATCTAATTATTTGGGACTTCAATTTGGAACTGTTTGTAATTAATCATATGTGTGAATTAAGAATTTTCTTACTGTTCACTTATAGCTTATGCAAAGGGTTTATATTGAGTTGAATTCATCAGTACCTTCCTAATTGGTTCATTGGGCCCTGGTCATGTTGTTTTGATGGGTACATATGTTGAGTATCATCCCTGCTTACATAAAAAAATAGGTACTTAATTTGGTTGGTTAGGGCATGGAGATAATAGGTAAAATCCTTAATACTTGTGCAGGGTGCACAATGACGCGGAGTGCAATGAGGCGGTCTCGGCTCACTGCAACCTCCGCCTCTAGGGTTCAAGCGATTCTCCTGCCTCAGCTTCCCGAGTAGCTGGAATTACAGGTGCCCACCACCACGCTTGGCTAATTTTTGTATTTTTAGTAGAGACAGGGTTTCACCATGTTGGTCGGGCTAGTCTTGAGCTGCTGACCTCGTGATCCGCCCGCCTCAACCTCCCAAAGTGCTGGGATTACAGGTGTGAGCCATCGCACCTGTCCTGGGTTTTGTTTTTTTTTTTCTAGATTTTTCAGTGAGAGATACTTTCTTCCTTGGTTATATATTGACTCTTTTGTAGTAAGCTTTCTTGTACATAGCTGGCCTAGGAAAGACAGGTTATGTATATATATTATAGCAATAGGGGATTAGTAGATATAATTTTATTATAAATAACAAATTATTACTGTAAATAATATTTATCCAAATATTGTATTACTTAATCCTTTAACTGTTATATAGATTCTTTTAAATGTTTTTGTTTTCAGAATTTTGGCTCTTATTGTTAAGTACATGTACAGTCAATTCTAGTATACTTTGTAGCTGATTTAGACAAATGTTTGCATCTTATTTATGGCTATCATTTTCCTTCCAATTTGTTTATCTTTTTATTATTTCTGTTGATGATTCTTCTAATACCTCTATATAAGCCAGATAGTCTGTATTTTACTTTAAGTTCTGGGACACAGGTGCAGAATGTGCAGGTTTGTTACACAGGTATACGTGTGCCATGGTGGTTTGCTGCCCCTATCAACCTGTTATCTAGGTTTTAATCCCTGCATGCATTAGGTATTAAGCTACATATTCTTAATTGAGCCTTATTATTCTAAGTAATAGTGGTATAAGTAGTAGAAATAGTTTTATTTAAAAGTATTTTTGTTTTTGCCTTGGGAACAAACTTATTATAAAATTACTGTTAAATAGCTCTCTGGTTACAAAAAACACAATTCATGTAACTTTTCTGTGTTTCAGAAACCTTTTTCCAAAAAGGACAAAGGAACTCAAATCAGTTGTCCATAGTGCTCCTGGTTGGAAATTATTTGGTAAAGTCCCTCCTAGAGAGAATCTTCAGAAAACATCCAAAATCATTCAGCAGGTAAGTACTGACATAGCCATGTAGTTTACCCTAGCTTTTCAAGCATTCTTCTTCTTCTTCTTCTTTTTTTTTTTTTTTTTAAACTAACCATATTCTATTTTTATTCTTATTTTTCTAGATACAGACTTTTGGGATTATAAGTATTTATAGGGACCTGCTAAATTTTCTAGAAAAACAGGTCATATATTTTCTGTTATCTTTTATAATTGTGAAAATTCTTCAAATAGAACGTAGACTTTTTTTTTTAACCAGTTATTCCTTGAATAGATTTTTTAAAAACTTAGCTAATCACTCTCACCACATACTGTTTGACTTCCAGTTGAAGTTGGTAGCATTTGTCAGTGGCACAGATGTTCTGAATATTGGTAGTTGTGAACTGATGAAATATTAAAAAGCAAAAACTGAGTAGATTATGAGGTTGAACTCCTTCCTTTGTCACTTTTCTGGTGTCCTCTCTAAACCAAGGACTTTGTAAATGAGAAGAGTTGGTACACAATCTGTTTCTAGTAATTTAGAAGCTATTTCTTCTGATATCTCTGTTAACATCTGTATTCTTGAGTTCTTAAGACTTTCTGATCTTATTTGACTTCTGAACTTTGGCTCTTCAGTACTAGATAAGTGAGAATGGAAAGCAGTGAGACTGGATCAATCTGCAGTGTTTTAAAGTTCAGAGAAGTTATTGCTCAGAAGAAGACATATAGTACATTTCCTATTTTTATCCTTCCCAATTGTAGTTTACCAAATTTAACACAGCTAGCATTTATAAAAACAATCACATGAAGGCAATAATCATCATTCAAATTGGAAAAGATATCTTCCTTTAAAGATTTAATAGTGTTCCTTTTATTGCTCAGAAGAAAAACTGGTTTTCCAAGTAATATGAGAAAATAATTTTAGATCTTTAAAAACATTATTGTAGTTAATTCTTTTTTTCTTCTTTTTGCATTTGAATAAAAGGTTTATTTTTTTCCTCAGGAAAAACAAAGTTAGGGACACACACTATGCTTTTAGAACCCATATTCTTTTGTAGTTGGTCCTAACCCTTCCTGGCACAGCTGTCAAAAGCACTAGCTGTTTAACCAGAACCAAGATGTTCACCCCCATAGAATGTACATGCACGGCACTAGAGGACTGCATGTTTGTCCCTGAGAGAAGCATAAGACAAACAGAAGTTGCTGAGATTGCCGTCTTTCTAAGCAGCCCCTCCCTTTCCCTTTTGAAGGATTTGCCTGAACTATGTAGCTAGTCAGTAGTTAGACCATGTGCCTCCTCCTCTCCCTGTAAACTAACTTAATTTCTTTTTTCAAGAGACTTGGTATTGCTATGTTGCCCAGGCTGTCTTCAAACTCCTGGGCTTAAATGATGATGCTCCTGCCTCAGCTTCCTGAGAAGCTGGGACTACAGGTATGTGCCACCACACCTGGCTTGTAGTTAATTTTCTTTACAAGTGATGAAAATAGTGAATAGTTTATCTATTGGTACTTAAAACTGTGTGCTGTGATCCCCAAGCCATGTGCTCAGACACTCTGGTGTGCTGCACTTAACACACTGGGGTACTGTGGGATATTTAAATTTTTTGAGGCAAACAGTGATATTCCACATCAGTTGGATATGGTGGAGACTGGTAATTAGAAGCAGTACACAGTTCCAACATTAAGTGCTACTACATACTTTTCTGTGGCATCATATCTTTGTGAATCTGTTTTTTCTGAGGTTGCTGTGATAAAAACCAGATACTGTAAAAAAGTCAGCGTGGGACTGGAAATGAGGGTTATGTCTAATCTGATTTTAAGGTTTGAGAAATTGTATACAATGCACAAAGCCACACATGCCCAAATTGGTAATTAATTGCGGTTATTTAAGAATGAGGCCGAGTATAGTGGCTCACGCCTGTAATCCCAGAACTTTGGAAGGCAGAAGCAGGCAAATCACTTGAGGTCAGGAGTTCAAGAGCAGCTTGGCCAACATGGTGAAACCCTGTCTCTACCAAAAATACAAAAAATTAGCCAGGCATGGTGGTGCATGCTTATAGTCCCAGCTACTTGGGGGATGAGACAGGAGAATCGCTTGAACCTGGAAGGTGGAGGTTGCAGTGAGCCAAGATCATGCCACTGCACTTCAGCCTGGGTGACAGAGCAAGACTCCATCTCAAGAAAAAAAAAAAAAAAGAATGAAAGAAAACATATTTCTTTTTTCAATTTATGTGTATTTTTTTTTTTTAGCAGTTACTAAGTGTTAGGAAATATATCCTTATTAAATTGTTTGGACATAGCTACTTATTAAACAGAATCATTAGGTATTTCTTTTGGCTTAAGAGTTACTGTGAAAAAAATCAGAGACACTAAAGGCATTGACCAAGAAAGGTTGGGAACCTCTGCTATTGTGACATCTTAAGTTTTAGCTCCTTTTTTTTTCTTTTGGTAAAGTCTGAAAGTAACGTCTCTCGTCTAGAATGTTTCAGAAGACCAAGTTCGCCCTCTAGAGGCAAAACGGTGGTCTTGCTACTGAAGGTTTATACAGGTATTTTTGATTTTTATGGTAGTTTAAATATGCATGCACATACATTTTTATATCTTTATATAAACTAATGTTCTATGATATTTTCTTACCATAAGTCTCTGAATAAATTACTGGTTGGATAATTATCTTTGCTGATACGCTGTATACCTTTAATCTGCTATTTTCATTTCGGAAAGCCAAGACCTCACATTCTCTTTTTTTTTTTTTTTTGAGACGGAGTCTTGCTCTGTCGCCCAGGCTGCAGTGCAGTGGCACGATCTCGGCTCACTGCAATCTCCGCCACCCGAGTTCACGCCGTTCTCCTGCCTCAGCCTCCCAAGTAGCTGGGACTACAGGCGCCCGCCGCCACGCCTGGCTAATTTTTTTGTATTTTTAGTAGAGACGGGGTTTCACCGTGTTAGCCAGGATGGTCTCAATCTCCTGACCTCGTGATCCGCCCGCCTCAGCCTCCCAAAGTGCTGGGATTACAGGCGTGAGCCACCGCGCCCGGCCCCTCACATTCCCTTTTTTATATATGTGGTATAAAAACTTGATGAGTGGGCCGGGAGCGGTGGCTCAAGCCTGTAATCCCAGCACTTTGGGAGGCTGTGGCGGGCAGATCACGAGGTCAGGAGATTGAGACCATCCTGACCAACATGGTGAAACCCCGTCTCTACTAAAAATATAAAAATTAGCTGGGCGTGGTAGCACGTGCCTGTAGTCCCAGCTACTTGGGAGGCTGAGGCAGGAGAGTCACTTGAACCCGGGAGGCGGAGGTTGCAGTGAGCCGACGTTGTGCCACTGCACTCCAGCCTGGCAAAAGAGCGAGAATACGTCTCAAAAAACAGCAACAACAGCAATAGAACTTCATGAGTGGTCAGGAAAAGAACAGCTCTTTTTCATTTGAGAAGAAGGGGTAGAGTTGAAATGTAGTTGCTGCCTCTGCCTCTGCGGCCCCTTCTCTGATCCTTTAACTGACGATTATTTCTCTGCGCCACTTATTTTAGTTTTCGAACTTTCCAGCTATGTCACAGCTATTAGTATATGTTTTAGTGCCCTTTTTGTGGTTATGTTTGTTCTCTGGGAGGCATTATGTATAGTCAAGTCATTTTTCTTCTGACCTTTTTCCATCTTCAAAATATGTATCAGCTGGGTGCGGTGGCTCACACCTTTAATTCTAGCACTTTGGGAGGCTGAGGCTGGTGTGTCACCTGAGGTCAGGAGTTCGAGACCCGTCTGGCCAACATGGTGAAACCTGGTCTCTACTAAAAATACAAAAATTAGCTAGGTGTGGTGGCAGGTGCCTATAATTCCAGCTGCTCGGAAGGCTGAGGCAGGAGAATCACTTGAGCCTGGGAGGCAGAGGTCGTAGTGAGCCAAGGTCGTGCCCTTGCACTCCAGCCTGGGTGACAAGATTAAAACTGTCTCAAAAAAAAAAAAAAGTATTACTTTTACCATGTGATGGAACATGTTTCTACCTCTTGCTTTCTACTATCTCTGCTTCAATGTGTGTCCTCTACTCCCTATTTGTCTAATTTTGCTGTCCTCTTCCCTGCAATTCTCATTTTTCAAAGTGGGCATGATTTTCTTTTTATAGTAATGGTAAATTTACAATTTTATGTCTCTGTTTTAACTTAGAAACATTTTTTCATAGCACTGATTTTTGAATTCTCTAGAAGATTATGAATATAAAACTGTATCTGAGTTCCTTTACCATGTATGCTTTCAGATAGATGTTATTACGTTTGGAATCAGAAACCGAAAGTGAATATAGTATCAGTAAAGCCATGAAGAATGTTAGGACACTTCTGTCATGTTTTGGGATAGGTTCTTAAGCTGTTAAGGCTTTAGGAAATGAAGAGGTAGCTGGTAATTTAGGTGTGAAAAACTGCTTGGAGAAATGATGCCTCACTTGCTTTTTGAATGGTAAAGCAGTAAGATTTATTAGGAGATTAGAGTAGTAGTATTTCATTGGCTAATAACTTTTTAAAGCAGGTCTTCAGAAAGAAGTTGTTGATTCTTTTAAAACATTTTTTGAAAAAAAATTTTTTTTTGGAATGTGGGGCTCACTATGTTGCCCAGGCTGGCCTCAAACTCCTGGGCTCAAGCAATCTTCCCGTCTTAGCCTCCTGAGTACAGGGCACTACAGGCGCACACCACTGTGTCCTGCAGAGTTGCCATATTTTTAAATATGTTATTAAACCAAACATTTCTTTAATGGAAAGACATCTGTAAGATTACACACTAAGTAAAGAAGAAAAGATTTAATTTACAAAGTTTTTGCTGGGTGCGGTGGCTCACATCTACAATCCCAGCACTTTGGGAGGCTGAGGCAGGTGGATCACTTGAGGTCAGGAGTTCCAGACTAGCCTGGCCAACCACATTTCTACTAAAAACACAAAAGAATTAATGGCCATAGTGGTGCTTACCTGTAATCTCATCTACTTGGGAGGCTGAGGCAGAAGAATCACTTGAACCTGGGAGGTAGAGGTTGCAGTGAGCCGAGGTCGTGCCACTGCACTCTAGCCTGAGCTGTTTCAAAAAAAAAAAAAAAAAAACCTTTTTTATGTATTATTAGTGACACAAATAACACATGATTATATTCTCTTTATAAAATATAAAACATAGAATGATATATCTCAGTTCACTTTCCTTTCACATTTTTAGGCCTTTTAAAATTCATTTTTTTGTGTGGAAAAAACACGTAATTATTTTTACATGTATATATTTTGCATATGTGGAATTATATGTTTTTTTCTATTTCAAGAATGAAATGTCACCATATTTAATTATATAGATGTGTATATATATACACACACACACATCTATATACAATTTAACTTTACATGTTTTGTACCTGTATCTTTTCAGAGATATTTGGGTTCATAAGTGAAAGAATCTGTTAAATATTTTAAAACTTTTTATTCCTGCAGTAACTTTTATTACAAGTCTAATCAATTTTAGTGCTTTCCATGTTAACAGTAAAGAAACATAAAAAACGTTTTAGGATTATAGCAAAATCAAACTGACTGAAGTTAACTTGATAATCAATTCCAAAATCACAAGAACATTCCTAGTATTACTTTTTGAGGATTATCACATGTGTTCTCTTGCAGATGTGAAATTCCGCTTGTGGCCTTTTGAACCAGTTGGTGAGCCGTGTTAAAAATTGAATCTGTTAATTATAAATAGTATTTCAGTTATATCGTAGTTCAGTTGACCTGAGTTTTTTGTTTTTTTTTCTAAATTAGTAGGTAAAGTTGGAATAGCTACATGGTTTGTCTTAGGAACTCGAAACTGCAAGTGAGAATGATTTCAAATGAACCATGTTATATGTAATTATGATACAATTGCATACTAGATTGAATATGCACTATTTATGCATATTTATGTCAAACTGATAATCTCTCAGTGAAACTTACCTTTTTTTGCTAGGCACTGCTTTTATATTGGCATCTTTAATGTGAAAACGAAATTGTAGTGCTTAGATGATCAAGTTTTTCATCAATACACATGCCATTTTCTGGTAAAGTTTAAGTTGAGTGGTTGAATCAGTTTCACATAAATTTTGACAGGCAAGGAAAAAAGTTGTAAGATACTGATTTCTTAATCAGAGAGTTTCAAATTGTCTAAAAGTAGAATAGATCACTTTCCTCAGTTAAGGCTTTGCTTTTGAAATTTTTTACTGCAGGAACAACATTATGGAAAGGACTAGCATACATGTGTTTTGTGAGCAGTAGTTAAATGTTAAATACATAACACTTAGAACATGTTGGGGCTTAATTTTCTGGTTTCTGATTTTATTGGTATGTGTAATAGAGTATTTGAAAAGTTTATTGGTTTTAATTATGCTTAAATATAGATATTCTTGCTGTAAAATTTGATTACTGCAAAAACAAAACAATTATTTCACTGATGTTAAATTGTAGGGGGACTGGACTGTGTTCAGAAGTTATTCTTTAAAAATTTTGTTTTTGAGACAGGATCTCACTCTGTTGCCCAGGCTAGAATGCAGTGGCACAATCATGGCTCACTGCAACCTTGACCTCCTGGGTTCAAACGATCCTCCCACCTTAGCCTCCCTGGTAGCTGAGACTACAGGTGCATGCCACCATGCCTGGCTAATTTTTTTATATTTTTAGTAGAGACAGGGTCTCACTGTGTTTCCCAGGCTGGTCTTGAACTCCTGGGCTTAAGTTATCCTCCTGCCTAGGCCTCCCAAAGTGTTGGGATTACAGGCATGTGCCACCATGCCTGGCCCGAAAAGTTTAAAAAATTGTTACACTCTTGCATGTTTTGTTTTCACCTTTATTTACCTCATCTGTTATCACCTTGAAAAGGTAGTGAATAACTACACTTCTAGTTGCGTGTGTGTTCTTTATTGATGGTTGATAAATTATTATGCATTTCTGTGTATAAATGGATTTCATAAAAAATAATTTGTGTGGTCTAAAGATTGGAGAGGTACTAGTAATATTTCTGGGCCTATGCTTCTGGGAGAAGGGAGAAGTATGATCCTCAAGAGAGAAGCCTAAATTATTAAAGAAAATTAAAAGAATAAAGATAAGTTTTCACAAATTAAACGGTAGAATTTGAGGGGACGTTTTTTCATTTTATCAGAAACAGAGACTTGGAAAGGGTTATGTTTGAAAATACTCTGAATATCTATATTTGATTACAGGAATACTGTTTTGCTTATCAACATTATATTAAAAGTTGTATTCATCCTGTCTTTATCTCAGACTTGTATATTATAGCAGGCTTCAGACTAAACAAACAAGATTGTGCTGGTAACTTTGCAAAAATGAAGTTTACTACGGTACTCTTATATGCCAGAAAGTGATGAAATGCTTTGCCCCGAGACTGCAATTGAGCTTGAAATATAGGATGGGTTTTTTGTCTCCTAATTCATAGATCTGGAATAAAATTTATAATCTATAAAGACATCATAATCAGCTAAACCCTGTCTATCCCAAGCATAATGGTTTCCTCAGCTCTTAGATCAAGTTGTGTAAGAGACTCTATCTTGGGCAGACATGGTCTTGAGATAGTAGAGGTGGGGAGTTTTTCTGCTTCTGAAACATTATTCTGGCTCTCTATAAATTGTTCACAGCATATAGAAATAGAAGGATTTACTCACTAATGTGGTTTAACACTAACCCCTTTAAGGGGAGTGTTCCTACTGTCCATTGAAACTCAAAGTCAAGTCAGTTAATGGATATATCAGGGTATATATCAGGCAATTTTGGCTCTCTCCTTGTCTTTGAAGGAGAAGCTTCTATGCTACTGTTCTTTCTTCTTGTCAGTCCCCATATTTTATTTATTTAGGCAGCTATTCAAAGATTCTTGCCACCCTCCCTTTGAATCCAGTCTGATCTTTTCACATATTTCCATCCTGGTACACTTCTTTGGTAAATCGCTTTCGCTACAAAACGCAAGGCATCAAAGTGTGGTAGAATACCATTCTGCTGCCAATTCAATGTGTGACCTGATATTAGCAAACTCTAGGCTTTTTCTATAGCAGAACTTGAAGGACAGAATTCTTGAATTGATCTTAGATTTCTTAAGATTTTCTGGCTTATTTCCATGAATTCTTTATTCAAAAAATACTATGTATAATGCAATAGGTATAATTTAGGTTCTTGGTGCATATATCTATATCTATATCTACATCCTAGCCTTTGAGTTATTTCAGTATAACTGCAGGGGACAAGGGGTAGAAGAGAATTTCATATGTAACTATAATATTGTGTTTTAAGTGCTTTAGTGGAGTTGTGACAGGGTATGAGAGTACAGTTGAAAGAGTGATTTATTTTTCTCAGAGATGACATGCAAATTGTGTTCCTAAGTGTATTAGTAGGAATTAAGCAGGCAGACAAGATGGGGAAAGCCATTCTAGATAGAGGAAATTGAAAAAGCAAACAGGAATGAATAGGATCTGTTTAGCTAATAGGACAGTATATCAAAGATACAGGGTAGATGGTGAAGGCTCATTAGCCACGAGGCTAGAGAATTGGGTTTTATCTAAAATACTTTTAAATGAGGTACTGAGATATCAAATTTATGTATTAGAAAAATAATTCTGGAGGGATTATAGGAGCTGAATTAGAAAACAGTAACGATCGAGCAATCCCGCTACTGGACATTTATCCATACAAAAGGAAATCAGTATATCAAGGAGACATATGCAACCCCATGTTTATTGCAGAACTATTCACAATAGCCAAGATATGGAATCAGCCTAGGTATCCCAACAACAGATGAATGGGTAAAGAAAATATGGTATATATACACAAGCATATACTATTCAGCCATAAAAAAGAATGAAATCTTGTCATTTGTGGCAACATGAGTGGAACTGGAGGACATTATGTTAAGTGAAATAAGCCAGAAATGGAAAGTTAAACACCACAAGTTCTCACTTACATGTAGGACCCAAAAAAGAAAGTTGATCTCATAGGAGTAAAAAATAGAACAGAGGATACTAAAGGCTGGAAAGGGTAGGAGGAAGGTGGTGGTGGGGAGTGCATGTTAGGGAGAGATTTGTTAAAGGATAAAAAATTATAGCTAGATAGAAGGAATAAGTTCTAGTGTTTCATACCACTGTTGAATGACCATAGTTACCAATAATATACAGTTTTAAATAGCAAGAAGGAGGATATTGAATATTCCCAACACAAAGAAATGATACATGTTTGAGATGATGGCTATGGTAATTACCCTGGTCTGATCACAATACATTATATGTATCAAAACATCACTATGTATCCCATAAGTATGTAAAATTATTATATGTAAATTAAACAAAAAATCTTAAAAAGGTTATAAAAAACAGTGGGTTTGAGGACAAGTTTATTAAGATTTTTTAAATAATAATCTATTCTGATTTGCAAACACATTGGATGATTAGAACTACCTAGAGAATGTGTTAAGAATACATTGGCTCCATACATTGAGTTCTTAATGTCAATTTTGTGTGTTTTTAATTCTTGTGTTCCTAGCTGGTTCTTTTTCAAATCTGCTGTATCACTTTTTACAGTTTACTGTTCCCTGCTGAAATTTCAAGCTTGGCCTTTATCTCCTTGAATATAGTAAGTAAAGCTGTTTCATATGTCTGGAAATTCCAGCATCTGGAACTCCTATAGGTCTGCTTATATCAAATATTATTTCTGCTAGTTTTTGCTAACAGGTGATATCTTATCTCTTTGTGTGCCCAGTTACCTTTGCTTGAGTACTGGATGTGAAAACATATAATATTTGAGACATCATGTATGGAAGACAGTTTGAAGGCTAACATGATGTCATCCTTCAGAGATTTGATGAATGTTTCTTGGGCATTATATGTGTAGCTTTTGGTCCATTCATGTGAGGCAAAACTCAAGTGCCAACTCTTTTGATCATTTTTTTAAATTATTAAGTTGTATAAGTTAGTTTGTGGTTGTTAAACCAACTTTGCATTCCAGGAATAAACTATGATCAGTCACAGTTATTATTCACCTTGCATATTTCTGGATTAGATCTGCATATATATATTTAAATATATGTATTTAAATGCATATATATTTAAATATATGTATTTAAATTCATATATATTTAAATATATGTATTTAAATGTAAAAACTATGGCAGTTGTAGGTTCATAGCAGATTTGAGGAGAAAGTACAGAGAGTTCCATATAACTCCTGTCCCCACATACACACAACCTCCTTCACTGTCAGCATCCTGCACCACAGTGGATCATTTTTTACAACCAATGAACTTACATTGACACACAGTCACTCAAAGTCCATAGTTTACAGTATCATTCATTCCCAGTGTTGTACATTTTATGGCTTTGGACAAATGTATAATGACGTGTATCTACCATTGTAGTATTACACAGCATAGTTTCACTACACTAAAAATTGTGCTGTGTGTATTCATTCTTCCCTCCTCCAATCCCCTGGAAACCACAGATCTTTTTCTTGTCTCCATAGTTTTGCCTTTTCCAGACTATTATGTAATTGGAACCAGACAGTACTTAGCTGTTTCAGGTTGGTTTCTTTCACTTAGTAATATACATTTATATTTCTTCCATGCCTTTCCATGGCTTGATAGCTCATTTCTTTTTAGTGCTGAATAATATTCTATTGTCTGGGAACACCACAGTTTATTTACCCATTCACCTACTGAAGGACGTCTTAGTTGCTTCCAAGTTTTGGCTGTTGTTAATAAGGCTTCTCTAGACTTCTGCGTGCAATTTTTTGTGTGGTTTTATGTTTTCAGTTCATTTTGGTAAATACCAAAGGAAGTGATTACTGGATCATAAGAATATGTTTAGTTTTGCAGGAAGGTAGCAAGATATCTTCCAAAGTGGTTGTACCATTGTGCATTTCCAGCAGCATTGAATGAGAGTTCCTCTTGTGCCACATTTTCTCCAGTATTTGGTGCTGTCAGTGTTTTGAATTTTGGCCATTCTCATAGCTGTGTGGTGGTGTCTCATTGTCTTAATTTGCAGTTCCCTAATGACATATGATGTTGAACATCTCTTCACATGCTTACTTGCCATCTGTATATCTTCTCTGATGATATACAGGTCTTTTGCTCATGTTAAAATCAGATTGTTCAATTTCTTATTGTTGAGTTTTAAGACTTCTTTGTATATTTTGGATAACAGTCCTTTGTCAGGCATGCCTTTGGCAAATACCTTCTTTCTATGGCTTGTCTTTTCACAGAGCAGAAGTTTTAAATTTCAGTGAACTCCAGCTGATCAATTATAGTAGTCTCCCCTTATCACAGTTTCACTTTCCACAGTTTTGGTTATCCATGGTCAGCTGCAGTCTGAAAATATTAAAATAAAAATAAAAAATAAAAATATTTTGTGTGCATGTATGTCTGTGTGTGTGCATATGTGAGTGTGTGAGAGAACACATTCATATAACTTTTATTATAGAATTTTGTTATAATTGCTCTATTTTATTATTGTTAATGTCTTACTGTGTCTAATTTATAAATTTATAAAGTTTATAAAACATTATCATATGTGTAGGAAAAAAGCACATAGAGGGTTCAGTATCAGGCATCCACTGGGGATCTTAGAACATATTTCCCAAGGATAAGGGGGGACTACTGTATTTTACTTTTTATTTTTTTGTAGATCATGCCTTTAGTGTTGATCTAAAAAGTCATCACCATACTCAAGGCCATCTAAATTTTCTGTGTTATCTTCTAGGAGTTATATAGTTTTGTACTTTACATTTAGGTCTGTAAACCATTTTGAGTTAATTTTTGTGATGGATGTAAGGTCTGTATGTAGATTGATTTTTTTTTCATGTCGATGTCCAGTTGTTCCAGTACCATTTGTTGAAAAGCCTATCTTTGCTCCATTGTATTGCCTTTGCTCCTTTGTCAAAGATCAGTTGACTATATTTATGTGGGCTTATTTCTGGGATCTCTGTTCTGTTCCATTGATCTATTTGTCTGTTCTTTCACCAATGCCACACTGTCTTGATTATTGTAGCCTTCTGGTAAGTCTTGAATTCGAGTAGTGTCAACCCTCTGACTTTGTCTTTCTTCAATATTGAATTGGCTATTCTGGGTCTTTTGTCTCTCCATGTAACTTTAGACTCAGTTTATCATTCCCAAAATAATTTGCTGAGATTTTGATTGGGATTGTGTTGAATCTATAGATCAAGTTGAGAAAAGCTGACATCTAAATGACATTGAGTCTTCTTTTCTTTTGAGACAGAGTTTTGCTCTTGTTGCCCAGGCTGGAGTGCAGTGGCGCCACCACAACCTCCACCTCCCAGGTTCGAGCGATTCTCCTGCCTCAGCCTCCTGAGTAGCTGGGATTATAGGCATGTGCCACCATGCCGGGCTAATTTTCTATTTTTAGTAGAGACAGGGTTTCTCCATGTTTGTCAGGCTGGTCTTGAACTCCTGACCTCAGGTTATCCACCCGCCTCGGCCTCCCAAAGTGCTGAGATTACAGGCGTGAGCCACTGCGCCCGGCGAGTCTTCTTAATCATAAACATGGAATATCTCTTCATTTGTTTTGTTCTTCTTTGTTATCTTTCATTAGAGTTTTGTACTTTTCCTCATACGGATCTTGCATATGTTTTGTTACACTTATACCTAAGTATTTCATTTTTATGGTAATGTGTTTTACATTTTAAATTTTACTTGTTCATTGCTGTTATATTGTAAGAAAGTGATTGACTTTTGTACATTAGCCTTCTGTCTTGTAAACTTGCTGTTATTGCTTATTAGTTCCAGAAGTTTTTCTGTTGATTTTTTTGGACTTTCTCCATAGACAATCATGTCATCTGTAAACAAAGACAATTTTATTTCTTCTTTCCCAATTAGTGTAACTTTTATTTCCTTTTTCTATTGCATTAACTAGGACTTCCAGAACAATGTTGAGAAGCAGTGGTGAGCGGGGATATCCTCGCCTTGTTCCTGACCTTAGAGAGACAGCTTCTAGTTTCTCACCATTAAGTATGATGTTAGCTATGGGTTTTTTGTAGATGTTCTTTATCAAGTTGAGGAAGTTCCCCTCTATTCCTAGTTTACTGAGAGGTTTTCTCATGAATGGTGTTGGATGTTGTCAAATGCTTTTCCAACATCTATTGATGTTTTATCATATGATTTTTGTTCTTTAGCCTCTTGATGCAATTGATTAAATTAATTGATTTTTTTTTTTTAAACATTGAGCCAGTTGTGCATACCTAGGATAAATCCCACTTGGTCATGGTATAGAATTCTTTTTATACATTGTTGGATTAGATTTGCTAATATTTTCTTGAGGAATTTTTGCATTTATGTTTATAAGAGATATTGGTCTGTACGTTTCTTTTTTAGTAATGCCTTTGTCTAGTTTTGGTATTAGAGTAATGCTGGCTTCAGATAATGAGTGAGGAAGTATTTCCTCTCCATCTGTCTTGTGGAAGAGATTATAGATAATTGATACAATTTCTTCCTTAAATGTTTGGTAGAATTCATCAGTGAACCCATCTGGGTCTGTGCTTTCTGTTTTGGAAGATTATTAATTATTGATTCAGTTTCTTCTTATGTTAGTTTGGGTATATTTCAAGGAATTGGTTCATTTCATTCAGGTTATCAAAATTATGGGCATAGAATTGTTCGTAATAAGCCAGGTGTGGTGGCTCAGGCCTGTAATCCCAGCACTTTGGGAGGCCAAGGCAGGTGGATCACTTGAGGTTGGGAGTTCGAGACCAGCCTGGCCGACGTGGTGAAATCCTGTCTGCACTAAAAATATTAGCTGTACTAAAAATATTAATTTTCAAAAAAATTAGCTGGACATGGTGGCATGCGCCTGTAGTCCCAACTCCTTGGGAGACTGAGGCAGGAGACTCGCTTGAACTCGGGAAGCAGAGGTTCCAGTGAGCCAGGATGGCACCTGGACAACAGAGCTTAAGACTCCATCTCAAAAAAGAAAAAAAAAAAGAATTGTTCATAATACTTATTCATTATCCTTTTTAATGTCCTTGGGCTCTGTAGTGATGTCTCTACTTTCATTTCTGATATTAGTAATTTGTGTCTTTTTTGTTTTCTCTTAGTTATCATGGCAAGAGGATTATAAATTTTATTGATCTTTTTAAAGAACTGTTAGCTTTTGGTTTTGTTGATTTTTCTCTACTGACTTCCTGTTTTCAATTTTATTGATTCCTGCTCTTTATTTTTTTCTGCTTACTTTGTAATTAATTTGCTTGAATTTTTCTTGTTTCTTAAGGTGGAAGCTTAGATGATTGATTTTAGATCTTTCTTCTTTTCTCATGTATTCATTCAAAGCAATACTTTTGCCTCTAATACTGTATTTGCTGCATCTCACAAATTTTCATAAGTTGTATTTTCATTTTCATATAGTTAAAAATATTTTAAAATTACCCTTAAGATTTCTTCTTTGACACATGTGTTATTTAGAAGTGTGTTGTTTAATCTCCAAGTATTTGGGGATTTTTCAGCTATCTATCTCTGTCAATTTCTAGTTTAATTTAATTGAGATCTGAGAGCAGACATTTTATGATTTCTGTTATTTTAAACTTGTTAAGGTGTAGTTTATGACCTAGAATGTAGTCTGTATTGGTGAATGTTCCATGTTAGCTTGAGAAGAATGTTTCCTCTGCTGTTGTTGGATGCGGTAGTCTACAGATGTCAATTACATCCAGTTGACTGATGGTACTGTTGTTAAGCTATGTCCTTACTGATTTTCTGACTGCTGGATCTGTCCATTTCTGATAGAGGCATTAAAGTTTTCCAGTGTAATAGTAGATTCATCTATTACTCCTTGTAGTTCTATCCGTTTTTGCCTCATGTATCTTGACCACTCTGTTTTTAGTTGCATATATGATAAGGATTTTTGTGTCTTCTTGGATTACTAACCCCTTTATTATGTAATGCCCCTCTTTATTCCTGATAACTTTCCTTGCTCCGAAGTCTGCTCTGTCTGAGATTACTATAGCTACTCTTGTTATCTTTGATTAGCATTGGCATGGTATATCTTTCTCCATCCCTTTTTAAAAAATCTATATGTGCCTTTATACTTAAAGTGGGGTTTTTAAAATTTTAACCTAATTTAATTTAATTTTACTTTAAGTTCCAGGATACATGTGCTGACCTTGCAGGTTTGTTACGTAGGTATGCATGTGCCATGGTTGTTTGCTGCACCTATCAACCTGTCATTTATGTTTTAAGCCCCACATGCATTAGGTATTTGTCCTAATGCTCTCCCTCCCCTTGTCTCCCCACCCCCTGACAGGCCCCTGTGTGTGTTGTTCTTCTCCCTGTATCCATGTGTTCTCATTGTTCAACTTAAAGTGGGTTTTTTTGTAGGCAACACATGGCTGGGTCTTCTTTTGTAATACACTTTGGCAGTCTCTGTTTCTTCATTTGTTTGTTTGTTTTGTTTTATTTTTGAGACAGAATCTTGCTCTGTTGCCTAGGCTGGAATGCAGTGGTGTAATCATAGCTCACTGCATCCTCAAACTCTTGGCCTCAAATGGTCCTCCTGCTATGGCCTCCAAAAGTGCTGGGATTACAGGCATGAGCCACCATGCTTGGCCTCTCTGTGTTTTAATTGGTGCATTTAGACCATTGATATTTAAAGTGATTATTGATACAGTTGGATTATTATCTCTCATTTCTGTTACTGTTTGTTAGTTGTTGCCTTTATAATTTGTTTCCAGTTTTGTCTTCCACATCTTTTCAGTCTTTAGTTTTAATTGAACATCTTATATGATTCCATTTTCTCCCATTTCTTAGCATATCAGTTATACTTCTTTTTTTAAAACTTTTTTTAGTGGTTGTCCTGGAGTTTGCAGTATGTATTTATAGCTAAGCCAACTCCACTTTCAGGCAACACTATACCTGAAAGTGGAGTTTCATGTGTAATGCAAATACCTTATAACAACAAAACATTCCTAATTCCTTCTGCCCATCCCTTTTATTACTGCCATTCGTTTTACTCACATATGAGCATATGCACACATGAGCATACATAATTGAACACATTATTGATGTTATTATTTTGAGTAAACTGTTGCTATGGTTTGATTGTTTATCCCCTCTAAAATTTATGGTGAAAGGCAATCCCCACTGTGGCAATATTGAGAGAGGGGGCCTTTAAGAGGTGATTAATTCTTTAAGAGGATTAATCTATTTTATAGGATTAATCCATTAATGGATTAATGGATTATTGGATTATCATAGGAATGGGCCTAGTGACTTTATAAGAAGAGGAAAGCAAGATCTGAGCTAGCATGCTTAGCCCCTCACCGCATGATGCTCTGCACCACCTCAGGATTCTATAGAGCGTCCCCATCAGCAAGAGGGCTCTCATTAGATGTAGCCCCTTGACCTTGTTCCTCTCATCCTCTGTAACTGTAAGAAATAAATTCTTTTGAATTTTAGGTATTCTGTTATAAGCAACAGAAAATAGACTAAGAAAACTTTTTTTCTGTTAGATCAATTAAGAATAAGAAAAATTCTTGACCAGCCTGACCAACATGGTGAAACTGTGTCTGGAATTGGTGGGTTCTTGGTCTCGCTGAGTTCAAGAATGAAGCCACGGACCCACGTGGTGAGTGTTACAGTTCTTAAAGATGGTGTGTCCGGAATTTGCTCCTTCTGATGTTTGGATGTGTCTGAGTTTCTTCCTTTTGGTGGGTTCGCGGTCTCGCTGGCTTCAGGGGTGAAGCTGTAGACCTTCATGGTGAGTGTTATAGCTCTTAAAGGTGGTGCGTCTGGAGTTGTTCGTTCCTTCCATCTGGAGTTGTTCGTACCTTCCATCTGGAGTTGTTCGTCCCTCCCCATGGGTTCATGGTCTTGCTGCCTTCAGGAGTGAAGCTGCAGACCTTTGCAGTGAGTGTTACAGCTCATAAAGGCAGCGCAGACCCAAAGAATGAGCAGCAGCAAGATTTATTGCGAAGAGTGAAAAAACAAAGCTTCCACAGCGTGGAAGGGGACCCAAGCGGGTTGGCGTTGTTGGCTCAGGTGGCCTGCTTTTATTTCTTTATCTGGCCCCACCCGCAGCCTACTGATTGGTCCATTTTACAGAGAGCTGATTGGTCCATTTTACAGAGAGCTGATTGGTCCATTTTACAGAGAGCTGATTGGTCCATTTTGACAGGGTGCTGATTGGTGCATTTACAAACCTTGAGCTAGACACAGAGTGCTGATTGGTGCATTTACAATCCTTTAGCTAGACACAAAAGTTCGCCAAGTCCCCACTAGATTAACTAGACACAGAGCAGTGATTGGTGCATTTACAAACCTTGAACTAGACACAAGGTGCTGATTGGTGCATTTACAAACCCTGAGCTAGACACAGGGTGCTGATTGGTGCATTTACAAACCTTTAGCTAGACATAAAAGTTCTCCAAGTCCCCACCCGACTCAAGAGCCCAGCTGGCTTCGCCTAGCGGATCCTGTGCTGGGGCTGCGGGTGGAGCTGCCCGCCAGTACCGCGCTGTGCGCCCGCATTCCTCAGCCCTTGGATGGTAGATGGGACCTTGCGCCATGGAGCAGGCGGCGGTGCCCGTCGGGGAGGCTCGGGCCGCGCAGGAGCCCACCAGGGGGGTTGGGGGGAGCTCGGGCATGGCAGACTGCAGGTCCTGAGCCCTGCCCCGTGGGGAGGTGGCTGAGGCCCAGCGAGAATTTGAGTGCGGCACGGGCAGGCTGGCAGTGCTGGGGGACCCGGCACACCCTCTGCAGCTGCTGGCCTGGGTGCTAAGCCCCTCACTGCCCGGGGCCAGTGGCACCGGCCAGCAGCTCCAAGTGTGGGGCTTGCCGAGCCCGCACCCACCCGGAACTTGCACTGGCCCGTGAGTGCCGCACGCAGCCACGGTTCCTGCCTGCACCTCTCACTCCACACCTCCTGGCAAGTAGAGGGAGCCAGCTCTGGCCTCAGCCTGCCCAGAGAGGGGCTCCCACAGTGCAGCAGTGGGCTGAAGGGCTTCTCAAGCGCAGCCAGAGCGGACACAGAGGCTGAGGAGGCACCGAGAGTGAGCAAGGGCTGCCAGCACGTTGTCATCTCTCAAGTCCCTGTCTCTACTAAAAATACAAAAATTAGCTGGGCATGGTGGCACATGCCTGTAATCCCAGCTACTTGGGATGCTGAGGCAGGAGAATCGCTTGAACCTGGGAGGCGGAAGTTGAGGTGAGCTGAGATCATGAGATCACGCCACTGCACTCCAGCGTGGGTGACAGAACAAGATTCCATCTCAAAAAAAAGAAAAAAGAAAAATATCTTCTTTCAGAAGAAATTCTTTTAACATTTTTTGCAAGGCAAGTCTCCTGGCAAACAAATGCCTTAATAATTGTCCCAGAAAGTTTTTTTCCTTCACTTTTGAAGGATAACTTTGTAGGGTACAGAATTCTAGGTTTGCAATTTTTTTTCTCTTGGCACTTTAAATATTTCACTCCACTCTTTACTTGCATTTCTGAGGATAAGTTCATATCTTTGCTCCTATAGGTAGCATGTTTTTACCTCTGCTGCCTTTGAAGATTTTTTGATTTTATTTTCTGAAATTTGAATATGATATGGCTAGAAGTAGTTTTTTTTTTTTTTAATGTTTATCCTATTTGATGTTCTCTGAGCTTCCTGGATCTTTGATTTGGTGTTGACATTAATTTGGGGGAAATTCTCAGTCCATATTGCTTTAGATATTTCTTCTTCCTTCTCTCTGTCTCTCTTTTCCTCCCCTCTCTCTTGTCCGTTATAGTTTTCCCAGTGTTCTTGGATATTCTGTACTTTTTTTCCCAGTCTTTTTTCTCTTTGCTTTTCAGTTTTGAAAGTTCTGTTGTCATATCCTCAAGTTCAGAGATTCTGTCTCAGCCATGTCCAATTTACTAATCAGCCCATCAAAGGAATTCTTTATTTCTGTTCCAGTTTTTTTAATCTTTAGTATTTCTTTTTGATTATTTCTTAAATTTTTCATCTCTTACATTATTCTTGCATGTTGTCTACTTTTTCCATTGAAGCCTTTAGTGCATAGTTCTCTTTAAAACGAATTCTGGTTTGATAATTCCAACATTCCTATCATATCTGACTCTGGTTCTAATGCTTGTTTAATCTCTTTAGACTGTGGTTTTTACCATTTAGTATGCCATATAAGTTTTGCTGAAAGGTAGATATAAATGTGGTGGGTAAAAGGAACTGGTAAATAGGACTTTAGTAAGGTAGTGGTAAGGTGTGGGAAAAGGGGAAGCATTCTATAGTCCTATGATTGGGTCTTAATCTTTTGGTGAACCTGTACCTCTGAATGGTACGCTTCATAGTGCTTCTCAGTTTTGTTTTTTTTCCCCCTTTGACAGGACAGAATGGACAGAGGGAGCTGGAGTTGTGTATTTCCCTTCCCCTAGTTAGGTTAGAGCAGGTTAGGCTCTGGTAAAAAAGTTTCTCCTGAGGGCAGACCTTGTTAAGAACAGAATGTAAAGGACTATTTCAAAATAATTACTTTTCCTCTCCTGCTGAAAGCACAAGGGGATTTCTTCCCCACAGTACTCAGTCTGAGGACCTGGTAGAGTTCCTGGAAATAAAACTCACGAAAGTGTATGCAACTGGGTCCTCCTGGAGTTTTGTTTAATTTTTAATTTTTTTTCCTTTTTTAAATAGCTGCCTACCCCCTGGAGTTCTAACACTCAGACTTGTCCACACTCAGCCTCTATCAGTTTGTCAATTACAGTTTATGTTTTCCTACTGCAGCACTGCCAGAGGTTTCAGCTTCTGGGTTTCTGCTCTGCTAAGTTGTGATTCTTCTTTATGTGTTTGTTTCTGCAGTTTTGGGGCAGTGGTTTGCTCTGTGGCTTCATGTCTTTGGTGAATCTAAGAATAATTATTAATTTTTCAGTTTGCTTAGGTTTTTACTTGTTAGGATGCAGTGGCAACTTCTTGAACTCCTGGCCTCAAAAGATCCTCCCACCTTGACCCCCACAAAATGTTGGGATTATAGGCGTGAGCCACCACACCTGTCCTGGAATGGCAATTTCTAAGCTGTGTACAGGCTGGAGTGGAAATCCAGAAGTCAGTTTGCTAATACTATGTTAGGGATTTTTGCTTCTATATTCATGAGGGATGTCAGTCTATAATTTTCTTTTAATGCTTTTGTCAGATTCTGGTATTGGGATAATACAATCATCATTTAGTAAGTTGAGGATTGTTTCTATTTTCTGAAATTATTTGTGTAGAATTGGTGTTATTTCTTCCTTGAATGTTTGACAGAATTTACCAGTGAAATAATTTAAGCCAAGGTTTCTCAACCTCAGCACTTTTGACATTTTAGGTCATGTAAATATTACATAGTACATATTTACATGACCTAAATGTAAATATTGTGAGGGGCTTTCCTGTGAAATACAGGATATTTAGTAGTACCCCTGGCCTCTAGGAATTCCAGTAGTAATCCCCTTTCACTTCTCATTGTGACAACTGAAATGTCTTAGACATTGTCAGATGTCCTTAAGGGGGCAAAGTCAACCCCAGTTGAGAATTACTGATCTAAGTGAAGTGTGGAAGTTTTTTGTTGTTGAGCATATTTTTAGTTATAAATTTAATGTTTTTCTTGACATCAGCCTGGGCTTTTCAAGTTTTCTGTTTCTTCTTGAGTCAGTTTTGGTAACATGTCTTTCAACAGAGTTTTATATGTCATCTATATTGTTGGATTTATTGCAATTAAATTATTCATATTTTCTTATCTTTTTAATGTCTGCTAGGTATGTGATAGAAATGTGGATAGTGATGATCTCTCTTGCATTCCTGATTTTGGCAATTTTTATCTTCTCTTTTTCATTCATCAGTTTTACTAGGAGTTTATCAATTTTATTATGTTTTAAAAGAAACACCTTTTGTTTCACTGATTTTCACTTCTTGTTTTTTGTGTGTTCTGTTCATTGATTTCTGTTCTTTATTATTTACTATCCACTTGCTTTGGATGTATTTTGCTTTTTTTCTAGTTTTCTAAGGTGGATCATTCATTTTAGACCTTTTATCTTTTTAATGTATTTTAAGCTACAAATTTTCCTCTAACTGTGCTTTAGCTGCATTCCATAAATTTCAGTGTTTTCATTTTCAATCAATGAAAGATACTTTTCCTTTTCTTTTGTTACTGCCTTTACTTATGATTATGTAGAGGTATGTTATTTTACTTTTAAAATATCTTGGGATTTTACGGATATGTTTTCATAAATGATTAATATGGATGGTCAGTGTCTCAGTCCATTTTCCGTTGCTTATAACAGAATATTGGAAACTGAGTGATTTATAAAGAAAGGGAATTTATTTCTTACAGTTACAGAGGATGAAAAGTCCAAGGTCGAGGGGCTTCATCTGGTAAGAGTCCTCTTACTGGTTGGAACTCTGCAGAGTCCCAGGGCAATGCAGGGCGTCATGTGGCAAGGGAGCTGAACATATGAGCTCAGGTCTCTTTTCCTTTTCTTATAAAGCTACCAGTCCCACTCTCATGATAATATGTTAATCCATGAACAGATTAATCCATTCATGAGGGCAGAGCCCTCCTGACCAAATTACCTCTTAAAGGCTCCCCCACCCCTGCCCAGTACTATCACACTGGGGATTAAATTTCAACACCAGTTTTGGAAGGGACAAATAGACAAATATTCAAACCATAACAGTCAGACAATATATGTTATGCAATTTTAGTTTTTTTCAATTTATTGAGACTTGTTTATGCCCCAAATATAGGGGCATTACTGAACGTTCCTTGTGTACTTTAGAGCAGTGTGTATTTTGCAGATGTTGAATGAAATATTCTGTAAATATCAGTTTAGGTCATGTTAGATGGTAGTGTTAAATTTTTTATATTTTTTAAATTTTCTGCTTTTTCTACCACTAACTGAGAGAAGAGTGATAAAATCTCCACCATAATGTACTTGGTTATTTCTCCTTTCATTTCTGTCAATTATTGTTTCCTGTTTTTTGAAGCTTTGTTTTGAAGTTGTCTTGGTGAATTGGTCCCTGTGTCATCAATGATATGTCCTTTTTGCTTTGGTAAGATTTCCTTTTATGAAGTTTTTATCTGACTTTATTAGCCACTAGAGCTTGTTTCCAGTTAATATTTTGCAGACATTTCTGTTTTCATCCTTTTATTCTTGTATCTACCTTTATATTTAAAGTGGGTTTCTTATAAATAGCATATAGTTGGGTCTTGCTTTTGTATACAATCTGATACCCTCTATTTTTTAAATGGCATGTCATTTACTGTCATTATTGATATGATCAGATTTAAATTTACCATCTTGCTATTTCTTTTCAAATTATTTCTTCTGGTCTTTCACTTTTTTTTTCTCCTGCCCTCTTTTGGGTTGAATGAGTATTTTTGTCACTGCACTTTATCACCACTATTAGCTTATTAGCTTTACCTTTGTTTTACTTTTTTGGTGGTTGCTGTTGACCAACAGTTTTCAAACATCTTAGTCTCATGATACCTTTGGATTCTTTTTTCTTTTTTTGAGACAAAGTCTGGCTCTATTGCCCAGGCTGGAGTGCAGTGGTGCAGTCTTGGCTCACTGCAACCTCTGCCTCCTGGGCTCAAGCCATCCTCCCACCTCAGCTTCCAGAGTAGCTAGGACTACAGGCACATACCACCATGTGTGGCTAATTTTAAAATTTTTTTTATAGAGACGGGGTCCCTTTGGATTCTTAATTAATAAAGACCTCAAAGGGTTTTTGTTTATGGGATTATCAGTTATTACTATACCCCCAGTTAAAACTGAAGTGTTCAAGTATTAATCATTTAAATATCACAAGAATAAAGCTATTATATGTTAACAAAAACAACATATTTGTGAAAAATGACTATTAAAAAACAAGTAGTGGGGAGAGTGGCATTGTTTTACATTTTTGCAGATCTCTTTAATGTATGGCATAAATGAAGGCTGGATTCTCATATCTACTCTTGCACTTAGTTTTTTGCTTTATATTGTTTTAGTAAATTTAAGTACATGAAGAAAATCTCACAGTTATGTATGTAGTAAAGAGAAGAACGTTTTAATAGTCTTTTCAGATAATTGTGGGCATTCTTCTCTGATGCCACTCCAAAATTCATCAAGTGGTTGTTTCTTAAAGGTAAGTTATAGTGTGGAATCTGAAACCATATAATTCTGTTATAGAAAAATGCATTGGTCTTTCTTGCACTTTGCATGGATATGTGTATTTATGCATGGTTTTATAATATCATGCATTGGTCATTTGGAAAGTACTGGTGCACCAGATACGTAGATCTTCCAAATGTTACAGCATTGCATTATAAAATATCAAAAAACGACAGTATTATCACCACTGATCTCACAAAAATCTAACTCTGGGAAGCTGTTAAATATATGGTGGCATAGGCCCGGGCGCAGTGGCCCACGCCTGTAATCCTAGCACTTTGGGAGGATGAGGCAGGTGGATCACGAGGTCAAGAGACTGAGCTCATCCTGGCTAACATGGTGAAAAGCCATCTCTACTAAAAATACAAAAATTAGCTGAGCATGGTGGCACGTGCCTGTAGTCTCAGCTACTCGGGAGGCTGAGGCAGGAGAATCGCTTGAACCTGGGAGGTGGAGGTTACAGTGAGCCAAGATCATGCCACTGCACTCCAGCCTGGGCGACAGAGCAAGACTCTTGCCTAAAAAAAAAAATATATATATATATATGTGTGTGTGTGTGTGTGTGTGTGTGTACATATATACGTATACGTATACATACATACATACATACGTATACATACATACATATGTATACATACATACGTATACGCATACATACATACATATACGCATACATACATATACGCATACATACACATATACGTATACGCATACATATATACGTACATGCATACATACATATATACACATACATGTATGTATATACATACATACGCATATATACATATATACGTATATATGCGTATATATGTATATACGCGTATGTATGTATATACATGTATGTGTATATATACACATATATATGAAGTTTTTATCTGACTTTATTAGCCACTAGAGCTTGTTTGCAGTTAATATTTTGCAGACATTTCTGTTTTCATCCTTTTATTCTTGTATCTGTCTTTATATTTAAAGTGGGTTTCTTATAAATAGCATATAGTTGGGTCTTAGTTTTGTAAGAACCTTACATGTAAGAACCTTACGACAGTGTACTGCTGTTTACCTCCTTTCTAACTTTTGTGCTGTAAACTCCTTATTTACATTTGCCAGTATATTTCTGTATTAAATGACCAAATATTCTCTAAAACTTTAAGAAATGAGAAAACTGTCTTTTTTATTTGTCCATATTTATTATTTTTGGTGTATTTTCTTTGTGTATATTCATGTTTTCATGTGATACATACTTTCTGCCTGAATAATTTCCTTGAAATTATATTGCTGTCTATTGACAACATATATATATGTATATATGTATATACATACACACATATATATAGTGGCATTTACAAGTTCACAGCATTTTAATTCTTACTGAAAGGCTGGATTTTATTATTAGCAACACTTACTTTCAATTGCTTTCCTTAAAATCACTGGCACACTTCATCCTTTTTTGTTTGTTTTAATAAGCTTTTTATTTTGGAATAACTTTAGATTTACAGAATAACTTTAGATTTTGGAATAACTTTATTATTGTGATACTGAAAAAACAATACAGAGAATTCATAAATACCTCTCATTCAGTTTCTTCTAATGTTAGCATCTATTACCCTGTACATTTGTCAAAACTCAGAAAATTGACTTTGGTAGATTACTATTAATTAAACTCCAGACTTCACTTGGATTTCACCAATTTTTCTATTAAAGTCCTATTTCTCTTTCAGTGTCTAATCCGGAATATCACATTATATTTTGCTATCACAATTCCTTAGTCTCTATGGCCTTTGACAGTTTGTCATCTTTCCTTTTTTTAATGAACTTGACACTTTTGAAGAGTACTGGTCTATTATTTTCTAGAATGGTCTTCAATTTAGGTTTCTCTCATGATTTCCTTATGACTTGAGTGGGTTTATGGTTTTCTGGGAGAAATATCATGGAGATAAAGGGCCCGCTTTGTCTAATTTTTAGAAAATGACTGCCACTGCAGTTTGCAGTCAGTTTTTCTTTTAAATAAAAATAGTGTTCTTGAAAAAGACATTTGTTCAGTTTAGAACTCAAATAATTGCACAAGTGCTTTTCCTTTGCACAAGTGTGTAGTCGAGTTTTTTTTTGTTTTTGTTTTTGTTTTTTAAGACAGAGTTTCGCTGTTGTTGCCCAGGCTGGAGTGCGGTGGCGCTATCTCAGCTCACTGCAACCTTTGCCTCCTGGGTTCAAGCGATTCTCCTGCCTCAGCCTCCCGAGTAGCTGGGATTACAGGCATGCACCACCACGCCCGGCTAATTTTTGTATTTTTAGTAGAGATGGAGTTTCTCCATTTGGTCAGGCTGGTCTCGAACTTCCGACCTCAGGTGAGCCGCCCGCCTTGGCCTCCCAAAGTGCTGGGATTACAGGCATGAGCCACTGTGCCCGGCCCTGTACTTTTCCTTTTGTCACGCAGAATGTTAAGATGTTTACTCATATATAAATATTTAATACAATTAATAATTTTTACTGTTTTGTCATAGACATACTTAAATGAATCTGGCCACTCCCCCTCTTTTTTTTAAACCTTCAATGCATGTCCTGAATAATACAGTCATCACAGTGCTATTGCTTTGATTTGTGATAGGGCACTGACAGTTTTTGTTTTTGAGACAGGGTCTCTATTGCCCAGGTTGGGGTGCAGCAGTGAGCTCATAGCTCCCCACTCTCATGCGCGTACAACCATACTTGGCTAATGTTTTTATTTTTTGTAGAGACAATGTCTCACTATATTGTCCAGGCTACCTACAGTTTTATTCAGCATTGCTGAGCACCATTAGTACAAATGTCAATGCAGTGACAAACTATTAACACTCTTAGGAATATAGCTCTGACTTTGCAGACCCCATGAAAGCATGTCCTGAACACTTAGGTCTTCTAATTACACATCGAGAAACTGCAACACTAGGGCTTTTATGATATTTAATTTATCATGGTCTACCTTCAAATAACTTTATAGCACTTGAGTATAATGGAAGAACCTTACAACAGTGTACTGCTGTTACCTCCTTTCTAACTTTTGTGCTGTAAACTGCTTATTTACATTTACCAGTATATTTCTGTATTAAATGACCAAATATTCTCTAACTTTAAGAAATGAGAAAACTGTCTTTTTGTCTATATTTATTATTTTTGGTGCTTTTTATCTCTTTGTGTATATTCATGTTTTCATGTGATACATACTTTCTGCCTGAATAATGTCCTTGAAATTATATTGCTGGTCTACTGACAACAAATTCTCTTAGCTATTGCTTGTCTGAAAATAATTTTATTTTGCTTTCACTTATGAAAGATATTTCCTCTGGTATAGGATTCTAAGTTAATAGATGTTCCCTCTCCATTTTTTTTTCCTTCAGCAGTTTAAAGATTTTTCTATTGTCTTTTGACTGGAATAATTTTAGGGGAAAAGTCTTGTAATTGTTTTCACATTCAGTCTTTTCAATATAAGTGCTTTTTTTCTGGCTGCTTTTAAAATATTCTTCTTACCATTATATTTTAGCAAATAATTATGATGTCTTTTGGTGTGGTTTTATCTGTATTCTGCTTAGAATTTATTGAACTTCTTGGGTCTGTGGGTGTAGTTTGACAACATTTCAGCCATTATTGTCTTAAATATTGTTCTCCCTCGTACCAACACTCCAATTACACATAATTTAGGCTGCTTCATAGTGTTCCCTAAAGCTCTGCTTATATTTCTTCAATTTTTTTCCCTTTCTTTGCTTAATTTTGGATAGTTTCTGTTGCTCTGTTCTCAAGTTGATTGATAACAGTGCTACAGTTGTTAATATGCAAGATCTGACGTGAATATTTTACTGGGTGACATTAATCACAGATTAAACATTGCAGAAGAAAGTAAGTTCATTGATAATTTCTTAGTTATGGGATAAATTAGCTCCAAAGAAAAAATTACGTTAGATGTGAACTAAAAAAGTTTATAAATAAGCCATAAAGGAGTCAAACTGATGCACAAGAAGCTTAACTTCTGGACAGAACAAAATCAAGTATTATTCAGCCCTCAGCCGTCTAAAATTCACAATGTCTTACATCCAACAAAGAGACCTTTTGGGTTTTTCCTGAATGTTTTGTGTATTCCCAGTGATGACTTTTTATTCTGGTGGTGATAATGTGAATAATTCTCACCCCTGGGTAAGCTCTGGGAAGTGTTTTGCTTGTAGCTCCTCAGGTTATTGTTCTTTTCCCAAAAGTTCTTCTTTGCCCAGCTTTGTAGGGTTTTATTGTACACGTGTAGATCAGTATTCAGCTGAAGACTCAAGAATACTGCTATGCTAGTTTCTGGAGTTTTTTCCTTTTTTTTTTTTTTTTTTTGAGATGGAGTCTCATTCTGTCACTCACGCTGGAGTGCAGTGGGGTGATCTCGGCTCACTGCAACCCTCTGCCTCCTGGGTTCAAGTGATTCTCCTGCCTCAACCTCCCAAGTACCTGGGACTACAAGCACATGCCACCATGCCCAGCTAATTTTTGTATTTTTCATAGAGACAGAGTTTCAGCATGCTGGCCAGGCTGGTCTCGAACTCCTGACCTTAAGTAATCCACCCACCTCAGCTTCCCAAAGTGATGGGATTACAGGTGTGAGCCACTGTGCAGGACCTGGAGTTCTTTCCTGATGGGGCACTTTCTTTTCTACTACTGTATCCCCAAAATTCTAGCCCTTTGGCCTGTCCAAACTAACAGCCAAGCTTCCTTTGGGGTCCCCCTTCCTGCCCTGATGTTCAGTATTGCCTCCAGGCATAACAGTTGAGTGATCCTCAGGCTCATCTTGTTTGTTCCCCCTTTGTCAGGGACTGCAGAGATTGTTTGCAGCAAGAAAGTTGGTGTGAGTTACCCAGTTCACCAAGTGGGAGTCTACTCTATGTCTCTGAAGAATTTTTGGTTTTTTTGCCAATTTGTATATACCTAACTTTTAGGAATGTAGATGAAAATCAGTACTTACTTAAATTTCTCATTACGTCTTCAAATCACGTGGAGGAGGGGAGAACTGAGAGAACAGTAGAGAAATGGAGTTGCTGATTGATGTTTATGCTGTGAACCTCTTGGTCAAACAGAATCCAAAGTTAACTGATTGTATGGAATATTCAGTTTTAAGAGCTCATAAATTTGCCTAAACCTGTTTGAGTTGGGTTTTCTGTTATATATAATCAAAAACATCTTAATAAATAGCATATAATCTTATGATGAATTTTGAAAGTACTAGTGTTAATATTTGATTATTATTATTATTTTTGAGAGAAGGTCTCACTCTGTCACCCAGGCTGGAGTGCAGTGGAATGATTATGACCCACTGCAGCCTCCACAACCTGGCTCAAGTGATCTCCCACCTCAGCCTCCCAAGTAGCTGAGGACTAGAGGCGCATGCCACCATACTTGGCTAATTTTGTATTTTTTGTAGAGACAGGATTTCACCATGTTGCCCAGGCTGGTCTTGAACTCCTAGGCACAAGTGATCTGCCAGCCTCGGCTTCCCAAAGTGCTGGGATTATAGGCGTGAACCTCTGTGCCCAGCCGTATTATTTCTAATACAATTTGTAATTCTTTTTTTTTTTTTTTTTTTTACTTTTTTTTTTAATCCAGGAGTGCTGCTATATAATTTGTAATTCTGATTGCATTAGGATGGCATGTTTAATTTATTCAGCAAATATTTAAGTTATTTTGATATGGAAATCTGTGCTATTTTCTGATAAAGATGAGCTCATACAATGTTTTAAAGCTTTTTTATTATTATTACTCTAGAAATTTACAGCACTTTTATGACAAGGATGTATGTGGAAAGTGCTAGAATACAACTTCTTATGTGAATGATGTTTGAGTGACGATTCTGTACAAAACTTATTCCTAGGTTGGGTGCAGTGGCTCATGCCTGCAGTCCCAGCACTTTGGGAGGCTGAGGTGGGTGGATCATCTGAGGTCAGGGGTTCGAGGCCAGCCTGGCCAGCATGGTGAAACCCTGTCTCTATGAAAAATACAAAAATTAGCCGGGCATGGTGGCACATGCCTGTAATCTCAGCTACTCAGGAGGCCAAGGCAGGAGAATGGCTTGAACCCTGGAGGTGGAGGTTGCAGAGAGCTGAGATTGTGCCACTGCACTCCAGCCTGGGCAATAGAGTGAGACTCTGTATCTCCAAAAAAAAAAAAAAAAAGCTCATTCCTCTCGTAGATACATAAATTATATTCTAGCTGCTTCATTTTGAGTTGCTTTATATATTAAATGTATACTTAGTTCACGTTTTATAAAGGACAGCTTTCATCAAACTTGGCTTTATCCAAACTTTCAGTGGTTTCCCATTTTGTTCATGATTAAGTCCAAATATTTTAGCCAGTGAAAGGCCCTGTAATTTAACCCACACCTTTCTAATCTTATTTCTCATCATTTTTCCTATTCAGTGAGATTAATGTGTTTCCCTGATCCATGCCTTTGTTTGCTCCTGCTGACTTGTTCTTTTAATTCTTTCTGCCTATCAGTACCCATCATTTTTGCTCCAGTTCCGATCCCACCTCTTAGTAAGATCTTTGTCCATCATCCACCATGGCCATGAGTGATCTCTCATAAGATATACTTTATTTTTTGTTGTTTACAAAGCCAATCAACACTGGTTTCATAAGGTGAACCAAAAGCCCTTCATTTCTAGTCTCACTCTCCGGAGGAGAACCTCTTAATACTTCCTTGATAATTTTATGCATATTTAAATATGTATTAGCTTATTTGGTTATTACTAACTTTGGCCACAATATTGGAGAACACAATTCTATAGGCTTAATTATATTTAACTTTGATTTTTCTTTTGGCAAGAATATTTCAAGAATGGTAGTGTATACTTCATATTGCATCATACAAGAAATATTCTGTCTGGGGGTCTCCTTTTGTGATATTTAAGTGGATTGGGGATTCAGGCATTGTCAGTCTGATCTACCCCGATGAGCCTTTCACTGAATGATTTTATGAATCTCATTCTTTTAAATTTTCATCAGCCAGGCACAGTGGCCCATACCCATAATCCTGACACTTTGGGAGACAGGGCGAGAGGATTGCTTGAGCCCAGGAGTTCAAGAACAGCCTTGGCAACCCTAAGGAGATCCCATCTCTACAAAAAAAAATTTTTTTATGTCATACATAGCTACTTTACTGCCTGTTAATATAGCAAGATAATAGATTGTTAAAAGGCAGGCTATGGAGCCAAACTGCCTGCTGGTAATGACCTTCAGCAAATGAGTATACATCTTTGTGCCTCAGTTTTTCTCCACTGGGAGGGCTCTAACAGTGCATGGTTACACAGTGTCAGTCAATGTTAGTTGTTATTAATATATTGGTTTGAAAGTTTGATTTTGCTGTCTATGTGCTTGGCCTTTGTTTGCATGGAAAATGTTTTATTGGATAATATTCATGGTATTCTGTTTGGCAGTGAAACCAGGTTACCTTGTAGGAAAATAAAACACCATTTAAATTATAACAAATTTATTATTTTTCTATAATTTTTAGTAAGAAAAACATGAGCAGAAAAGGGATTTATTACATTGGAGTTTGTAATGAAGAAAAGAAACATTGAGCATGATTATATATTCTAGATATTAGGAAAGAAAATTGGAAAAGACAAAAAGAAATGAGTGACATTATTGTTTTTGATTATGAACGGCTGTATGGTTCTTTGAGATGACAGTTAATAAACATAAGTGCACACAATCCTAAATAATTTGATAGAGGAGAAGTTTCTAAAAACCCAATGTGGTGATGCAAGGGAGCTCTCAGATAAGCAGAGCATAGATATAGTAGATGGAAGGGAAGATGCAGAACTAAAGATGAATATGAAACTTTATAAACAGTGGCTGGAACCACAAGGTAAGCTGAAGTTTGTAAGACCAAATAAGTTGTTTTTTAAAAGTAATATCTCAATTAAGGTTAAGCTTCAAGAAGATAATCAAGGCCGGGCACGGTGGCTCACGCCTGTAATCCTAGCACTTTGGGAGTTTCAGGTGGGCGGGTCACAAGTTCAGGAGTTTGAAACCAGCCTGACCAACATGGAGAAACCCTGTCTCTACTAAAAATACAAAAAAAAAAAAATAGCCAGCCGTGGTGGCTGATGCCTGTAATCCCAGCTACTCGGGAGGCTGAGGTGGGAGAATCGCTTGAACCCGGGAGGCGGAGGTTGCAGTGAGCCGAGACCATGCCACTGCACTCCAGCCTGGGCAACAAGAGCATAACTCCATCTCAAAAAAAAAAAAGAAGAAAAAGAAAAAAAAAAGATTATCAAATTTTTAAGAGGTATGGAACTATCAGGTCTCATTTTATGATTGCCCAATTGAGTAAGGAGAAATAGGCTTTGAGTTGGAAAAGATGTAACAATAGTATTAAAAGAATTACAGGCAATTGTAGTTAAGCAACTAAAAAGTGAAATATCTGACCACTTTAAGTGCATTTTATTTTCTTCATATAAATCAGTGTCTTCTATAGCCACCAGTGGACTTGCATAGTTCGTGAAATCATTGAGTAATATTTGAGAATGTAATGAAAAATATAACTAGTGCCTGGAGATGATCAGATGCTAGCTTGATTTTTTAGAAAGGAAAAAATGTGGGTACTGAAGCTTGCAAGCTGGTAAATTTGGTATTGATCTTTGGCAAATTTCTATAAATAAATTTCAGAAGTTTGGGAACATTTATGAAAGAATACTTGAATGGATAAATTTAAATGTGTTTACCATATATTAAATTAATTTATTTTAATTAGAATTATCAGGTTGGATGAATTAGAAGAATACTATAGTAAGTTTCTTAATTTTAGTGAAATGTTTGACAGTCTGTGGCTATATTTTTGAATAAGATGTGTTAGCAAACTGTTGTTTAAATTTAGAGTAAGTAGATCTATTTGTAATACTAGATTGAAATCCAAAACTATCATTTCATTAGAGGTTGAATGTCACCCTTGAGAGGGATCTTCAGAGCAATACAGTGGCATTATCTATATCTTGTCTCAACATTTTAATCACTGATCTAACTGAAAGTTTAGGAAGTAGGCTTATCTAGTTGTAGATTATTCAAAGATGGCCTGGATAGCTGATATCATAGAAGGCAATTAAGAATGTCTTCCTAAAACTTTAATTAATCTAGTGTACTTCTGTCTTTCCTTCTCTTACATTTTGATACTTTGTATGTAATATATATTTATAGTTTAGGTTGCTTCAGGAAAACAAAAAAAAAAACAACTTTTTTTATGTTTTGTTTTTAGTAGAGGTGAGGTGTTGACCCTTGCCCAGGCTGGTCTTGAATTCGTGAGCTCAAGTAATCCTGCCACCTCGGCCTCCCAAGTGCTGGAATTATAGGCATGAGCCACTGCTCCCAGCTCCCCTCCACCTCCAAAAAAAAAACTTTTATTTTTTGTCTGCTTGATATTTTTACCAAATTATTTTTTGAATTGTATGTATCCCTCATTATAGCATAATATTTTTAATGATACAGATTTAATAGTACAAACTATGTTGGAGCAGTTTCTGCATAAGGTATGTTTTAATTTACTCTAGGAATATGAAGCACGAACGGGGAGGACCTGTAAACCACCACCTCAGTCTTCAAGACGCAAGAATTTTGAATTTGAGCCGCTTTCTACCACTGCCTTGATTCTTGAGGATCGACCATCGTAAGTATTTTAGTGATAATCAGTGACATTGTTTATATTTTAAAGTTAAATTTAATTTTGTTCACTATTTTAAAAGATAGCGAGAAAGATATTGAGAAAGGATTTAATTTTTACAAAATTTAATCCCTGTTGTCTATCCTAAAACTATTTGGGGAGAATATATTTTTCTTGGGTTTTTGGTTTGTTTAGAGACAGGGTCTTGCTATGTTGCCCAGGCTGTTCTCAAACTCAAGTGATCCTCCTGCCTCAGTCTCCCCTTCCAGGATTGTAGGCATGCACTGCTGGCCCTAGTAGAGAGTATATTGTTGTTGTCTAAGACTTACGCATATTTTCTAGAGGTCTCTGTGAGTTAATATACGAAACATAATAAAGTATTGGCTCTTTATGTCTGTTTCTATTTCAACTCTCTGCTCCTCCATCTTAACATGATAGGGCAGTTATTCTTCCTTTCTTGACATTTAGTATGTATTTAAGATGTGCTTGTCTTTGCCTTTTGTACTATGTAACTACTTAGGTAACAAAAGTTTTATTAAGGAAGTAAGAGTACACTCCCAAGAGAGGAGTGAGCTGACCTGGCTGGGAGCCTACTATTATTATTAAGAATACATTTCTTATTTATTTATGTTTGTTTGTTTTGTTTTATTTATTTTTAATTTTTTATTTTTGAGACAGAGTTTTGCTCAGTCACCCAGGCTGGAGTGTAATGGTGCGATCTCAGCTCACTACAGCTTCCACTTCCTGGGTTCAAACCATTCTCTTGGCACAGCCTCCTGAGTAGCTGGGATTACAGACATGCACCAACATACCTGGCTAATTTTTTGTGTGCATTTTTAGTAGAGACAGGGTTTCGCCATGTTGGCCAGGCTGGTCTTGAATTCTTGACCTCAAGTGGTCCACCCATCTCAGCCTCCCAAAGTGCTGGGATTACAGGTGTTAGCCACCATGCCCAGCCTAAGAGTACATTCTTAATGCTCAGCAAAACATCTTAAATTGTTCTTTTCCTGCTGTACATCAGAACATTGTCTGATTTATTATTAAACAAAACACATCCTAAAGCAAGACCACTTGGTTCTTAGCTCTTTTTCTCCTCCTTGGGTTCTCTGGATCAATTCTTTTTTTTTACTAGGATTGTCTCTCTGTCCCTCTCTTTCTTTTTAATTTAATTTAATTTGTAGAGGCAGAGTCTTGCTCTGACATCCAGGCTGGAGTGCAGTGGCACAATCATAGCTTACTGCAGCCTCGAACTCCTGGCCTCAGACAATCCTGCCACTTCAGCCTCCTGAGTAGCCAGGACTACACGCGCACACCACCGCACCTGGCTAAAGAATTCTTTCTCTCTCTCTCTTTTTTTTTTTAAATGTAAAACTTCCTAGCCTTTCTTGCCATTTTCCTGATCTGGACCTTTTTCTACCCATTTTCCTGATGAGCATAATAAAATAGTCTGGAGCCAAATAGAAGAGCATAGAATATTTTTTGGACATTGCAAGAGAAAAAAAGCTGGACTTATTAAGTACATTATTCTTTTATTCTGGTTACATTCCCTCATACTAAAGAATTGTGGTCCCAATGCTCCTCTTTTAGGATTTGATGAATATGTTTATAATTGTCTTTTCATTGTTTAAAAAAAGCGTTTTAGAAACTTAGTTATGAGAACATGTGAAATTTTATTTCAGACTTGCTGCCAGGGATGAAAATGAACCAGGCCAATTCAAAGATTCCTTTCTTGGTGGAGACATTTATAGGAAAACAAGAGTGGTTAGATAAACAAGAAAAGAATAACTTGTTAAAGATCTTTAGACTTTGCAGCTGTCAGCTGAGTACGTAGATAAGTTCCCAGAAGAGCTTGCTTAAGCTTGATAGAATTTATCCGAAATGGATTATGCTTTTTACCGGGAATGTTAATTTCTTCCCAGAAAGCGTTTATGAAAATATCACTCAAAAAGTTCTATTCTAGACGGTGTTGGGGACAAATCTTTCTTTACACCATACTCTATTTCATATCATATCTGCCTCTTTAGGTTCTACCTCCATGCCTTTGCTCATGTTATTCCCCTCTCTTGGAAGGCTTTTATCTTATTTCTACTTCTTACTTACTCAATCCTTAAGGATTAGGCTTTATCTTTTCTATCAAGTCTTTGGTGATTTCTTCAGCCTTCCGTTGTATCTACTTCTCTTGTACCTTTCTTGTTACACACAAACAATTCCTTGAAATAATGTTCAATGGAATTGTCTTGAAATAACATGGTAGGTACAATAACATTATGAAAAGAACTCAGTGTACAAAAATATATAAACAGCTGAAAAAAGTACTTTTATTTTCACTCTTTTGAACTATCTATAGTTATATTAATTATAATATATGTTATAGCTTTTATTCTGTTTCTGTGTGTTTGCTCCTTTGTAGTATAGAGACTGAATTTGGTCTCTAGTGTTCCACCCAACACTGAGATGCTGTGGTTAATTAACAATTTTGTTCACCTTTTTAAATTTGAAGGGGCCTTTTTGGTGGGGGGACGTTATTTGTATGACTTACATTTATGTAACTAAAACAAACCAACAAAGTGTCTTCATGGTATTGGAGTATGAGGGTGTTTAATCACTTATTTCTTCTTCTACTTCAACCAATTGAAAAATAGATAATGGAGAACAGAAGAGAATGAAACCTTCAATTTTATTGAGTATAAAACCAGCTGAGGGGAAGAAAACTGTACATGGGAATACCTGGGTACAACCTGAGTACTAAAGTGGAACTTTGTACTTTATCTCCCTCAGAATACTCTTCTAGCAGACTTGGGCCAGCTAACATCTATCTAGTTATAGCCCAAGAAGCTAGAACAGAGGTCTGAGTAATCTTAGGTTTCTTCTGTTTATGGATGCAGGCAGATTCAAGAGGCCTGTTCTGCTTTTGTGTCTTATCTACTGGTAATGCCACTACTTCGACTATGAGGTGGCATCTGGAAGAAGATAGAAATTATTCTACAGCAGGGTTCCCCAAACCCCAGGCCCCAGATTGATTCTGGTTAGGAACTGGGCTGCACAGCAGGAGGTGAGCAGTGGGGTCTAGACCATGTGGGAGGTCTAGATGTGGGATGTGAGGTTGTGCAGAGAAGAGGTCTATTTAGATCTGCAAATTTCACCTTGTTAAATAGAAGACTAGATCTCCTAAACTGTGCCCAGCAAATCATTTGCCATGACTTGTAGAAAAGAAACAGAGGAGCTAGGCATGGTGGCTCACATCTATAATCCCAGGACTTTGGGAGGCTGAAGCAGGAGGATCGCTTGAGGCCAGGAGTTCAAGACCAGCCTGTGCAAAATAGTGAGACCCTGTCTCTACCAAAAATAAGCCAGGGTGTGGTGGCACATACCTGTAGTCCTAGCCTACTTGGGAGGATTTCTTGAGCCCAGGAGTTTGAGGTTACAGTGAGCTCTGATTGTGCCACTGCACTCCAGCCTGGGTGACAGAGTGAAACCCTGTCTCAGAAAAAATAAAATAAGATGACAGAGATTGCAAATGCAAAAGGGATTAAGCTTCACACCAGCAGCATTTCATCTTATGTGAAGAGAAGGATCAGGCCTATTTGGTGGAAGCCAGTAGGTGGTTAGAAATCTTAAAGGCGGGATTTGTAGTTAAACTGGAAATGTAGGCCAGGCGTGGTGGCTCAGTCCTGTAATCCCAGCACTTTGGGAGGCAGAGGCAGGGGCAGACCATGAGGTCAAAAGATTGAGACCATCCTGGCCAGCATGATGAAACCCCATCCCTACTAAAATATGAAAATTAGCTGGCCATGGTGGTGTGCACCTGTAGTCCCAGCTGCTATTTGGGGAGTCTCTTATGTGTAGCTGAATGTAATTGCTTAATCATATACCAATAAATCAATGATGGTGCTCTAAAGGTCAAGAGCCATCACAAACTCCAACCACATTTAAAATCCATGGAGTTTAGTCCTCACATCCAGATCCATTGAATCTTACAATTCCTAGTATTGCCTACACATACTAACTACCTTAAATCTTGCAAATCGATTCTGTCCAAAGCTGCTTTCTACCTATGTCATAGCACCTGCTCAGGAGGCTGAGGCAGGAGAATCGCTTGAACACGGAAGGTGGAGGTTGCAGTGAGCGGAGATTGTGCACTGCACTCCAGTCTGGTGACAAAGCGAGACTCTGTCTCAAAAAAAAAAAGTGGAAATGTGATTTCAATTAAGCTGTTTCTCCAATGATAAAATGAAAATTTCTAAAGGTAAATGAAATACAGCTATCAATCAATTTTCTGTATCTTAAGGGCTCAGAGTCCAGTCAGAAAAACAAATCAATGTAGTAATTTCAAACAGAGGAACTTTAATAGAGGAATTCATTGCAAGGTTGTTAAAAGGACTAGAAAAGCAAAAGAAGGGAATACAGGTTCAAAAGATTAATAATTCCAGAAAGGTGTGTATTGCTCTGGGATGTAGAAGCAAAAGAAAAAAATAATATTACCCAGAGTACAATATCACTCTTTACCTGAAAACTATATTTAGCTTCTATTTTTTCCTGTGGTCTTATCTTCTTTACAGTAAATAAAGTTTTTTTTAAGTATTAACATAATGAAAAGGGATATTGTAATTATTTTATATGGAACTATATGGAATCCATCATTGCTTTTATCTTCACAATTCTTTGTAATTCTAGGAAGTACTTTTTCTGAAATTTAGGAACAGTTAAATCCATTATTCTTTTGCAGAAATCCAGAGAGGCAAGCAGAATAGCTTGTAAAAGGAAATAAGAGAGACTTAAGGCTAGGATTTTGGAGTTAATAGTTGGTGCTATGACATAGGTAGAAAGCAGCTTTGGACAGAATCGATTTGCAAGATTTAAGGTAGTTAGTATGTGTAGGCAATACTAGGAATTATAAGATTCAATGGATCTGGATGTGAGGACTAAACTCCATGGATTTTAAATGTGGTTGGAGTTTGTGATGGCTCTTGACCTTTAGAGCACCATCATTGATTTATTGGTATATGATTAAGCAATTACATTCAGCTACACATAAGAGACTCCCCAAATAGTAGCCTAAATATGCAAGAATTTAAGTATGTAAGTAGCCCAAATTAAGTAGTTCAGTGCTAGTATGGTGGCTCCATGCATCAAAGACAAGGGTTGATATCTTTCACCATATTGAGAAAAAACTTCATTTTCATGGTGACCTTATGCTAACCGCAGAACGGGCTTGGGGACCCACTGGGCCCACAGTAAGAAAGACTTGAGCTAAAACTCCACTAATCGCCTGACCTCTACATACCTCTACTTTGACTCGGGACTATGGTAACATTTTGGGTCTCTTGCAATTAGTGTCAGATCAGAGCCGATATCCAGTAGTCCCTGAACGATCTGATTGTTTTCTTTTACCTAATGAATAGTTACCCTGGTAAAAGGCTGTAAGCCCCTTTGGGGAAGGCTGGGAGAAAGATTAATAGTATAAATTTTTGGTGGTGTACTGGAGTCCTCTCAAGGGGACCCATCATCTTCCTCATTCAAAGGATTCTGGGTCTGTAAACTGGCTCAAGTCTGGGGAGTGATTGAGGGGCCATTAGTCTTCATGATTCAGGGTAGACTTTTGTTCTCTTGACCTAGCACTTTTCTGCTTATATAGATCAAGTAAGAATGTAGTAGGCTTCTTTTTTTCACTTCTAAGAACACCATATCAACTAGCCAACACAATAGGTGTGTGCAAGTCATACTATTCTGATTGCGGCTTTGACTCTGCTGTTCATTATGGTAATTCTGCTCGCCTTGCTTTAATGATTGAGTGCTGCCACTTGGTCCCTGCCACCCCAGGATTCAATTATTCCCTTTGCATTTAGGTTTCCCAGTTCAGTGACTGCAGTTCAAGACCAGCCTGGGCAACACAGCAAAACCTTGTCTCTACAAAAAAAATATATATATATGTTTATATATATATATAAAATTAGCCAGGTGTGGTGGCACACTACTGTATTCCCAGCTACTTGGGAGGCTGAGGTGGGAGGATTGCTTGAGTCTGAGAGGCAGAGGTTGTAGTGAGCCATGATCACGCCACTGCACTCCAGCCTGGGCAACAGAGCCAGACCTTGTCTCAAAAAAAAAAAAAGACTTGAAAGTCAAAATTACTTCTTGATCCACAGGTTGCAGAATGAATGTTGTGATGGCAGGCATGAAAACAACATTCATCTTTTTGTACATCTCCATCAGAGCTCTTTGGTAACTAGGTGCATCGTTAATAAGCAGTGTTGCTTTGAAAGGAATCTTTTTTTTTTTTTTTTTTGTGAGCAGTGGGACTCATCAATAGTCTTAAAATATTCATTTAACCGTGCTGTAAACATGTCCTGTCATCCAGGCTTTATTGAGCACAGGTAGAGTAGATTTAGAATGATTCTTAAGGGCCCTAGGATTTTCAGAATGGTCCATGAGCATTGGCTTCAACTTAAAGTCACTAGTTACATTGGCCCCTAAGAAGAGAGTCAGCCTGTCCTTTGAAGCAGGCATTGACTTCTGTCTTGCTTAGAAAATACTAGATGGCATCTTTTTCCAGTAGAAGGCTGTTTTGTCTACATTGAAAATCTGTTGTTTAGAGTAGCCACCTTCATGAGTGATCTTAGTGTATCTTCTGGATAACTTGCTGCAGCTTCCCCATCAGCACTTGCTGCTTCATCTTTTACTTCTATGTGTATAAACAGCTTTTTTCCTTAAACTTCATTAACTAATCTCTGCTAGATTCCAGCTTTTCTTCTGTAACTTCTTCACTTCTCACCCTTCATAGAATTGAAGAGAGTTAGGGCCTTGCTATGGAGTGGACTTTGGCTTATGCAAATGTTATGGCTGGTTTGGTCTTTTATCTAGACCACTCACACTTTCTCAGCAATAAGGCTGTTTTGCTTTCTTATCATTTATGTGTTCATTGATTAGCACTTTTAATTTCCTTCAAGAACTTTACCATTACATTCTCCACTTGCCTAACTGGCTGAAGAGGCCAAGTTTTGGCCTATCTTGGCTTTTTTTTTTAAATTTCATTTTTATTCTGTGTGGGTACGTAGTAGATAAATATATTTATGGGATAAATGAGATACTTTGATACAGGCATGCAAGTGCATAATAATCACATCATCGTAAATGAGGTGTCCATCCCCTTGAGCATTTATTCTTTGTGTAATAAACAATCCAATTATAATCTTTTAGTTATTTTTATTTTCTCGTTTTTCTTTTTGTTTTCCAAATTTTATGTTAGGTTCCAGGGTACATCTGAAGGTTTATTACATAGGTAAACTCATGTCATGGGGGTTTGTTGTACAGATTATTTTATCACCCAGGAATTAAGCCCAGTATCCAATCGTTACCTTTTCTGCTCCTCTCCCTCCTCCCACCCTCCACCCTTAAAGTAGACCCCAGTGTCCGTTGTTCCTTCTTTGTGTTCAGAAGTTCTCATCATTTAGCTCTCACTTGTGAGTGAGAACATGTGGTATTTGGTTTTCTGTTCCTGCATTAGTTTGTGGAAGATAATAGCCTCTGGCTCCATCAATGGTTCCCGCTTTTGTTCCCGCAAAGGACATGATCTTGTTCTTTTTTATGGCTACAGGGTTATTTTTAAATGTACAATTACATTATTATTGACTATAGTCACCCTGTTGTACTATCAAATACTAGGTCTTATTCATTCTGGGTTTTTTTTTTTGAGACGGAGTTTTGCTCTTATTGCCCAGGCTGGGGTATAATGACGCGATCATGGCTTACTGCGATCTCTGCCTCCCAGGTTCAAGCAATTCTCCTGCCTCAGCCTCCCGAGTAGCTGGGATTATAGGCATGCACCACCATGTCTGGCTGATTTTGTATTTTTAGTAGAGATGGGATTTTTCCATGTTGGTCAGGCTGGTTGTGAACTCCCGACCTCAGGTGATCCGCCCGCCTCAGCCTCCCAAAGTGCTAGGATTACAGGCATGAGCCACGGTGCCTGGCCCATTCTTTCTATTTTTTAAAATCTATTAACCATCCCCACTTTCTCCCTGCCCCACTACTGTCCTTCCCAGCCTTAGGTAACCATGTTTCTACTCTCTATCTCTGTGATTTCAATTGTTTTACTTTTTAGCTCTACAAATAAGTGAGAACATGTGATATTTTTCTGTGCCTGGCTATTTACTTAACATCATGATTTCCATTTCCATCCATATTGTTGCAAATGACAGGCTCTCATTCCTTTTTGTGGATGAATAATACTCCATTGTCTATATGAACCACATATTCTTCTTCTTTTTTTTTTTTTTTTTTGAGTCAGAGTCTCACTGTGTCTTCCAGGCTGGAGTACAGTGGCACGATCTTGGCTCACTGCAGCCTCCACCTCCCTTGAACCACATTTTCTTTACCCACTCATCTGTTGATGGACACAGGTTGCTTCCAAATCTTGGCTACTGTGAATAGTGCAGCAATAAACATGGGAGTGCAGATATTTCTTTGATGTTCTGATTGCCTTTCTTTTGGGTATATACCTAGCAGTGGGATTGCTGGATCATATGGTAGCTCTATTTTTAGTTTTTTTAGGAACCTCCAAACTGTTCACCATAGTGGTTGTACTAATTTCCATTACCACCAACAGTGTACAACAGTTCCCTTTTCCCCATGTCCTCTTCAGCATTTGATATTGCCTGTCTGTTTGATAAAAGTCATTTTAACTAGGTTGAGATGATATTTCATTGTAATTTTGATTTGCATTTCTCTGATCAGTGATGTTGAGCACCTTTGAATATGGCTGTTTGCCATTTGTATGTCTTCTTTTGAGAAATGTCTATTCAAATATTTTACCTATTTTTAAATTGGATTATTAGCTTTATCCCTGTGGATATATAAGCTTGAGCTCCTTATATATTCTAGTTATTATATTAATCCCTTGTCAGACAGGTAGTTTGCACATATTTTCTCCCATTCTGTTTATTGGTTTTGTTTTTGTTTTTTTTTGTTTGTTTGTTTGTCTTGCTGTGCAAAACATTTTTAACTTGATGTGATCTCATTTGTTCATTTATGCTATGGTTGCCTGTGCTTGTGAGGTATTAATCAAGAAATCTTTGCCCAGTCCAGTGTCCTGGAGAGTTTCCCCAGTGTTTTCTTCTGGTAGTTTCATAGTTTGAGATCTTACAGTTAAGTCTTTAATGTATTTTGATTTGATTTTTGTACGTGGTGAGAGATAGGGGTCTAGTTTTATTCTTCTGCACATGATAATCCAAATTTCCCAGTATCATTTATTGAAGAGACTGTTTTTTCTCAAATGTGTATTCTTGGCACCTTTGTCAAAAATGACAGATTATCAGTAGATATATGGATTTGTTTCTGGGTTCTCTGTTCTGTTCCATTGGTTTATGTGTCTATTTTTATCCCAGTACCATGCTGTTTTGGTTACTGTAGCTCTGTAGTATAATTTGAAGTCAGATAATGTGATTTATCCAGTTTTGTTTTTTGTTTCTTTTGTTTTTTTTTTTTTTTGAGGTGGAGTTTCGCTCTTGTTGCTCAGGCTGGAATGCAGTGGCATGATCTCCGGCTCACCGCAACCTCCACCTCCTGGGTTCAAGCGATTCTCCTGCCTCAGCCTCCCAGCAGCTGGGATTACAGGCCACCACACCCAGCTAATTTTGTATTTTTAGTAGAGACGGGGTTTCTCCATGTTGGTCAGGGTGGTCTTGAACTCCCAGCCTCAGGTGATCCACCCACCTCAGCCTCCCAAAGTGCTGGGATTACAGGCGTGAGCCACCACGCCTGGCCAGTTTTGTTCTTTTTGCTCAAAATAGCTTTGGCTATTCTTGGACTTTTTTGGTTGCATATAAATTTTAGGATTGTTTTTTCTATTTCTGTGAAGAATATCATTGGTATTTTGATAGGGTTTGCATTGAATGTGTAGATTGCTTAGGGTATTATGGACATTTTAACAATGTTGATTCTTCCAATCCATGAACATGGAATATTTTTCCATTTTTTGGTGTCCTCTTCAATTTCTTTTATCAGTGTTTTTACAGTTGTTATTGTTTTAAGTAAAAGAAGACCTTTTACTTCTTTGGTTAATTCCTAGGTATTTAATTTTATTTGTGGCTATTATAAATGGGATTACTTTTTTATTTTTTAGATTGTTCAGTGTTGGCATGTAGAAATGTTACTGATTTTTGTCTGTTGATTTTTTATCCTGCAACTTTACTGAATTTGTTTATCATTTTTAATAGTTTTTTGGCAGAGTCTTTGGACTTTTGCAAATATAAGATTATCTCATCTGCAAGGATAATTTGATTTCTTCCTTTACAATTTGGATACCCTTTATTTCCTTCTCTTGTCTGATTGCTCTAGCTAGGACTTGCAGTACTATGTTGAATAACAGTGGTGAAAATCTGCAGCCTTGTTTTGTTCAGATTTTAGAAGAAACGCTTCAGTTTTTTCCCATTAAATATGATACTGCAAGTCTGTTGTATATGGCTTTTATTATTTTGAGGTATGTTCCTTCTGTCCCCAGTGTTTTAGGGCTTTTATTATGAAGGGATGTTGAGTTTTATCAAATGTTTTCTCAGTGTCAGTTGAAATTATATGGTTTTTGTCTTTCTGTTGAGGTGATGTATCACACTGATTGATTTGCATACATTGAAATATACTTACATTCCAGGGATAAGGCTCACTTGGTCATGATGAATTATCTTTTCAATGTATTGTTGAATTCAGTTTGCTAGTATTTTGTTGAGGATTTTTGCATCCATGTTTCTCAGGGATATTGGCCTGTAGTTTTCCTTTTTTTTTTTTTTTTTTAGTGTGTCTTTGTCTTGTTTGAGTATCAAGGTAATACTGGCCTCATACAATGAGTTCATAAGAATTCCCTCCTCTATTTTTTGCAGTAATTTGAGTAGGATTGTTGTCAGTTCAATTCTTCTTTAAATGTTTGGTAGAATTCAGCAGTGAAGTCATCAGGTCTTGGGCTTTTCTTTACTGGTAGACTTTTAATTACAACTCTGTAATTAAATGTTTTGTTCCATTGTGACTTGCTATTGGTCTGTTCAGGTTTTGTATTTCTTCATGGTTCAATCTTGGTAGGTTGTATGTGTCTAGGAATTTATCCATTTTCTCTAGATTTTCCAATTTATCGGCACACAGTTGCTCATAGCAACCACAAACGATCCTTTGAATTTGTGTGGTATCAGTTATAATGTCTCCTTTTTCATCTCTGATTTTACTTATTTGAGTCTTCTTTTTTTCTTAGTCTGGCTAAAGGTTTCTCAATTTTGTTTTTCTTTTCAAAAAAACCAACTTTTTGTTTTGTTGATCTTTTGTATTGTTTTCTTTCAATTTCATTTATTTGTGCTCTTTTTCTTTTTTCTTCTTCTTCTTCTTTTTTTTTTTTTTTTTTGTTATTGTTGAACATGGTCTCACTTTGTCACCCAGGCTGGAGTACATTGGCATGAATATGACTTACTGCAGCCTTGACCTCCTAGGCTTAGGCCATCTTCCCACCTCAGCCTCCTGAGTAGCTGGGACTAAAGGCACATGCCACCATGCCCAGCTAATTTTTGGGTTTCTTTTCTTTCACTAATTTTGGATTTGGTTTGCTCTAGCTTTTTTAGTTCCTTAAGATGCATTTTTAGGTTGCTTATTTGAAGTTTTTCTTCTTTTTTGATGTAGGCACCTATAGCTATAAATTTCCCTTTTAGTGTTGCTTTTGCTGTATCTCGTAGGTTTTGGTATGTTTTATTTCCATTAACATTTGTTTCAAAATATTTTTAAATTTCCTTCCTAATTCCTTCATTGACCCACTGGTCATTCAGGAGGATATTGTTTAATTTGCATGTGTTTGTATAGTTTACAAAATTCCTCTTGTTATTGATTTCTAGTTTTATTCCATTGTGATTGGAGAAGATGCTTGATATTATCTCATTTTTTTGAATGTTTTAAGACTTGGTTTGTTTTTAACTAAGGAAGCAACATGTGGTCTATCCTTGAAAATGATCCATGTGCTGAGGAGAAGAATGCATATTCAGCCATTGGATGAAGTATTTTGTTAATATTCTATTAGGTCTGTTTGTTCTATAGAGCAAATTAAGTCCAATGTTTCTTTGTTGATTTTCTATCTGGAAGATATGCTGAGTGCTGAGAGTGGTGTGTTGAAGTCTCTATTATCGTATTGAGGTGCATCTTTCTCTTTAGCTCTAATAATATTTGCTTTATATACATGGGTGCTCCAGTGTTGGGTGCATATAGATTTACAATTGTTATATCCTCTTGCTGAATTGACCCCTTTATCATTATATAATGACCTTCTTTGTCTCTTTTTACAGTTTTTGTCTTGAAGTCTATTATGTCTGACATAAATATAGCGACTCTTTCTCCTTTTTGGTGTCCATTGGCATGGAATATCTTTTTCTCTACCTTTCTTTTCAGTCTATATATGTCTTTATAGGTGAAGGGTGTTTCTTGGAGGCATCATATCATTGGGTCTTTTTTTTTTTTTTTTAAATCTATTCAGTTACTGTATCTTTTTTGATTGGAGAGTTTAGTCCATTTACATTCAGTGTTATTGGTAAGTAAGAACTTACTCTTGCCATTTTGTTATTTGTTTTCTGTTTGTTATGTGGTCTTCTCTTCTTTCGTTCCTTCCAGTCTTTCTTTTAGTGAAAGTGATTTTTTTTTTGGTGGTATGATTTAATTTCTTGCTTTTTATTTTGTGTTGTCATATTTTTTTTATTTGAGGTTACCATGTGGCTTGCAAATACTACCTTATAACCCATTATTTTAAACTGATGACAACATTGATTGCATAAGCAAACAAACTAGCAAAAAGAAAACTAATAAAAACTTTACACTTCAACCTCATCCTCCTGCTTTTTTGTTGTTTCACTTTTTTAAAAAAACTTTTTGTTGTTTCTTTTTTTTAACTTCTGTTGTTTCTCTTTTTTTTTTTTTTTTTTTTGAGACAAGGTCTTGCTCTGTCACCCCAGCTGGAGTGCAGTGGTACAGTCATCGCTGACTGTGGCCTCTATCTCCTGCGATCAGTTGATCCACCCACCTCAGACTCCCGAGTAGCTGGGACTACAGGTGCATGCCACCATACCCAGCTGGTTTTTTTTTTGTTTTTTTAGTAAGGATGAAGTCTTGCTGTGTTGCCCAGGCTGATCTTGAACTCTTGGGCATGAGCAATTCTGCCATGGCCTCCCAAAGTGCTGGGATTATAGATGGGAGCCACCATAATGGCTGACTTGTTGTTAGTCTTTATGTCTTATTTTACTGCCTATGTCTTGAAAAGCTGTTTCAGGTATTATTTTTTATTGGTTCATCTTTTAATCTTTCTACTTAAGAGTAGGCTGGGCACAGTGGCTTACGACTGTAATCCCAGCACTTTGGAAGGCTGAGGCAGGTGAATCACTTGAGGTCAGGAGTTCCAGGCTAGCCTGGCCAACATGGTGAAACCCTGTCCCTACTAAAACAATACAAAAATTAGCCGGGTATGGTGGCACGTGCCTGTAATCTCAGCTACTTGGGAGACTGAGGCAGGAGAATCGCTTCAACATGGGAGGCGGAGGCTGCAGTGAGCTGAGATTGCACCACTGGGTATTGCTGTTTGTTATTCAGGGCCCAAGGGGTCTTTTTTTTTTTTTTTTTTTTTTGAGATGCAGTCTTGCACTGTAGCCCAGGCTGGAGTGCAGTGGTGCGATCTTGGCTCACTGCAACCTCCGCCTCCTGGGTTCAAGCAATTCTCCTGCCTCAGCCTCCCGAGTAGCTGGGCTTACAGGCACATGCCACCACACCCGGCTAATTTTTTGTATTTTTGGTAGAGATGGGGTTTTACCATGTTGGCCAGGCTGGTCTTGAACTCCTGACCTCAAGTGATTTGCCCGCTTCCACCTTCCAAAGTGCTGGGATTACAGGTGTGAGCTACCGGTCCGGCCTCCAAGGGGTCTTTAGTCAGCATGTGATGAATCCTGCCAGGGCTGGATTCTTTCTTTCAAGGCAGCAGGTTCACTTCTATTCTAGGGTGTCTCTAGAAATGTCATCCAGGAGCTAGGACCTGAGATGGGGGCCTCACCACTGCCTGGTGCCCTATCCTACTGTGGCTGAGCTGGTATCTAAGATGCAATACAAAGTCCTCTTTACCCTTCTTTCTCCTCTCCTCAAGTGGAAGAAGAAAGGAGTTACTTTAGTTGCTGCAAGCTTCACTACCTGGGATTGAGAGGGGAGTGGCGTAAGCACTCCCCCAAATGTCCTGTCTGGTGTCTCACTGTGTCATCTACTGCCCCAGTCCACCGGCTCTAAGCCCAGCATAGCATCAGGACCTGCCTAAGAATTGCAGTCCTTGTGTCCTAGACTGTCTTTCAAGTTCACTTAGGATCCCAGAGCACTTTAACCTGTGATTGCGAGGCTTGCCGAAACTCAAGTTTCAGCTGCTGGGATGGGCGCTTCCCCTCTGGCTAGTGCTGTTCAAAATGCTCCCTCCATGGGCAGGTGCTGGCTGAGTTCAGCATGATTTTGCTTTCCATGTGCTAGGGCAGCATTAAGTTCAATGCAAAGTTCCTCAGTCACTGTGTTGTTCCTCCCCTGAGTGCATGGGTTCTGTCTCCTAGCCAAGAAGCCACTGCCAGGGGTTGGGGGAGGGGTGGTGTTGGCAATTTAAGACTGTCTTTCCTACCCTCTGCAATGCCTCTTTCAGCGATATGAAGTTAAAACTAGGTACTGTGATTGCTCACCTGATTTGTGGTTCTCATGAAGGTGCTTATTTGTGTGCAGATAGTTAAAATTTGGTGTTCCTGCAGGGTGGACAACTGGTGCAGGCTTCTATTCTGCCATCTTTCTTCACCCCCCTATCTTGGCTTTTGGCATGCCTTCCTCATTAAGCTTACTCATTTATTTCTGGCTTTTGATTTTAAATTGAGAGATATGGGACTCTTCTTTTCACTTAGATGTCATTGTAGAGTTATTAATTGGCCTAATTTCAATGTTGTATCCCAAGAAATAGGGATGCCTGAAGAGATAGAGAGAGATGGGAATGGTCAGTCTGTGGAGCAGTAAGACACACATGTTTGCCTTGGCACACAAATTTGCCATCTTATATTAGCACTGTGTGTGGTGTCCCAAAACAATGAGAATAGTAACAACAAAAATCACCTATCACAGATCACCATAACAGATACAATGATAATGAAATAGTTTGAAATATTGCAAGAATTGGCTGGGTGCGGTGGCTCACCCCTGTAATCCCAGAACTTTGGGAGGCCGGGGCAGGCAGATCACCTGAGGTCAGGAGTTTGAGACCAGCCTGACTAACATGGTGAAACTCCATCTCTACTAAAATTACCAAAAAATGTAGCCAGGCATGATGGCAGGCATCTGTAACCCCAGTTACTTAAGAGGCTGACGCAGGAGAATTGCTTGAAACCAACTGGGAGGTGGAGGTTACAATGAGCCAAGATTGCGCCTTTGCACTCCAGCCTAGGTGACAAGAGTGAAACTCTGTTTCAAAAGAAAAAAAAAAAGAAATATTGCAAGAATTACTGTAATGTGATACAGAGACACACAATGAGCACATTGTTAGAAAAATGGCACCCATAGACTTGCTTGACATTAGGGTTGCTACAAACCTTCAATATGTAAAAAATGCAATATTTGCAAAATGTAATAAAGCAAATCACAGTATAGTAAGGTATGCCTATAGTATATTTATAACAGCTATTTTATCATCCTTGTGTTATAATCCTATTATCTGTGACATTTTTATATTGTGACTGTTGATTAATTTTTCTTCTCATTATGCATTATATTTTTCTGCTTCACATCTCTGTTTTTATTGAATGTCAGACATTGTGGTTTACATAGGTGGATGCTGGACTTTTTTGTGTGTTCTTTTAGATACTTTTTGGCTTTAGTCTGGTTTGCAGTTTTTTGGAAATGGTTTGATCTTTTTGACCTAATCTTTGTTGGAGTGGTTCCAGAATAGCTTTTAGTTTAGGAGTAATTTGTCCTCACTACTGAGGCATTATTCTTCTAAGCACTCTACCTAGTACTCTTATCTATCAGGAGGCCTTTCCACTCTGGCTGGTCTTGTGTGAACTTTAAGAATGTCCTATTTTTTTTTTCTCTGGTGGTTCTTTCTCTGGCTGTAGTTAATCACACACATGCACAGATCAGTACTCAGCCAAAACCTTGAGAGGACTCTCTGCAGCTCCCTTCTTTTCTGGTTTTCTGGTTTGTAACTTTTAGCTGTCTTGGACTCTCCAACTCTAAACTTTCTCCTCACCTTAGGATTGATGGACCACTGAGACCTGGAAATGTCAGGTACTTGTAGGGTTACCTTGCTTATTTCTTTTCTCTTAAAGATCACTTTCTTGTGCTGCCCAGTGTCTGTTGTCTGGAAACTATAGTTTAATATATTTTGTCCATTTTCTAATGATTTAAGGGGAAAGGGTAAACCTGGTTTCTTTTATTCCATTATGGCCTGAAGCAGAGGTCTTAACTTTTATTCCTCCCTCCTACAACCTACCAGATCAACTGACTAATTTGAGAAGAGGAGGTAGAATTTATAATTTGAAAATTTGTCACATACCTTTTTCCACACTAGCCTGTTGAAAAGAAAAGACTGACTCCTAAAACTGGACACTATTATGATTATATTTGGATAAGTGATAATATACCAGTGTATTTCTTTTTGCATTTTTTATATCTAAATCACTGACTCTGTGAAGCCATTGATTTGATAAACCAAAATACGGTGTAGTAGTTACCCCTTATTGGCGGTTTTGCTTAAGGCAATTTCAGTTACCTGTACTCAGCTGTGGTTTGAAAACATTAAGTGGAAAATTCCAGAAATAACTTTTAATTTTTAAATTGCGTGCCATTCTGAGTAGCATGATGAAATCTCACTGTCCTGCTCCATCCTGCTAGGGACATGAGTTCAGTTTATCTGCACTATATACACTACCCATCTGGTAGTTCAGTTAGTAACCTTCTTGGTTGTCAGATCGACTGTTGGTGATACCACAGCGCCTGTGTTCAAAGAACCCTTATTTTATTAGTAATGCCCCCAAAGCTTAAGAGTAGTGGTGCTGACAATTCAGATATGCCAAAGAGAAGCTGTAAAGTTCCTCCTTTAAGCAAAAAGGTGAAAGTTCTCAAATTAATAAGAAAAAAAAATCATATGCTGAAGTTGCTAAGATCTGTGGTAAGAATCAGTTTCCTATCCATGAAATTGTGAAGAATGAAAAAGAAATTTATGCTAGTGTTACTGTTGCACCTTAAATTGCAAAAGTTACTACCATAGAGCACGGTGTTCAGTTATGATTGAAAAGACATTAAATTTATGGGTGGAAGATATGAACAAAAATGTGTTCCAATTGATGGCAACATATTGTGCTGGGTTAACTTAATCTCAATTAAATTAAACTTTATCATAGTTATGTATGTATAGGAAAAAACCTGGTATATATAGGGTTTGTTACTGTCTGAGGTTTCAGGCATCCACTGGAGGTCTTGGAACATAACTCCTAAGGATAAGGGGGGACTACTATGTATGCAAATGATGGATGATCCAGTTTTTTAGTTAAAATGTTGTCTTAAAACTCTAATTAGTGGAAAGCAGTTTGACAGTTTATTGTAAAGGTATATCCACACTTACTATATAACCCAAGACTTTTGTTTAACTAAGGGAAATGAAAGCAAATGTCTACACAAAAACTTGATGTTAATTTTTACAGTAGTTTTATTAATAATGGCCTCAATCTGGAAACAATCCAAGTGTCCACCCACATGGATAAATGGAATACTACTCAGCAATTAAAAGGAATACATTACTAATACAACAACATGAATGATTTTCAAAACTGTGCTGAGCAAAAGAAGCCAGACATTAGTCCTTCAATGTAAATTAAAACAAAAAAAGCCAGACACAAGAGTCTATAAAATTCTTGAAGAGGAAACAAATTAATCTGTAGTGATAGAAATCAAAGAAAGAATTTTGTGAGGGGTACCACAAGGAAACTTAGTGGAATGATGGGAATGTTCTATATCTTGATTGGTTAGTTAGCTGCACAGGTATATACATTTGTCAAGACTCATCAAACTATTCTTAAAATATGTTTATTCATTTTATTATATGAAAATTATATCTGAAAAAAGTTGACTAAAGAAAACTCTAGTAAGTGAGTTTAACAAATAACCTAAAAATATTGACTGAAATCTGAAATGGACTGGGCTCAGTGGCTCACACCTGTAATCCCAGCACTTTGGGAGGCTGAGTCAGGAGGATTGCTTCAACCCAGGAGTTTGAGACTAGCCTGAGCAACATAGTGAGACCCCATCTCTATTTTTTTAATCTGAAATGTTTAAATATATACCAACTTATATACACATGACATAGAACTACACACACACACACACACACACACCACATATTAACAACCTGGATTCTGATTCTGTTCTAAAATGCACAGTTCTTTTCAGCCTTTCACTTCCTTAATGTATGAAATGAGGTTAGTTTAGAAATTCTTTGCATCTGGGTGTAAAAACAAATAAGTTAGTAAGTTGAAAGTTAATCTTTTAAAAATTGTCTTGACTTAAGTAATTTTTTTTTCCAGAAATCTTCCTGCCAAATCTGTGGAAGAAGCTTTACGTCACCGACAAGAATACGATGAGATGGTGGCTGAGGCTAAAAAACGAGGTATAAAATTTAACTCCAAATGGTATAATTTTCTGATTTTAATAAGAAGATGGATGGTAAAATTCATCAAGTCTGTCTTCAAGATGATACTGAATTCTTTTTTTTATTTCTTTTTTCGTTTCTTTTTTGAGTCTTGCTCTGTTGCCCAGCCTGGTATGCAGTGATGCAGTCACAGCTCACTGTAGCCTGACCTTCCAGGCTCAAGCAGTCCTTTTACCTCTCAGCCTCCCAAGTAGCTGGGACCACAGGCACGTGCCACCATGCTTGGCTAGTTTTTTGTATTGTTTGTAGAGATGAGGTTTTACCATGTTGCCCATGCTTTTATTTTTCTCTACTATTTTTATAATTAAGTTTGTTCTAAAGGAGGAATAAAATGACATACCAGGATCATAGTTTTTCTGCATGTACTTTTACAGAATAGGAGGAATCTTGAAATTACAGTCATAAAACTTGGACTTCTACTATCTTAGTTTATAAATAAAGATAATAATTCATGAATCTATTAATGAATTTCACTTTTTACCATTTTTATATTTTATAATTAATTTCTAATTATTTTATAATTTAATAATTTTAACTTTCTATATGGCTGTGAGAATATGATTTGAAACTCAAAATTTTTTTGTGACTTACAGAGTCTCTCTAGAGGCCCAATTGTGTCATTTGGTTAGGTGCATAAAAGTATACTCTTGTGTGTATAAATTTACGTATTCATTCATTCTCTTTTCCAACCAAAAAAATAATATCAGGATAATTTAATGGTGTTTATTTCCTGACAGTTGTTATTTCAGGATAAACATACATTTTTAGAAGATATTACACAGCTGTATACATTTTTAGACTTAACATCTAACACCTTATTAACAACTGATATTTTTTCCTTTGACTTAAGTTAATGGACTGTTATAATAGTATACAGTTCTGCTTTATGGTGCTATTTTGGAATTGAAGTTACTTCTTTAATGTTAAGTAAACATAGGATATATAAGGCTAGTTATATTGTTCTAGAAGGTATTTAAACATTAGTTGAGTGTATTTTACTATACAGAATTCGAAATATTTCTGACATATCCAATTAAGTATTTATCTATTTATTACTTATTTTTATTTTTTTGAGACAGGGTCTTGCTCTGTCACCCAGGCTAGAGTGCAGTGATGCGAACTTGGCTCACTGCAGCCTCAATCTCCCAGGCTCAGGAGATCCTCTCACCTCAGCCTCCCAAGTAGCTGGGACCATAGGCGTGCACCACCACGCCCAGTTAATTTTTGTATTTTTTTGTGGAGACAGGTTTCGCCATATAGGCCAGGCTAGTCTTAAACTCCTGACCTCAAGTGATCCACCCACCTCGGCCTCCCAAAGTGCTGGGATTTCAGGTGTGAGCCACCACATCCAGCCTAAGTTTTTATTTTTTATTATGTATTTATTTATTTTAGAGACGGGGTCGCACTTGTTACCTAGGCCAGAGTGCAGTGGTACAATTATAGCTCACTGCAGCCTCGAATTCCTGGGCTCAAGCAATCCTCCTGCCTCAGCTTCCCTGGTAGCTGGGATTGCAGGTGCATGCCACCACACCCAGCTCTTTTTTTTTTTTTTGAGACAAAATCTCACTCTGTCACCCAGGCTGGAGTGCAGTGGCGCAATCTCGGCTCACTGTGACCTCCGCTGCCTGGGTTCAAGTGATTCTCCTACCTCAGCCTCCAGAGTGGCGGGGATTATAGGTGCCCGCCACCAGGCCCAGCTAATTTTTGTATTTTTAATGGAGACGGGGTTTTGCCATGTTGGCCAGGCTGGTCTCGAACTCTTGACCTCAAGTGATCCACCTGCCTTGGCCACCCAAAGTGCTGGAATTACAGGCGTGAGCCACCATGCCCAGCCCCAGCTCATTTTTTAGAAGTTATTTTGTAGAGATGATGTATCTCTATGTTGCCCAGGCTGGTCTCAAACTCCTGGCCTCAAGCAATTCTCCCACCTGGGCCTCCCAAGAGCGTTGAGATTATAGGCATGAACCACTGTGCCTGGCTCCAGTTAAGTTTTTATTAATTTTAAAATTTTTACTATATGATTACTATGTAAGATAACTATTGGTACTGGATGATCTTAAAAGCATGGTATGATAGGGATAATATTGAACTGAGGAATCAGAAGGCCACAGCTTTAACCTTGTTTGATACTACCTTGGTGTGATACTCTGAACAGGCCTGATGTTAGTTTTCTCATGCGTAACATGTGAGAGGCAGGTCAGCTTAATCAGGGCTTTGAAGCTTCTCTTTCATCATTTTTTTTTTGTTGTTGGTAAAGCAGTGGAACATTCTCCCAAGAAATCTTATATAGAATATGAATACATAAAACAAATAAAAGAAAGTAGAGATTGTCGGCCAGATGCGGTAGCTCACGCCTATAACCCCAGCACTTTGGGAGGCTAAGGCAGGCAGATCGTGAGGTCAGGTGTTTGAGACCAGCCTGGCCAGCATGGTGAATCTCTGTCTCTACTAAAAATACAAAAAATTAGCTGGGCATGGTGGTGTGACCCTGTAATGCCAGCTACTGGAGAGGCTGAGGCAGGAGAATTGCTTGATCCCGGGAGGTAGAGGTTGCAGTGAGCAGAGATCGCACCACTGCACTGCAGCCTGGGCAACAGAGCGAGACTCTGTTTCAAAAAAAGAAGAAAGAAAGTAGAGATTGTTTACTTGGCCTTCTGCTTGCCCCTCAAGATGGTCTGAGGCATATCTGAAAAAACAATTTGAAAACAGTTTGGCTAGCTGGTCTCTGACATCCTCACTGGTTCTAAAATTACATAAAGTTTTGATTTATGACTCACTTTCGTCTGTATTTGAGACATCTCTTCTTCTGAAATTGTCACCTTTGATTTTCAGAGAGATATTTTCTTCCTCTAACTTTTGCCTCAGAATCTAAGAGATGTACTGTTAATATATGTGTTTTGGGGGACATTTTAAAATTTCAAACTAGTAAAGTGAAACACCATATTAAAAAGAGTTAATATACTAATAATGCTACTGACAAAATCATTTTGGAATGTCATGTGAGTTATGTCAGAAAATTTATAAACCCTTGTAGGAAAAATGGGTATTGGTTAGTTGCCCACAGTTGTTTGTTTTTTATATAGTTAATTCATAAGAAATTTGACTTCATAGATTTAGTGTAAATAGAAATATGTGATAAAGTAATCTACTTAAATTATTTTTCTGACCTTTTATTCCACTTACTTTTATAGTAGAACAGGAGATGTTATTTTAAAATTATGTTAATAACTGGGCATGGTGGCACACATGTGTAGTCCAAGCTGTTCAGGAAGTTGAGATATGAGGATTTATTTAAGTCCAGGAGTTCAAGGCCACCTGAGCAACGTGGCGAGACCCATCTCTAAAAAAAGAGAAAACAAAGAATAGAAAATTATGTTAATCAAGTTCATTTACTTTCACTTTTTCCCTCCCTTTCTTTCCCTGTCCCTCCCTCCCTTATTTCCTTCCTTCCTCTTATGATAATATTCTTTTTGAGAAAGTCTATTTTGTAGAGTTTAGGTAAATGGAGAAAAGGATTTTGATCTAGCTTATTTGTATTGAAATAATTTTTACTCGTTTAAAACAGAAATTAAGGAAGCACATAAAAGAAAAAGAATCATGAAAGAACGATTTAAGCAGGAAGAAAATATTGCAAGTGCAATGGTAATTTGGATCAATGAAATACTGCCCAATTGGGAAGTAATGTAAGTAAGCAGACTTTTCCTAAATTCCCATTTGTCTCCGAAGATCTCATGTTTCTTTTTTTTTTTTTAATTTATTATTATTATACTTTAAGTTTTAGGGTACATGTGCACAATGTGCAGGTTAGTTACATATGTATACATGTGCCATGCTGGTGCGCTGAGATCTCATGTTTCTGATTCTGTATTTTTATTATTTCCAGCATATATTTTATGCTTTGGCTAAATTATACTATTAATTAATGCCTGAAAATTTCCATATTTGCATCTGTGCCTTTGCTTTTGTAAATCCCTCAGTGTCTACCACCTACTTCCCTTACTGACCATCCTCTGTGTCTGCTAAATCTTTTTTTTTTTTTTTTTTTTTTGAGACGGAGTCTCGCTCTGTCACCCAGGCTGGAGTGCAGTGGCGTGGTCTCCGCTCACTGCAAGCTCCGCCTCCCGGGTTCACACCATTCTCTGGCCTCAGCCTCCCGAGTAGCTGGGACTACAGGCGCCTGCCACCGCGCCTGGCTAATTTTTTTTTTTTTTGTATTTTTAGTGGAGATGGGGTTTCACCGTGGTGTCTGCTAAATCTTACCTATCCTTTGGGACCCAACTGAAATGCTAATTGATTTATGAAACTTTTAATGTCTTTGGTTACTGTGTTTTCTTTTTTTTTTTTTTTTTCTGAGACGGAGTCTCGCTCTGTTGCCCAGGCTAGAGTGCAGTGGCACAATCTCGGCTCACTGCAAGCTCCGCCTCCCGGGTTCATGCCATTCTCCCACCTCAGCCTCCCGAGTAGCTGGGACTACAGGCACTCGCCACCATGCCCTGCTAATTTTTTGTATTTTTAGTAGAGACGGGGTTTCACCATTCACAGGATGGTCTCGATCTCCTGACCTTGTGATCTGCCTGCCTCGGCCTCCCCAAGTGCTGAGATTACAGGCGTGAGCCACCGTGCCCGGCCTAGTTACTGTATTTTCTTAATGCTAACATACCATCAATTGTAAGACGCACTATTGATGTAATAGCAGTTATTTGGAAAGAGAATATTAAATATATAAATGTATTAGAAGATGCACTTATTGTTAAAATGATTTTTAAAGTGTTTATCTCATAATCAAGGAAATATGTATGATCTTTCCCTTATGTAAATGTCCCATCATCATACTTTGAGACTAATATACTTATCTTGCCTTTGCATTTATTTATTCATTTTTAAGTTATTTTGCCAGCATCTTTTTAATGATAAATAATAATTGTATATATTTATATGGTACAGGGTGATTTGTTTTTTTGTTTTTGTTTTTGTTTTGTTTTGAGACAGAGTCTCCCTCTGTCACCCAGGCTGGAGTGCAGTGGCGCGATCTCAGCTCACTGCAACCTCTACCTCCTGGATTCAGACGATTCTTATGCCTTAGTCTCCCTAGTAGCAGGGACTACAGGCATCTGCCACCATACCCGGCTAATTGTTTTGTATATTTAGTAGAAACAGGGCTTCACCATATTGGCCAGGCTAGTCTCAAACTCCTGGCCTCAAGTGATCAGCCTGCCTTGACTTCCCAAAGTGCTGGAATTATAGGTGTGAGCCACTGCACCCTACCGTGATGTGTTTTTTGAGGGTTTTTTTTTTTCAAGACGAGGTCTCACTCTGTTGCCCAGGCTGGGGTGTAGTGGCGAGATCAAGGCTCACCGCAACCCCGACCTCCCTGGGCTCAGGTGATCCTCCTGCCTCAGCCTCCTGAGTAGCTGGGACTACAGGTATGTGCTAACACGTCCAGCTAAGTTTTGTATTTTTTTATAGATATGGGGTCTCACTGTGTTGCCCAGGCTGGTCTCGAACTTTTGGGTTCAAGCAATCTGCCTGCCTTGGCCTCTCAAAGTGCTAGGATTACAGGTGTGAGCCACCTGCCTGGTGCAATGTGTTGTTTTGGTATATGTTTACATTATGGAATGATTAAATCAAGCTAATTAACACATCCATCAGCTCACGTATTTCTCAGTATTTTGTGGTAAAACATTTAAAATCTGCTCATTTAGCAATTTTGAAACATACAGTTCATTATTATTTATTATAGTCACCATTCTATGTAATAGGTCACTAACACTTATTTCTTCTAACGGAAGTTTGTACCCTTTGATCAACATCTCACCTTTCTCCATTCACTTTACTCCCCGCTCCCCGGCCATAACCACCATTCTACCCCCTACTTTTATGAGATTGACTTTTTTGGATTCCACATATAAGTGAGGTTATGTGTTGATTTTTCTGTGCCTGGTTTATTTCACGTGGCACAATATCCTACAGGTTCATCTGTGTTGTTGCAAATGACAGAATTTCTTTCTTATTGCCTTTTTACATAACATTTTAAAATATGCCTTATCTTCCCTCTCGACTGGAGGGTTGGGGATATCTTCTGCAATGCCTACTGTAGTTTGTACATTGGGAATTTGTTGAATATTGGCACAGTGTGACATATTATCTGAGGCACTTTACATAAGTAATTGCATTTGAGTCTTAGAACTTTTATAAGGTGTATGTATTTTTACTCCCATTTATCTTATAAGGAAACTCAAGGTCAGAGAGGTTAAGTGATTTGCCCAAGGTTATACATTTAATTAATGGTTAAACTAGATTGGATCTCAGATCTATCTGACTTTAAAGCCGACAGTTTTTTTTAGCAGACTTTACTGCTTCTCAAAAACTAGGGCCTTCCCACTGTAGATTCTTGGTTGTTTTGTTTTTGGTGCTGAATTGGTGATACATTTTTATGTCCCTTTTATCCTGTTTTTTAAATAATTGACTGCATATTTCTGATTCTCTCATTGACATTTATAAAACGCAGTTCCCTTTAGATTACTGTTGCCCCTTTGGGATCCTATACATCTTGTAGGCTGTTGTTGCCTGCAAGCATGAACGCAAAGAAAAGAATGCATTACATACTTAATTCTCTATAGTCCTAAAAATGATTTGATCACTTGGCCATAGACTAAAGATAATCCATCATGCAACTAGTATTTTTGGTATAAAAAGTAACTTTCTCCTTTTTTCTCCTCCTTTAATTCTAGGCGTAGTACAAGAAGAGTTCGAGAATTGTGGTGGCAGGGATTGCCCCCTAGTGTCCGTGGGAAAGTTTGGAGTCTAGCTGTAGGAAATGAACTAAATATCACTCCTGGTTTGTATTCTACGTTCAGTTATTCCCACATGTACAAATAGCCATCTACAGAGTTACATAGCAGATTAGTAGAGTGACCATTAAAATAAATGGCCTTTATCATATATAATGTCATTTTAAAAGCATGCTTCATCCCCCTGTTATGAAGCAGGTTATTAAACCTGTTATGATTTAATAAGTTATTACATTTTATATAAAGATTTATGGTTTTCCCTTTAGTTCACAACTATCAATAATCTTCTTGGCATTCAAATATCAAAAACTTCTGGGATTCTACTTGGCAGTGGATAATATGTATATACAAGAAAAAAGAAAATAGTCAATTATGAAAAGGCTTCACTTTTATACAGAAAACATAAATACTGGAGGAAGGCTAAAAGTTTCTTTTCCTCCTTCTTTACCTAAACCAGTCATTTTGGGATTTTTTTTTTAATTTGAAAAGTTTAGGCCGGGCGCAGTGGCTCATGCCTGTAATCCCAGCACTTTGGGAGGCCAAGGCAAGTGGATCACCTGAAGTCAGGAGTTCAAGACCAGCCCAGCCAACATAGCGAAACCCTGTCTCTAGTAAAAATACAAAAATTAGCTGGGCATGGTGACACATGCCTGTAATCCCAGCTACTTGGGAGGCTGAGGTGGAAGAATCACTTGAACCCAGGAGGCAGAGGCTGCAGTGAGCCGAGATCGCGCCTGTGCACTCCAGCCTGGGCAAAAGAGCGAGACTCTATCTCAAATGAATGAATGAATAAATGAATGAATGAATGAATGAATGAATAAATAAATAAATAAATAAAATAATTTTAAAGTTTATAACTTGATTAGCTGCATAAAGAAAAAACTTTAGCCGGGCATGGTGGCTCATGCGTGTAATCCCAGCACTTTGGGAGGCCAAGGCAGGTGGATTGCCTGAGCTCAGGATTTCGAGACCAGCCTGGGCAACACGGTGAAACCCCTTCTCTACTAAAATACGAAAAATTAGTCAGACGTGGCAGCGTGTGCTGGGAGGCTGAGGCAGGAGAATTGCTTGAACCCGGGAGGCAGAGGTTGCGGTGAGCTGAGATCAAGCCACTGCACTCCAGCCTGGGCTACAGAGCGAGACTCTGTCTCAAAAAAAGAAAAAAAAAACCTTTAAAGAACAGAAGAAGAAATAAGACTTTCAAAGAGTTATATTATTTTCTTAAGTTTCTTAAACTTTGGTGGATAGGAGCAAAATGTAGAGTAGTTTTTTTGTTTTTGTTTTTGAGATGGAGTCTCGCTCTGTTGCTGTGCTGGAGTGCAGTGGCGCAGTCTCGGCTCACTGTAACCTCCGCCTCCCGGGTTCAAGCGATCCTCCTGCCTCAGCCTCCTGAGTAGCTGGGACTACAGGTGTGTACCACCACGCCTGGCTAATTTTTTGTATTTTTAGTAGAGATGGGGTTTTGCCATGCTGGCCAGGCTGGTCTCAAACTCCTGGCCTCAAGTGATCCACTTGCCTCAGCCTCCCAAAGTGCTGGGATTACAGGTGTAAGCCACCGTGCCTGGCTTGCAGAGTAGTTTTGATGAGTTTTTAAAAAATTAAGCTGGACATGGTGGCTCATGCCTGTAGTCCTAGCTACTTGGGAGGTTTAGATGGGAGGATTGCTTGAGCCCAGGAGTTTAAGGTTACAGTGAGCTATGATTGTGCCGCAGCACTCCAAACAGGGCTACAGAGCACGACTCTGTCTCTAAATTAATAAATAAATAATTTGGCCAGGCGCGGTGGCTCACGCCTGTAATCCCAGCACTTTGGGAGGCCAACGCGGGTGGATCAACTGAGGTCGGGAATTTGAGACCAGTCTGACCAACATGGAGAAACCCCGTCTCTACTAAAAATACAAAATTAGCTGGGCGTGGTGGCGCATGTCTGTAATCCCAGCTACTCGGGAGGCTGAGGCAGGAGAATCGCTTGAACCCAGGAGGCGAAGGTTGCAGTGAGCCGAGATTGCGTCATTGCACTCCAGCCTGGGCAACAAGAGCGAAACTCCATCTCAAAAATAAAATAGAATAAATAAATAAATAAATTTTTAAAATTAGATAAAATTAGAATAATATCAAATAGAGGAAAGTAAAATAGTTTATAGGCCAGGCATGGTGGCTCATGTCTGTAATCCCAGCACTTCAGGAGGCTGAGGCGGATAGGTCTCTTGAGCCCAGGAGTTTGGGACCAGCCTGGGCAACATAGCGAGACCCCGTCTCTACAAAAAAAATCTCAAAATTAGCCAGGCAGCCCGCATGTGGTCACACCACTCGAGAGGGTGAGGTGGGAGGATCGCTTGAGCTCAGGAGGTGCAATGAGCTGTGATTGTGCCACTGCACTCCAGCCTGGGCGACAGAGTGAGACCCTGTCTCTAAATAAATAAATAGTTAATAATAAAATGTGCTAAATTGGTCTAAATGATAATGTTAATGCTAGACAATGGCACCACATAAAGACTTAAGGACTTTAATACTAGAAATAATATATTGTCACTGTTACTTCTAAAATTTTTCTTTTTATATTTATTGGAAAAAGTTAAAGTAATGAGAAGGTACAAGTGTCTGCTCTTCCACCTGAACTGCTATTCTTGATCCTACTGTAAACACTGTTAGCAATTTGGTGTATATTCTTTCTGGTCTTTTTTCTATGTACATAAAGTGTGCATCTACATATGATCAATTTTAAAGCTTTTCTTTTTTATTTTTTCACCCACAATTTATGCCATAAGGTTATTCTGTGGCTTTCTTTCTTCACACTATAATCTATCTTGAACATCTTCCATGTTAGTACATACAAGTCTGTCTCATATGTACTACAGCTACATTGTATTCCACAATTTGGCTGTACTATAATTTATTTAACTGTTTTCCTTGAGATAGCCAAATCAAAGACATATATTTTTTCCTGCCATTCTATAAAAAAGACATATATGTTAACATCCAAGTACTGTTTTTCATCCCTCAAAAGAGATTAAAATGAATGAGAATTACCCATACGAGGATGACTGAAAATCATTCATAAATATTTACCAAAGGTCTCAAACAAATAACCTTTGACTGTTTATTTCAGTTCTAAGAATTTACTCTGAGGAAATAGCCAGGATTGGATGCAAAAGCTTTTCTACAAAAATGTTCATTGCAGCAATCAGCATTATATATAATTGGACAGAATTATAACAAAAATTAAATGTTTACCCTTTGTCTGAAAAGCAATGCCAACTTTGGATATTATGATTATGTATGATTTTAAAATTTGATTTTCACAAGTCTCCTGTAATAAACATATTATTTTATTTATTTATTTATTTTTATGTATTTATTTTTGAGATGGAGTCTTGCTCTGTCGCTGAGGCTGGAGTGCAGTGGTGCTCTCTCAGCTCACTGCAGCCCCTGCCTCCTGGGTTCAAGCAGTTGTCCCTGCCTCAGCCTCCCAAGTAGCTGAGATTACAGGGGCCTGCCACCACACTGACTAATTTTTGTATTTTTAGTAGAGATGGGGTTTTGCCATGTTGGCCAGGCTGGTCTCGAACTCTTGACCTCCAGTGATAGGCCCACCTCGGCCTCCCAAAGTGCTGGGCTTACAGGCATGAGCCACTGTGCCCAGCCAACATGTTATTTTCAAAGAACTTAAAAACTTTTAGAATAGAATTTAAAGGAAGAATTAAGTTTTTATTTAACTTAGAAAAAGTTAGATTTTATATGACTTAACTGTTCTCTCCAAATATACACAGAGATTACTTTTGCTTTCTGAGTTTGGAACAGATTGAATGTTTTTAAATTATAGTCAGAACTTTCAGTTAGATTTTCTAAATAATAAGAATTTTTGAACATACTGTAATTGTTTAAAGTCTTAAGAATCAATTTTGCAAACAGGTAATGAGGTATTGATGGTTATATGAAGTTATGTTTGCAATTTTTATTGATAACTGGCTTTAGAATCTGATTTATCTTGATAACTTAGACATTAAAATATTGGTTAAATTGGTGTTAACGTTTTGTGATACTATAATCAAAAGGTTCGTTTTTAGCTTGAAATTTATAGTTTTGTAACATAACTGAGTCATTTATTTCCAACATAATTTTCGATTTTCTTCACTAAACATTTATGTATTCAAGAATGGAATGTGTGTTTATTCTCTCCTTTTTTATTAGTGCGGAAAAGATGCTAAAATTGGATTGAATTACATTTATTTTTGTTAATCTTGTTTACTTTTGAATGGCTTTAGTAATTTGACTTGTTTTAGTCATGAAATTTATAATCATTAGAGAATAGTAGCTAAGAGTAAGGGCTCTAAAGTCAGTCAAATATGGTTCAAATCTTGGTTCCACCATAATATATTAGGTTTGTGACCTTGGGCATATTACTTAACATCTAGAAATCTTAGTTTTTCTTCACCTGTAAAATAGGGGTAAGAATATGAAAGGAGTGTTCTAACAGTTATTTGTGATAATATAAAACAATAGTGAAAGTGCATTTTGCTGAGAGTATGGATAATATCATAATTGTCACAAAATCAGAAAGCAAAATATACACTGAAATCAAAGTATTCTCTGTTCAAGTCCAAAGTATCATCTTTAAGCCTGCTTCAAACTCTCCCTTTGCAGATTCAAAGCAAAGTAAGTGTGACATGAGGACCTAAGCATCAAAGTGAACTGAGATGCAGGTCTTCTTAACTGTGAATCTTACTGGAGAGATGTCCTTTGATGTTTTGAAATCATTACCACATTTTTATTATTAGATCAATTTTATGACTTATAAAACTGATGGGTTTGTCTGGTGAGCCCCCTTTTTTTTAGATAGTTTTAAAATTTGGGTATAATATTGAAGCTGACTGTCTTAGAACCAGTTTGAATTTTTTAAAAAAACTTACAATTTTATACCTAATAACCCCCAAATAATTATATGTATAAATTTTAACCTTATATTCATCTCTTCTATGAAATCACTGATGGAGCCAGGCATAAATAATAGGAATTTTGCCTGGTGTGGTGGCTTACGCCTGTAATCCTAGCACTTTGGGAGGCCGAGGCAGGTGGATCACATGAGGCCAGGAGTTCAAGACCAGCCTGGCCAACATGGTGAAACCATGACTCTACTGAAAATACAAAAAATTAACTGGATGTGTTGGTGCATGCCAGTAATCCCAGCTACTCAGAAGGCTGAGAATTGCTTGAACCCGGGAGGGGGAGGTTGCAATGAGCTGAGGTCACACCACTGCATTCCAGTCTGGGCAACAGAGAAAGACCCTGTCTCAAAAAATAAGAAGAAGAAGAATAGGAATTCTAAGTTTTTTTTTTTAATTTCTTCTTTCCAAACCATTAGTAATGATGAAAAGTAAATAGAAGGGAGAAAAGATTAGAATAGTAAGAGTCTGTTTGAAATATATCTACTCAGATATTTGATAATGATATGCTTCTTGGCAATATAAGAATACTCGTTATGGTATAGTCATTACTTTGGAAAATTATGCAGTTGTTTAAAAGAAACAAAAGCAAATCTATATCTACTAACGTGGAACAACCTCTAATATAACAAAGTAAGATACAGACCAGTGCATGAAACATGTTGCCACTTTAATTTTTTTAAAAAGGATTATATATTTATGTATATGCTTGTGCATGCATATTTTCATTCTTGGAAGAATTAGAGCTCTGATAACCACACTTGCATCTGAGGAAAGGAAATTTATTTTTCTCTCTACACTATTTTGTACTTTTTGAAATTTTTTTTTTTTTTAAACGGAGTCTCGCTTTGTTGCCCAGACTGGAGTGCAGTGGTGCGATCTCTGCTCACAGCAACCTCTGCCTCCCGGGCTCAAGTGATTCTCCTGCCTCAGCCTCCCAAGTATCTGGGATTACAGGCATGCACCACCATGCCCAGCTAAATTTTTTGTATTTTTAGTAGAGACAAGGTTTCACCATGTTGGCCAGACTGGTCTCAAACTCCTGACCTCAGGTGATCCACCCGCCTCGGCCTCCCAAAGTGCTGGGATTACAGGCATGAGCCACCATGCCCGGCCTACTTTTTGAAATTTTTTAAAACCATGTTCTTGTATTACCTTTAAAAATGAATAAAATTTTAAAAAGAATTAATTGAAGCAAAAAACTTATTTTGGACAATATATAAACTTTGGTGTTTGGGCAAGACGTATTTTTTCTATTCTTCTGTCCCTGAAATGTCCTATTTTTATGTAGTTTCAAATATCTGCAATAGTTAGTTACAAAATAAAGACCAAAAAAATTTGGGAATTGAGAAAACTTTTGAAATCTTTCCTGTCCTGAAGTTTTTATGAGACCCTGCATATGGGAGTGCCGTGACTAGGCACTTAAATTAAAAAGATAGGGGTAGAGATTTTGTTTGTTGGTGACACACACCAAGTCTGTGTGAAATATAAGTAGCTTTAGATAGCAATATCATAATGGAGAAACCAGTTTCAGTAGTGATAGAAAGCAAGATCGAGCATCTGTTGAAGTGCTATGAGGTGCCAGGAGCTTTACATATATTATTTAATCATCAGTAACCCTATGAGTAGGTGTTGTTTTTCTCTGGTTTACAGGTAAAGAAAGCTGAGTTCCAGGGTAGCTAAATAACTTTCTTGAAGTCCCTCAGATAGTAAATGGCAGAGCCAGAATTTGAATCTAGGTCTGATTGACTCCAAAAATCATTTTTTTCTGCTGTTCCACAATGATACTTCTTAGCAGAAGCATCTCTTTCTGCCTCATATGTACATTCTGTATGGATGATTACTCTGCAGTAATTTTATTTACTTTCTTTCTGAGTATATAATGAATAGTTTTGGTAGAATCAAGTACTTAGATTTGCCACTTTTTTGATGCTTGCTACATCAGAGAGACCTGACCTGTAATAGGTAAAGAGTAAAAATTAAAATTTGCAAATATATTTCTTTCCTATTATTCATACATTTTTGTTCTCCCCCCAACCCCCAGAACTTTATGAAATCTTCCTCTCAAGAGCAAAAGAACGGTGGAAAAGTTTCAGTGAAACAAGTTCAGAGAATGATACAGAAGGTGTGATTTCTTTTTTTAAATAAGAATTTTAGGATGAAAATTCAGATACTGAGCATGTATCAGAAGCTGTAGTAATCGCTTTACATATATCATCTTATTTAATCTTAACCCTTTCAGTAAACAAGGCTAGAAAAAAGACTTGATTTACAGAAAAGTTCATGTAAGTATCATCCTAAGACCTCTTAGCTATGTCAGCTATTTGTGGAGAACTAAAAGTATGTAAAAGGTAAAGAAGTTTATACTGGCAGACAGCAGCTATTTCATCATTTTTGACTCATTTTTATGAAGCATTGAAATTATGAGAATTAAAATTATAAGTATTCACTTCTGAAATATTTTTTCAATAATAAATGGTGAGGCTGGGCGGATGGCTCACACCTGTAATCCTGGCACTTTGGGGGGCCAAGGCAGGTGGATCACCTGAGGTCAGGAGTTTGAAACCAGCCTGGACAACATGGCGAAACCCCATCTCTACTAAAAAAACAAAAATTAGCCGGGCGTGGTGGCAGGTGCATGCAATCCCAGCTACTTGGGAGGCTGAGGCAGGGAGAATGTCTTGAACCTGGGAGGCAGAGGTTACAGTGAGCTGAGATCACGCCATTGCACTCCAGCCTGGGTAACAGACTTCATCTCCAAAGAAAAAGAATAAATGGTGAAAATTGCACTTTAGTAGAAATTAATTGAATGTAATGAAGAGTTCTAGTCAGAAGCAGTGTCTACATAAATTACTGTTTTCTTATTTCCTGGATATGTATAATTTGCATGTGTCATTTAACTTTTTGGTCATTGTCTTTTTAAATATTGCTTCTGCCCTTTCTTGCCTGTTTTCCTTCTGGACTCCAATTACATGTATAGTAGACCATTTAACAGTGTTTCACAAGCCTCTTATACTCTCTCTTTTTTTTTTCTTTTTTTGGTGGGGGATAGATATAATTTTATATAATTGAAAAAAATTTTAATTCATCATATAGGGATGGGGTCTCTCTATGTTTCCCTGGCTAGTCTCAAACTCCTGGCCTCAAGCAATCCTGCCTTGGCCTTCCAAAGTGCTGGGATTGCAGGCATGAACCACTGTGCCTGGCCAATTCTTTTTCTCTCTCTCTCTCTCTCTCTTTCTCTGCTTCAGTTTCATTGATTTTTATTGATCCGTCATCAAATTCACTAATCCTTTCTTCTGGTTTATCTAGTCTGCTATTAAATCTAAATCTGTGTAATGGGCTTTTAATTTCAGATGTGCTTTGTAATTGTAGAATGTTCACTTGGTTCTTTTTATACATTCTGTTTCTCTGTTGAAATTCATCTTCCCATCCCATGTTCCTTCCGCCATCTTTTCCTCTTATTTTCTTTTTAAAATTTATTATTATTTTTTTCTCTAGCGCATATCAGCCAGATATTTTCTTTAACATATTTATAACAGATAGTGTCATTGCCTGTTAATTCCAATACTGCATCATCTGCAGGTCTGCCTCTGTCGGCTGTTTTTCCCCTTGTTTCCCCTTTAAAGTGGTTGTAAGTCACATTTTCTGCTTCTTTGTATATCTTAAATGTTTAAATTGTATGCCAGACATTGTATATAAAAAGAATGTAGAAACCAAAGCTGAGGTTTCCCCTGCAGAGTAAGCTGCTCTTTCCTGTTAGGCAGTTCGATTAAGGGCTTATCACCTCAATTCAACCATTAATTGATCTAGGTTGGGGCAAGGTTGTAGGTTTAGATAGACTTAGTTTATCTTGAGTTTCAAATTTCTTGATGGGAAAAAGTGTTTTTTTTTTTTTTTTTTTGAGATGCTCACCCTGTCGCCCAGGCTGGAGTGCAGTGGCAAGATCTTGGCTCACTGCAATCTCTGCCTCCCAGGTTCAAGCAATTCTCCTGCCTCAGTCCCCTGAGTAGCTGGGATTACAGGTGCGCTCCACCATGCCCGGCTAATTTTTAGTAGAGACAGGGTTTCACCGTGTTGGTCAGGCTGGTCTCGAACTCCTGACCTCAGGTGATCCATCTTGGCCTCCCAAAGTGCTAGGATTACAGGCATGAGCCACCACACCCGGACCAAAGTGTTCTATTTTGACTACAGGTAATCTCCCTCCAATGATATGCCCTCTCAAGACCTTGTGACTTTGGATGATTTTATTCTGCATTTCTAGCCCAGCCTTCTGCATTCAGAAAAGTCCCATAGGGAAAACCAGATACACATTCAGGGCTCCTCCAGATTCTTGTCTATCACATCAATTTTATTTGGCCATGTGTAGCTCTTCTGGTTTCTCTTCCTCCAACTAGGGTGACTTTGTCTTCGGCGAGCTCGATCCTAAGCCCATACCTAGACCTGGCAGATACCCCTAGGAAGAAAAATGGACACTGGTGTCTACTCACCAAGGAAAGACTCTTACTTTTCTGGAATTTAAATCCTATTGATCTCTCTGTGTCCATAGCTCTCTGATGATTTTTTAAATGTGATATTTGTAAATTTTTTTCCTAGTTGTTACCATGGAAATGATGGTCTGCCCATATCTTCTGTAAAAACTGGAATTAGAAATCCTTTACCATATAACTTTCTGATAAATGTATAGCTATTTTCTTTGTACAAGAGAATAACAAGTTCTAACAAAAGCTATGTGACATTTCTTATAATTTCTTGATTATTCAGCTTTTAACTTAAATAACACATGCTGTGTGATCATTCTGTATTTATAAAATTGGACTTGTTAGAGCCAAGTGATCATTTAAATTGTATCTGCTTGGTAAATGCAGGTGTATCTGTTGCTGATCGAGAGGCCAGTCTGGAATTAATTAAGTTGGACATATCCCGTACATTTCCATCTCTCTACATCTTTCAGAAGGTGAGGGTTTCTAACCAGCTTGTAATTACTTAAAAAAAATCTATCAATATCCAAGGCAACAGATTCTTTAAATGAATAGCTATTACTTTAAAAAAGGCAAAACTATAGAAATTGGGGACCCTGTATAAAAAGTGTAAAACTAGTTATAAAATTATAAAGGAATTTCTATTATTTTATTCCACTGACCGAAATACATTATAGTTAGCATAGCATTTAATACCTTTTATGTAGTAGGCACTTGATGAATTTTATTACAGTGAATTTATTTTGCTTTTTATTTTGTAAGATATATGAATTCTTAATATTTTGGCCTAGTAAATTGTTAAAGTATAAAGAACTTTTCACAAAACTTAAAAATTTTCAGAATTATCATTAAAATAGGAAGAAATGGTTTTCTTTGTACATAGGCTATTATGAAGTTGCTTATACCTTATGAAAAGAGAAATGACTACATTATATATACTTTATCTTTGACTCATGTCTTTATTTTTATTTCTTTTTAAATTTGAGATCAGGTCTTGCTGTGTTGCCCAGGCTGGACTCAAACTCCTAGGCTCAAGCAATCCTCCTGCATCAGCCTCCTGCATAGCTGGGATTATGGGATTACAGGCATGTGCCACCACACCCAGCTGATTCAAGTCTTTATACATGGAATTCTTCTATCTTTAGATTGATAAAAATAAAATGAGATAAAAATTTTTACCATTAAGATTAAAATTATTAACACAGTTTAGTTTAGCTTGATGGTTTTTTTTCTGCTGATGGTGTATTACATAAAATGAAACAGTGTGTATTCATCATACCCTTATACCAAATCTAGAAGATTTTAAAACTGTTGACAAATTATATAGCTTGTATCCATCAAGTAAGTTTATTTGGCTTTTTGTTGTTGTTGTTATTTAGTAGTAAATATTTCTTTTTTTTTTTTTTTTTTTTTTGAGAGATTCTCACTCTGTTGCCCAGGCTGGAGTGCAGTGGCACAGTCCTGGCTCAGTGCAACCACTGCCTCCTGAGTTCAAGCGATTCTTGTGCCTCAGCCACCCGAGTAGCTGGAATTACAGGCGTATGACACCATGCCCAGCTAATTTTTGTATTTGTAGTAGAGATGGGGTTTCACCATGTTAGCCAAGCTGGTCTCAAACTCCTGGCCTCAAATGACCTGCCCATCTCGACCTCCTAAAGTGCTGGGATTATAGGCATGAGCCACCGCACCCATCTGCAGTATTAAATATTTATTATTCATAATTTGGAAAACATCTTGGCAGAGTACATTTATAATATTTTTTATTAAATATGCTAAAACTAGTCATTTAGGAAATGCTACAGTTTATTAACATGTTATATGAAAATTAACTTAGAGAAAATTATTTGTACAGTTTCAAATTTCATTTTTCTCTCCTAAGGGTGGTCCATATCATGATGTCTTGCATAGTATTTTAGGGGCATACACATGCTACAGGCCTGATGTTGGTTATGTAAGTATTTGTTTCCATCTGTTTTTTGAATATAAGCATTTTATCTACACTCTTTATCAAAATATCCTATGTTGTATTAGCTCCCAAATGTCTGTATTTCTATGTCTGTTTTTCTTAGGCTTATCAATTTACCCAGTGAAGAATCTTTCTATCTCTTGCCAAGAGCTTATATGTACTTGAGGCTGCCAGCTTTCTGGGGGAGCTGCGGGAGATTTCACCATGCAATTTATAAACTTTTATCTCATGCCCTGATATCAGTGTGATGCCTTGTCCCCCTCTTCCTAACCCTCTTTTCCATGACTGTGCCTCTAGAGAGTAAACCTCCTATGTTCTACCAGGTTAAGGGAAGGATAGGTACCTGTCCCTAAAGGATAGGGGAGGGGATTTGCTCCTTATACAGACTTTCACCCAATCCTATTTTTAGCTCTCTTTCTCCATTTCACAGGTACCTGACAACTTCAGCTTCTGAGCCTTCAGGGTTTTACAGCTGAATTGGCTTGCTGATTATTGGCTTCCTCCTCTGTAGATATTTTAGTTTTAACATTCTACACTTATTTAATTTACAATTTCTAAAATACTATTAACTATCTACTGTATAATTTTTCATTCTTGTAGTCCTTGTGGGTTAATATTTATTTTTTCTTTACTGTATTTTTAGTTGGATTTTGCAGGAGAACAAAGAAAGATGTGATGTTCAATTGCCATTTTTAACTAGAAGTTATAGAACTTTCATCTTCTCACCTTTGCCTTAAAATAGAAGAATGTTAGACCTCTCTATAGGGTGGCTGTCTGGTACAAGTTACTTTGTTCTGTTGCATGTTCATTTCTATGTTTGTTTACTCAACAAATATTTATTGTGCTCTTATGACTATATGTCAGGCATTGTTCTAGGCACTTGAAATACCTCAATGAACAAAATGATTTCTGTCCTTATGATGCTTACAGTTTAGAAGAAAGAAACAGACAATAAACAACAAACAAATAAGTAAATCATGTTATATTAAAAGATAAGTGCTGTAGAAAAGTGTGAGATGATAAAGGGGGAAAGTGCTAGATTTAGGGTGGGGCAGGTTGTAGTATTTGAAAAGATCGTAAGATAGTCCTTATAGAGAAAGTTAGATTTGAGCAAAGAGTCTTTAAACTCTCTTACTCAGGTATTCTGTGAATGAATTGTAAGAACACCTTGTATCCCCTTCACATGTTAAAGTTGAAGTTTAAAGTTTTTCATCGTAAGTTTACTTGTAAATAATTTAATTTTTTAGCACTGGTTAAATGTTGACATCTTATAGTTTTCTAAAAATGTCCCCAGGCATGCCGGGCGTGGTGGCTCACGCCTGTAATCCCAGCACTTTGGGAGGCCTAGGCGGGCAGATTCCATATTCAGGAGTTCGAGACCAGCCTGACCAACATGGTGAAACCTCGTCTCTACTGAAAATACAAAAATTAGCTGGGCATGGTGGCACGCGCCTGTTATCCCAGCTACTCAGGAGGCTGAGGCAGGAGAATCGCTTGAATCTGGGAGGCGGAGGTTGCAGTGAGCCAAGATCGTGCCACTGCACTCCAGCCTGGGCAACAAGAGCAAAACTCTGTCTCACAAAAAAAAAAAAAAGTGTCCCCAGGCTGGGCACAGTGTCTCATACCTGTAAATCCCAGCACTTTGGGAGGTTGAGGCAGGAAGATCGCTTGAGCCCAGGACTCCCAGACAGCAGTGAGCTAGGATTGGACCACTGCATTCCAGCCTGCACAACACAGCAAGACCCTGTCTCAAAAAAAAGTCTGTAGTGGAGTTTAAATACTGTAATAAATTTACATATATCATAGTCCATTTAAAGAAAAATATATTAACAAGCTCTTCATTAATATTTTACATTTTTGCTTTTTCTCTGAACTTGTATTTCTTTTTTTATTTTTATTTTTTTGAGACAGGGTCTCACTCTGTCACCCAGGCTAGAGTACAATGGCGTGATCATGACTTACTATAGCCTCGACTTCCTGGTCCCCTGGTCCCTGGTGATTCTTCCATCTCAGCCTCCCAGGTAGCTGGGACTGCAGGCACAAGCCACCATGCTTGGCTAATTTTCTGTATTTTGTGTTAAGACAGGGCACTGTTTCCCAGGCTTATCTTGAACTCCTGGCTCAAGTGACCCGCCTGCATTGGTCTCCCATAGTGCTGGGATTACAAGTGTGACCTACTGTGCCTGGCTGATATTATGATTTTTTTAAATATAACGTTGTATAATTAAAACAAAGTAATTAACCTGCCCAACATCTGAAATATCTGACATTTTTTGTAATGAGAGTAATTTGAGATTTACTCTCTGAGTGACTGTGAAATGTACAGAACTCAGTTATTAGTTGTATTTGCCATGTTGTGTAATAAATCTCAAAAAAAAAACAAAAAAAAAAAAACAGGCCAGGCATGGTGGCTCATGCCTGTAATCCCAGGCATGTAATCCCAGGCATGTAATCCCAGCATTTGGGAGGCCAAGGTGGGAAGATCGCTTGAGCCCAGGAGTTTTAAGACCAGCCTGAGCAACACAGTGAGACCTCATCTCTGCAAATAATAAAAAATTAGCCAGGTGTGGTGGTGTGCACCTGTAGTCCCAGCTACTCAAGAGGCTGAGGTGGAAAGATCGCTAGAGTTCAGGCTCTTGAAGCTGTAGTAAGCCGAAATGGTGCCTGGGCGATAGAGTGAGACCCTGTCTCAAAAAAATTAAAGTTACTCCTCCTTTCTAACTGGAGCTTTTTGTACTCTTTGATTATCGTCTTCCCCACCCCCAAGCCTCTGGTAACCACTATTCTACTCTTTGCTTCTATGAGTTCAGTGGTTTTAGATTACACATTTAAGTGAGAACATGCAATATTTGCTTTTCTGTTTTTTGCCTTATTTCACTTAGCATAATGTTCTCCAGTTCCATCCATGTTTTCCCAAACGACATAATTTCTTCCTTTGTTAAGGCTGAACAGTATTCTTTTGTATACATACACACACTCTCTCATCCCATTCATCTGTTGATGGACACTTATGTTGATTCCTTAACTTGGCTATTTTGAGTAGTGCTGTAATGAACATGGGAGTGCAGGTATCTTTTTGACATACCGATTTCAAGTCTTTTGGGTAATAGCCAGAAGTGAGATTGCTGGACCATATAGTAATTCTATTTTTAGTTTTTTTTGAAGAACTTCCATACAGTTTTCTATAATAGCTGTACTAATTTACATTCCTATAAACAGTGTGCAAGTTTTTTTTTTCTTTTTTTTTTTTTTTTTTGAGACGGAGTCTCACTCTGTCGCCCAGGCTGGAGTGCAGTGGCGGGATCTCGGCTCACTGCAAGCTCCGCCTCCCGGGTTCACGCCATTCTCCTGCCTCAGCCTCCCAAGTAGCTGGGACTACAGGCGCCCGCCACTACGCCCGGCTAATTTTTTGTATTTTTAGTAGAGACGGGGTTTCACCGTTTTAGCCGGGATGGTCTCGATCTCCTGACCTCGTGATCCGCCCGCCTCGGCCTCCCAAAGTGCTGGGATTACAGGCGTGAGCCACCGCGCCCGGCCGCAAGTTTTTTTTTCCAACAACCTCACCAACACTTATGTTTTGTCTTTTTGGTAATAGCCATATAAAGCAGTCCCCGCTTATCCTCAGGGGATATATTCCAAGACACCAAGTGGAATATATAGGTTTGGTTTTTTTGTTTTGTTTTGTTTTTGTTTTTGAGACGGGGTTTCGCTCTTGTTGCCCAGGCTGGAGTGCAATGGCATGATCTTGGCTCACTGCACCCTCCACCTTCTGGGTTCAAGCAATTCTCCTGCCTCAGCCTCCCAAGTAGCTGGGATTACAGGCGCCCGCCACCATGCCCAGCTGATTTTTTGTATTTTTAGTAGAGACGGGGTTTCACTGTGTTGACCAGGCTAGTCTCGAACTCCTGACCTCAGGCGATCCACCCGCCTCGGCCTCCCAAAGTGCTGGGATTACAGGCGTGAGCCACCCTGCCCGGCCTATGTAGGGTTTTGTACTTGTCCTGAAACTGCAGATAGTGCAGAATCCTATATATACTATGTTTTTTCTGTACATACATACCTATGATAAAATTTATTAATTAGGCACAATAAGACATAAACAGCAATAACTAATAATAAAGTAGAACAATTATAACACTATTCTAACAATTTAGGTGAAAGAAGCATTACTCAAACACAAGCTCTACAATACCACAACAGTTGATCTTATAACCGAGATGGCTACTAGGCAGGTGGGTAGCATATACATGGTTACACTGGATAGAGGGATGATTCCCCTCCTTGGCAGGAAGGAGCAGGACCACTCCAGATTTTACCACCCTATTTAGAACAGCATGCAATTTAAAACTTATGACTTGTTTGTTTCTGGAACTTGCCATTTAATATTTTCAGACCACTGTTGACCGTAGGAAACTGAAACTTCAGAAAGCAAAACTGGGGAAAGTGGAGGACTACTGTATTTTATTTCATTTCTCTCACAGAATTTTATTCTAATGTAACACTTTTCTGCCCAAAAGTCTTTTAGTAATCTCATTATACTTCTGCTACAAATATATAAATTAATTAAAAATTAGCTTTATTTCTGATATACATAATATTCTAAATATTAAACGTTTTTTCTAATTTGTGTTATTACAATTATTAGTATAACTGATCAAAACAAATCTATTAGAGAAACTACATAAATGAAAAAAACAAAACAAATTTATTTTTTTGGTTGGGCATATATAAATTTTCAATCAACTTTTTTTGTTTTTTTTAAAATTATACTAAGTTCTAGGGTACATGTGCACAACGTGCAGGTTTGTTACATATGTATACATGTGCCATGTTGGTGTGCTGCACCCATTAACTCGTCATTTACATTAGGTATATCTCCTAATGCTATCCCTCCCCCCTCCCCCCACCCCATGACAGGCCCCCGTGTGTGATGTTCCCCTTCCTGTGTCCAAGTGTTCTCATTGTTCAGTTCCCACCTATGAGTGAGAACATGCAGTGTTTGGTTTTTTGTTCTTGCGAACAGTTTGCTGAGAATGATGGTTTAATTATCTCAGTAACTCAATTAGATTCTCCTTTAGCTTTATTGAATACAGAAGACTGTTAACTACTTGAGATGCAAAAACATTTTGTTACCAATCATTAGAATTGTTCACTTTCTCAATTTCTATAAAGTATCCCAAAAGCCTTTATTGAGACTAGTCAAAATATCTATTACTGACATTTTAGGCTAAATTTTATTTTGTGTTTTGTGTTTTTTGTTTTGAGACAAGGTTTCACTATGTTGCCCAGGCTGATCTTGAACTCCTGGGCTCAAGTGATCCTTCCACCTCAGCCTCCCAAAGTGCTGGGTTTATGTATGAGCCACTGCACCCAGCCTACACTAGACTTTAAAAAAAGAAAAAAAATATATTAAAATTATATCTTCAGGCTGCGTGCGGTGGCTCATGCCTATAACCCTAGCACTTTGGGACACTGAGGCAGGCGGATCACTTGAGGCCAGGAGTTTGAGACCAGCCTTGCCAACATGCCAAAATCCTGTCTCTACTAAAAATACAAAAATTACATGGGTGTGGAGGCGCATGCCTGTAATCCCAGCTACTCAGGAGGCTGAGCCACGAGAATTGCTTGAATCCAGGAGGCAGAGGTTGCAGTGAGCTGAGGTTGTGCCACTGCACTCCAGCGTGGGTGACAGAGCGAGACTCTGTCTCAAAACAAACAAACAAAAATCCTCACTTAAAGGCACTTGTTTAACCTGGTATACTGAGAAAAATTGGGGAAAATTAAAATACTGTTACTTTTATTACACTTATGATAATGATTTTTTAGAATATGTTTTAAATATTTTTTTTTACCCTGGCTGCAGACTTATTAGGTCACTGTATATTTGCTGCTGAAATGAGCTCTGTTAGGTCACTGAATTTATGTAAAGTGACCACCATATAACTTAACTGGTGGTATCAAGGCTCACTGACAAACCAGTCAGTCAAATCACACTTACTTTATAAGTTAAAAATAGTGTAGACTATATTGGAATACCTATTTCATGTCATGATTTGACAAAATACGTTTTTAACTATGTTAATGAATAACATATGCTGAATCTATAAATAACTCACGAAAGTTTTATCTGTAGATTTTATTCTTGAGAAAATTTGGTAATCTTGGTTCACATTTCAGTTATACTTATTTAAAAGAACCACAGGCTGGGTGCGGTGGCTAATGCCTGTAATCCCAGCATTTTGGGAGGCCGAGGCAGGTGGATCACCTGAGGTCAGTAGTTCGAGACCAGCCTGGCCAACGTGGCGAAATCCCGTCTCTACTAAAAATACAAAAATTAGCCAGGTGTGGTGGCATAGGCCTGTAATTCGAGCTACTCGGGAGGCTGAGGCAAGGAGAATTGCTTGAACTCAGGAGACGGATGTTGTAGTGAGCCGAGATCCCGCCACTGCACTCCAGCCTGCGTGATGGAGCTCTGTACTGCAATTGCTGTTCTCTTTTTTCTCCTAGGACTCTCCCTCAAGGACTATGCATTCTTTTTTTTCTTTTCTTTTTCTTTTTTTTTGAAATAGAGTCTCGCTCTGTCACCCAGGCTGGAGTGCAGTGGCACAATCTCAGCTCACTGCAACCTCCGCCCTCTGGGTTCAAGCAGTTCTCCTGCCTCAGCCTCCTGAGTAACTGGGATTACAGGCACATGCCACCATGCCTGGCTAATTTTTGTATTTTTAGTAGAGAACCAGTCAGGGTCATGTGTGGTATTTAGTTGTTCTTTTTAGTTTCCTTTAAAACAGAACAGTTCCTCAGCCTTTTGTATGTGTCGTAACAATGTCACTTTTCAAAAGTTAAGTCTAGCTGTTTGCGGAACGACCCTCAACTTGAATTTGATTATTTTTTCATGATTAGATTCAGGTTAGACAGTTTTGTCAGCAATACTACATAAACAATGTATCTTTTTTAGTGCATCACACCATGAGTCAATAAATAATGCAAAATATTTAGAAGAATTGGACTCTGAAGAAATTATAGAAATAACTTTTTCTTATTTTCTTTTCATATATGCACAAGAGTGATATATAATAAATCTGAATGAGCTATAAATAGTTTTAAAAATATGCATAATATTCCGGGCTGGACACGGTGGCTCACGCCTGTAATCCCAGCACCTTAGGAGGTCAAGGCAGGCGGATCACCTGAAGTCAGGAGTTTGAGACCAGTCAGGCCAACATGGTAAAACCCCGTCACTATTAAAAATACAAAAATTAGCCAGGCGTGGTGGCAGGCACCTCTATTCCCAGCTGTTCGGGAGGTTGAGGCAGGAGAATCACTTTAACCTGGGAGGGGAAGGTTGCGGTGAGCCAATATCGTGCCACTGCACTCCAGCCTGGACGATAAGAGCTAAACTCTGTCTCCAAAAAAATTAATTAAGTAAATAAATATTCCAAGTGATAAGGTATTATGCCATTGCTTAATTGGCAGCATTTTTTCTTTTTTAGCAGTATGTAAAATAATGTTACTTAAACACCATCTTAGGTACAATTAAATGTAATTTTAATTCCTTCTATTTACTTTGCTACCATTCTATTACAGATGGTTAATAATTTGCCCCTTGTATTCATTCAGCAAATATTGTGGTACTAAGAATACAACTATGAACAAACAAACATGGTGTGGTCTCTGTGCTAGTTCCCTATGGATACTGTAACAAACTACCACAAACTTAGTGGCTTTAAACACCACAAATTAGGCGAGGCGCAGTGGCTCATGCCTGTAATCCCAGCACTTTGGGAGGCTGAGGTGGGAAGATTACTTGAGGTCAGGAGTTTGAGACCAGCCTGGGCAACATAGGAAAACTCTGTCTCTACAAAAACAAAATTTAAACAAACACACATACAACAACAACACAAAGTTACTGTTTGACAATTCTGGAGGTCAGAAGTCTGAAATAGACTTCACTGGGTTTAAGTCAAAGTATTGGCAGGGTTGTGCTTCCTCAGGAAGTTCTAGGGGAGAATACATTTCCTTGCTTTTTCCACCTTCTAGAGGCTGCCTACATTCCTTAGCTCATGGGCCTATAGCTCCATCTTCAAAGCCAGCAGTGTAGCATCTTCAAATCTCTCTCTGACTAACCTGCCTTCTTCTTTCACTTATAAGGAACCTCATGATGATTACTTCAGGCCCACCCAGATAATTCAGGATAAGCTCCCTATCTCAAGATCCTTGACTTAATCATATCTGTAGAGTCCCTTTTACCATGTCCAGCAACATATTCATAGCTTCTGGTTATTAATAAGGACTTGGACATCTTTGGTGGGCAATTATTATGCCTACTACAGTCCCTGTCTTCATGGAACTTAAGTTCTAGAAAATCAAATAGGCAATTACTGTAGAATCTGCAAAAAGTACTCAGAAGAAGACAGAGAAATAAGATGAGAACAAAGAAATAATTGGATTGCAGAAGCTAAGGGAATGCTGTTAAGAGAGATAGCACCCTCTGGGTTTTTCAATAAGTATCATTGGTCATACTGGCAAGAGAAATCTCAAAATAGTATGGTAATGGAGTGGGAATACATACTGAAGTGTGTTAAAGGTGAAAAGGGAGCTGAGAGCCGGGTGCAGTGGCTCACGCCTGTAATCCCAGCACTTTGGGAGGCCGAGGTGGGTGGATCACCTGAGGTCGGGAGTTCAAGACCAGCCTGACCAACATGGAGAAACCCCGTCTCTACTAAAAATACAAAATTAGCCGGGGTGGTGGCACATGCCTGTAATCCCAGCTACTCGGGAGGCTGAGGCAGGAGAATCGCTTGAATCCGGGAGGCGGAGGTTGCAGTGAGCTGAGATCACACCATTGCACTCCAGCCTGGGCTAAAAGGGTGAAACTCCATCTCAAAAAAATAAAAAAATAAAAGAAAAGGGAGCTGAGAAAATAGAGATAGTGATTGTAGGCATCCCTTTCAAAACACTTGGCTGGGAACAAGAGACAGAGTTATCATTGCAGGTGTTCTTTTTTTTTTGAGACCGAGTCTCGCTCTGTCACCCAGTCTGGAGTGCAGTGGCGCAATCTTGGCTTACTGCAAGCTCCGCCTCCCAGGTTCACGCCATTCTCCTGCCTCAGCCTCCTGAGTAGCTAGGACTACAGGCACCTGCCACCACGCCCGGTTAATTTTTTGTATTTTTAGTAGAGACAGGGTTTCACCATGTTAGCCAGGCTGGTCTTGAACTCCTGACCTCAGGTGATCCGCCCGCCTCGGCCTCCCAAAGTGTTGGGATTACAGGCGTGAGCCACTGCGCCTGGCCCATTGCAGTTATTCTTAATGGTCTCACTGTGTAAGTCCATTATACAAATCTCTTCTAGAAGTAAGTGATAACTTTTTTTTTTAATTAAACAAATGTATGGGCTGGACAGGCGTGGTGGTACACACCCATAGTCTCAGCTACTCAGGAGGCTGAGGCAGGAGGATAGCTGGAGCTGGGAGGCAGAGGTTGCAGTGAGATGATATGCCACTGCATTCCAGCCTAGGTGACTTGAGTGAGACCCTGCTTCAAAAAAAAGAAACCAAAAAAAAAAAAAAAACAAAAAAAAAACAGGAGAAGAAGTATATGATAGCTGCCAATAACTTACAAGCAAGAAGCAAACATCTATACAGCTTAGCCTTTTACTCAAGGTCTTTCACAACATAAACACATCCTACCTTCTCTAAATGCCTTTCCTTACTCCAGCTGAGCTGGTCCTATTGTTCCCATTTTTGTGTCTTAGTTCATGCTTCTTTTCCATTTTAGGTTTTTTCCTATTTCTGTCTCTTGCTTTTCCAGGACTCCAGGCTCAACCCCCACAACGTCTCCTTTCTTGGTATTTCAGCAGCACTTCTGATAGATCTCTTTTATTCTGAGTCCTTCATTTTTTACTCAGATGTGTTATAACAATGAAAATAATCACCTGATTTTTATTAAATTTTGTGATTCTGTACTCTATTTTGAAAGAATTCAGACTGAGAGGAAATGAAAACTAGGTAATACGCTGAGATAGCCTTTTGTAGCAGTAAAATCTGATACTTTTTTGTTTTTCAAAAATTCTCCCTAATGTTGAAAAACCACACCATATGAACAAGAAATTAGGGAGATTTCGTAATCATTAGGGGCTCTCTGTATTTACCTTTGCTGGGAAGGAAAAAAGAAATCTTGGTTAATTCTACTTTGTAATGTCACTGTAATTTTTCAGGAGTACAATAAAATAAACTATATAGATTTATTATTGTAAGTCCATTTTGACTAAATTTTTCTCCCTTTGAAGGTCCAAGGGATGTCCTTCATTGCAGCAGTACTCATTCTCAATTTGGAAGAGGCAGATGCCTTTATCGCATTTGCCAATCTCCTGAATAAGCCATGCCAGTTGGCCTTTTTTCGTGTGGATCACAGCATGGTATGAATGGATCATGTTTTCCATTGTTTCTGTAGTTTGAATGCCCTCTTAGAGTGAAAAACAATAATTAGAAGGCCAAAACAATCTAATCTAATATAAACTTATCATTATATTATAGTTTATTAATGAATGTTTGCTGAGAAGACTCAGAAAAAGATGAGATTCTTAATGAGCACGATTTCCTGTTAGTGTTTAAGCGTTTAATTTCTTTATTTCTAGACTATATACTTTCATAATTTTATTGATTTTTTAATCTTTAGATGTTGAAATATTTTGCAACATTTGAAGTATTCTTTGAAGAAAATCTTTCCAAATTATTTCTTCACTTCAAATCTTACAGTCTTACACCAGATATATACTTGATAGACTGGTAAGTCATAACATACGTAATATATAATAATGAAAAGGAAATAAAGTATAACTTTTTGTGTGTTTTAGGAACTAGAGTAAATCTCATGTGCAGGATTTTACATATAAAGAGCCTTCTTTTACAAATTTAGAAACTTCCAAATTTTTGTGGGGACGCATTTGATTAAGAGCATGGACTCGGCTGGGTGTGGTGGCTCATGTCTGTAATCCGAGCACTTTGGGAGGCCGAGGTGGGCGGATCACCTGAGGTCAGGAGTTCAAGACCAGCCTGTCCCACATGGCGAAACCCCGTCTCTACTAAATATACAAAAACTTAGTCTTGGCCAGGCACGGTGGCTCATGCCTGTAATCTTAGCACTTTGGTGGGTGGATCACGAGGTCAGGAGTTCGAAACCAGCCTGACTAACATGGTGAAACCCTGTCTCTACTAAAAGTACAAAAATTAGCCAGGTATAGTGGCATGCACCTGTAATCCCAGCTACTTGGGAGGCTGAGGCAGGAGAATCGCTTGAACCCAGGAGGCGGGAGGTTGCAGTGAGCCAAGATTGCGATACTGCACTCCAGCCTGGTGACAGATCGAGACTCCAGCTCAAAAAAAAAAAAAAAAAAAAGAACTTAGCTGGGTGTAGTCGCTGTAGGCTGCAGCAGGACAATTGTTGGAACCTGAGAGGCAGATGTTGCAGTGAACCGAGATCACACCCCAGCACTGCAGCCTGGACAACAGAGCGAAACTCTATCTCAAAAAAAAAAAAAAAAAAAAAAAAAGAGCATAGACTCTGGGTTGAAATCAGAATCTCTCAGTTTGTGTTTCAGTTTTTTGTCTATAAATTGGGAATAATATTATCTTTATCTTGAGTTGTAGCGAGGGTGTTTTACGTGGATTATCTCATTCAATGCCTAGCACATACTAAGCTCTCAGAGTTAGTTGCTATTTATTTTATTATTAACACACAAGGGCTTATGATAGTTATAATAGTGTTTCTTTACTAAGGGCTTCATATTGTTTCTTTTTATTTCAAGGTTTTATCAAGCTTTTTTTCCCCAAGATGACACCAATTTGAATTTTTTAATTTGATCTCCCTTCTTACATATTGTCTGAAATTTTTTTTAAAAATGTAATAAATGTAAATACGATATACTTTCTCCAAGTTTCACATATGAATAGCTCAGCTTTTTACTGTTCCACACACAATTTTATTTCCTAGATTTTCTCTAGCTTAAAAAAAAAGGCCAAGTGCAGTGGCTGACGCCTGTAGTCCCAGCACTTTGGGAGGCCAAGGCGGGAGGATTGCTGGAGGCCAGGAGTTTGAGACCAGCCTGGGCACCACAGCAAGACCCCATTTCTACAAAAAATAAAAATAAAAAAATTGGCCAGACATAGTCGTGCATTCCTGTAGTCCCAGCTACTCAGGAGGCTGAGGTGGGAGGATTGCTTGAGCACAGGAGTTTAAGGTTACAGTGAGCTATGATTGCACCACTGTCCTCCAGCCTGGGTGACAGAACGAGATCCTATTAAAAAAAAATTATGTATGTTGCCAAATCATGTATACTGCAGACAGGATCACCATTTTATTACTTGTGTTTAAAGTTCAAAGTTTTTTAGACTTTTTGTTTGTCATATTAAGACTAATGATATTAATGGTGTTCCTAATAGGCATACAGCTCTCCTACAACCTGTAATTCAGGCACCAACGTTCCTTCCATTTTTTACTTCCACCGTCTTTAACAAGGCATTTTCAGGGTTTTCACAGAAGGGGAGAGAACAAGGAGACTCACAAGGGGAGATTTTGGGAAGCTAAGCCTAGAGGTATTACGCATCTCCTCCTCTCACATTCCACTGGCCAGGACTCAGTCATGTGGCCACAACTAACTGCAAGTGAAGATGCAAAATGTGGTTTAGCTGTTTGCCCAGAAAGAAAAAGAAATGGTTTGGTAAACAGCCAGTTTCTACCACACATACTTTTTTTCTGTTTAATCAGAACAACCACATAAGATATGTACTGTAAACCAGGGCATGATGGCTCACGCCTGTAATCCCAGTACTTTGGGAGGCCGAGGCAGGCGGATCACGAGGTCAGGAGATCGAGACCATCCTGGCCAACATGGTGAAACCCGATTTCTACTAAAAATAGAAAAATTAGCCAGGCATGGTGGTGCATGCCTGTAGTCCCAGCTACTTGGGAGGCTGAGGTTGGAGAATCCCTTGAACCAGGGAGTTGGAGGTTGCAGTGAGTCGAGATCGCGCCACAGCACTCTAGACAGAGCGAGACTCCATTAAAAAAAAAAAAAAAAAGATATGTACTGTAATTTTTACCACATACTGATGGGGAACCTGAAATTTTGTTTTTTATTTTTTCGTTCATTAAAAAATTTTTTTTTTATTTTTTATTTTTTGAGACAGTCTAGTTCTGTTGCCCGGGTTGGAGTGCAGTGGCGCAATCACAGCTCCTCCCACCTGGAACTCCTGGGCTCAAGCATTCCTCCCACCTCAGCCTCCTGAGTAGTTGGGATTACAGGTATGCGTCACCATGCCTGGATAATTGATACTGAAATTTTGATAGGCTTGAGTACCATACCTAATATTTCACAGTTAATAAATGGCAGAATAGAAACTAAAACCTCAGCAGTCCAGTTCCAGAAACCATATTCTTTATAAAGTTAACTACAACATGACCAACACTGATTTTACTGAAGAGGAATATTTAGGGTTTTTTTAGTTGTAAGAGAGGTGGGATTTTAGAACTGGAAGTAATCCAAATTCATCATTTTAGAGCTGAAGAAATTGAGATGCAGAAGTAGAATGTCATAGTGAAGGTCGAATCATTGCTGTTCAAGTATTATACAATATAAATAAACATTTTTTAAAGAAAATATAATGGCTGGGCATGGTGGCTCATGCCTGTAATCCTAGCACTTTGGGAAGCCGAGGTGGGCAAATCACCTGAGCTCAGGAGTTCCAGACCAGCCTGGCCAACATGGTGAAACCCTGTTTCTACTAAAAATACGCCGGATGTGGTGGCCTGTGCCTGTAGTCCCAGCCACTCGGGAGGCTGAGGCACGAGAATTGCTTGAACCCAGGAGGCCAAGGTTGCAGTAAGTCAGGAGGCTGAGGCACGAGAATCGCTTGAACCCAGGAGGCCAAGGTTGCAGTGAGCCGGGATCACGCCACTGCACTCCAGCCTGGGCTACAGAGCAAGACTCCGTCTCAAAAAAAAAAAAAAAAAAAGCTAAACAAAAAAACCGTAATTGCAACAATGTAACAATGTATATTACATTTTCTAAAAGTTAATTTCTTAAGCTATGTGGTTTAATGGAATTAAGATTTCTTTTTCTTTTCACTCTTTTGAAGTTTTAAAATATTTTTTTTAGTTGACACATAATAATTGTACATATCCATGGGGTACATAGTGATGTTTCTGTACATATAATGTATAGTGATGAGATCAGGGTAATTAGCATATCCATCATCTCAAACATTTATCATTTCTTTGTGTTAGGAACATTCAGTATAGTTGTCCTATTTGAAACCATATGTTAACTATAGTTACCCTACAGTGCTATAGAACACTAGAACTTATTCCTCCTATGTGGCTGTAATTTTGTATATTTTAACAAATTTCAGCCTATCTCTTCCTTCTCTCCACCCTTCCCAGCCTCTAGTATCCTCTGTTCTACTTTTTACTTTTATGAGATCAGCTGGCCAGTGCGATGGCTCATGCTCATAATCCTAGCACTTTGGGAGGCTGCAGCAGGCTGACTGCTTGAGCTCAGAGTTTGAGACCAGCCTAGGCAAGATGGCGAAACCCCATCTCTACAAAAAATACAAAAATTAGCTGTATGGTACATGGTGGCATCACCTGTAGTCCCAGCTACTTGGGAGGCTGAGGTGGGAGGATGGCTTGAGCCTAGGAGGCTCAAGTGAGCTGATATTGTACCACTATATTCCAGCCTGAGCAACAGAACCAGACCCTGTCTCTGAGAAAAAAAAAAAAAAAGAAAGAAAAAGAGAGTGACTAGCATTTTTTAGCTTCTGCATATGAATGAGAACATGCAGTATTTCACTTAACATAATGTCCTCTGGTTCTATCCATGTTGCCACAAATGACAGGATTTCATTCTTTTTTGTGGCTTAGTAGCATTCCATTGTGTGTATGTACCACATTTTCTTTATCCATTCATCTGTTGTTGGATACTCAGGTTGATTCCATATCTTGGCTATTGTGAATAGTGCTGCAGTAAACATGGGAGTGTAGACCTATCTTAAACATACTGATTTCAATTCCTTTGGGTATATACCCAGTAGTGTCATTGCTGGATCATATGGTCGTTCTATTTGTAGTTTTCTGAGGAATCGCCATACTGTTCTCCATAGTGGCTGTACTTTACATTCACAACAACAGTGTATAAGAGTTCCCTTTTCTTTGCATCCTTGCCAGCATTTGTTATTTTTTGTCTTTTTGATAATAGCTATCCTAACTGGGGTAAGAGGATACCTCATTATGCTTTTGATTTGCATTTCCCTGATGCTTAATTATGTTGAGCATTTTAAAATATATCTGTTGGTCATTTGTGTGTCTTCTTTTGAGCAATGTCTGTTCAGATCATTTGCCCATTTTTTAGCTGGATTGATTGTGTGTGTGTGTGTGTGTGTGTGACGGAGTCATTCTCTGCACTCTGTTGCCCAGGCTGGAGTGCAGTGGCGTGATCTTGGCTCATTGCAACCTCCACCTTCACGGTTCAAGTGATTCTCGTGCCTCAGCCACTCGAGTAGCTGGGACTACAGGTGTGCACCAGACCTGGCTAATTTTTGTATTTTTAGTAGAGACGGGGTCTCACCATGTTGGCCAGGCTGGTCTGGAACTCCTGACCTCAAGTGATCCACCGTCTCAGCTTCCCAAAATGCTGGGATTACAGGCATGAGCCATGGTGCCTGGCGTTTGTTTTTTTTTTTTCTTTTGCTGTTGAGATATTTAAGTTCCTCATAGATTTTGCCTATTAATTTCCTGTCAGATGAATAGTTTGCAGATATTTTTTCCCATTCTGTGGGGTTTTTTTTTTTATGCTATTGATTGCTTTATTTGGTGTGCAGAAGCTTTTTAGTTTGATATAATCTAAAAATGGGAATTTGTTTATTTTTGGTTTTGGTGCCTATACTTCTGAGACCTTACTAATAACATTTTTTCCAAGACTAATGTCCTGAAGCATTTCCCCTATGTTTTCTTCTGATAGTTTTATAGTTTTGTGTCTTACATTTAGGTCTTTGATCCATCTTCAGTTGACTTTTGTATAGGGTGAGAAGTGGGGGTCTAGTTTTGTTTTGTTTAATTTTCATATGCATATCCAGTTTTTCCCCCAGCACCATTTATTGAAGAGACTGTCCTTTCCTGAATTAGTGTTCTTGGCATCTTTGTCAAAAATCAGTTGGCTATAGATAATGTGGATTAACTTCTGGGTTCTCTATTCTGTGCCATTTTTCTATGTATCTGTTTTTATGCCAGTACTATTCTGTTTGGGTTACTATGGCTTTGTAGTGTATTTTGAGATCTGGTAGTCTAATGCCTCCAGCTTTTTTTTTTCTTCTTTTCTCAAGATTACTTTTGTTGTTTGAAGTCTTTTGAGGTTTTATATAAATTTTAGGATGGTTTTTTTATTTCTGTGAAGAGTGTCATTGGTATTTTGATAGGGATTTTATGGAATCTATAGATTATATTGGGTAGTATTGTCATTTGAACAATATTAATTCTTCCAATCTATGAACATGGGATGTCTTTCCATTTGTTTGTATCCTCTTCAGTTTCTTTCATCAGTGTTTTCCTTGTAGAGGTCTTTCACCTCCTTGGTTAAATTTACTCCTAAGTTTACTCCTTATTATTTTTGTACCTATTATTAATGTATCCAGTTTTCTGATAGAAGAATGATGCCTTATTTAGGCACTAATGTCTTTTATCATGTTTTCTGTTGAAAATCTTTTGTTTTAACTTGGAGAGTTTGCCTTTGAAGCAATACCCAGTAGATTATAGAATGGTGGGTGAATTTTGCCAAAGAGATGGAGCAGTTGATCTTAAGACAGGTTGTTGTTAAGAATACACATGGGTGCAGAGGCTCATACCTGTAATCCCAGCACTTTGGGAGGCCGAGGCGGGTGGATCGTCTGAGGTCAGGAGTTCAAGACCAGCCTGGACAATATGGTGAAACCTTGTCTCTACTAAAAATACAAAAATTAGCCAGGTGTGGTGGCAGGCACCTGTAATCCCAGCTACTCGGGAGGCTGAGGCATGAGAATCTCTTGAACCCGGGAGGCAGAGGTTGCAGTGAGCCGAGATCCTGCCACTTCACTCTAACCTGGGAAATAGAGCAAGACTGTGTCTCCAAAAAAAAAAAAAAAGAATTCACATGATAATTTGAGGAGGGGGAAGAGTACAGATGACATATTTAAACTTTAATTCTTAACAATTCACAACCAGTGGGTTTCACGTAAATGGTATTAAGCTTTAATGTAGAAAAATAAATAATGGCATTGGTCAAATGTGTCTTCTCAGGTCTTCTTTGGTTCAGGATTTTTTTTTTTAATTTTTTTGAGACAGGCTCCCACTCTGTCACCCAGGCTGAGTGCAGTGGCGTGATCACAGCTCACTGCAGCCTCAAAATCCCAGGCTTAAGCAGTCTGCCCACCTCAGCCTCTCGAGTATCTGGGGCTACAGGCAAACCACTACACCCAACTAATTTTTGCTATTTTATAGAGATGGGGTCTCACTATGTTGCCCAGGCTGGCCTTGAACTCCTGGATGCAAGCGATCCTCCCACATTGGCCTCCCAAAGGCTGAGATTACAGGCATGAGCCACCAGACCCGACTGATTTAGGCTTTTTTAAAAATTAAGTTATTGGCTGGGCACAGTGGCTCATGCCTGTAATCCCAGCACTTTGGGAGTCCGAGGCAGGCAGATCACCTGAGGTTGGGAATTCGAGACCAGCCTGACCAACATGGAGAAACGCCGTCTCTACTAAAAATACAAAATTAGCCGGGCGTGGTGGTCCATACCTGTAGTCACAGCTACTCGGGAGGCTGAGGCAGGAGAATCGCTTGAACCCCGGAGGTGGAGGTTGCGGTGAGGTGAGATTTTGCCATTGCACTCCAGCCTGAGCAACAAGAGCAAAACTCCATTAAAAAAAAAATTATTTTTCAATGTATTCTCTTCCCGTCCCCCAAGAGCATTAGAGTTACTCAGGGAAGGACCCAAGAAAATGGGAGAAGGGTTTTTTAATATTATGGGACTGAGATCCAAGTTTAAATACTAATTCCATTAAGAAGGAAAAAAAAGTCCTCCATTGTCAGTCTTGAGAAGTGTGAGCATGGGGGATAGCAGGATCACAATTGATGTGGGGGACAGGAGAGAACTAATAAAGAGTAAGTACTGTATACTAGAACCTGAGCCTAGGCACTCCTCATTTTGAACAGGGAGTTTTATACTACCAAAAGTGGTTTTTGTCATATGATTAAATACGTGTTTGTAATTTAAGAGATAGGGATGGACTTTTGTTTCATGTCTCTGTTGAGTTTATTATATACAAATCCCAGAGACATTTTTGTGGGATAGGAATGAATAAGTGGCAGTGCAAAAGGATTTTTTTAAAAATTATTTTGGCGAGGAAGCTTTTAGTTCCCTTCCTCAAACCCCATCAGCACTACCTCAAATAAACACACAATCAGTGTAAACAATTGTATACTTTCTTTGCCAAGGCAACTTCAAGACAAGTCCTGTAATACTTACTCTCCCCACTTCCCCCAACCAGAATGGCTCCCAGAGAACCACTGGATAAAGAATTACGTGGTCAGACATTGTCAGAAAGGTTGGGAAAAACCATTTTGGTGATTCTATTGGAAGGTATACATGCTTCAAAAGAAGTAGTAAATAAAGCTGGGTGGAGGAAAAAGACAAAACAAAACAATGGATGTTTGTGCAAGGGGAAGAGAAAAGAGAGAAGTCAGACTTTGAGTTTATATTAGGTTACTAAAAGATGATATTTGAGTTCTTCATACAATAATAATAATTTTTATTTAGCATTTCTTACATGCCAAACGCTGATGTAAACACTTTTACGTTTATTAACTACTATAATTTTTAAAACAATCCTGAGAGGTAGGTAGTTTTCTTATAGTTTACTAATGAAGAAACTGAGGCACAGTAAAGACAACTATCCTGCTCAAGGTAACACAACTAATAAGTGGCAAATTCAGGATTCAAATTCAGGCATTCTGGTTTCATAGCTCATACCCTTAACTACCAGACTGTTCTACCACTCTAGTATATATTAGGCCTTTCCTCTACATAAGGTTGTAAATTCACATAATTTTGTTATTTATTATTTAATTTCCCACTACTCAAGTTTGAGGGAGGAAGCCTTTTTTTTTTTTTTTTTTTTTTCTGAGACAGAGTCTCACTCTATCACCAGGCTGGAGTGCAGTGGCACGATCTCAGCTCGCTGCAACCTCCGCCTCCTGGGTTCGAGCGATTCTCCTGCCTCAGCCTCCCATGTAGCTGGGACTGTAGGTGTGTGCCACCATGCCCAGCTAATTTTTGTATTTTTAGTAGAGACGGGGTTTCACCGTGTTGGCCAGGATGGGAAAGCCATATGTTATTTGCCTTCTTATCCCTAATTAAACACTGTTCTTTTTTTATAGAGATGCTTACTGAGTAAATGAGTCAATGAATGAAAAATTTCAGTGACCATTTTTCCCTCTAATTTTAGGATCTTCACACTATATAGCAAATCACTACCACTTGATCTGGCCTGTCGAGTCTGGGATGTATTTTGCAGAGATGGGGAAGAATTTTTATTTAGGACTGGATTAGGAATCCTCCGATTATATGAAGATATTCTCCTGCAGATGGACTTTATTCATATAGCACAGTTTCTAACTAAATTGCCAGAAGATATCACATCGGAAAAGCTGTTCAGTTGTATTGCAGCCATTCAGATGCAGAATAGCACCAAAAAATGGACTCAGGTAGAGTGACATTTTCTTATCTTTAATAGATGTGTTAAAGCAGTTGACTTATTGTAAAAAAGTTAGGTATTTCTTAAAAGTTAGTACTTAAAAATATGTCTTTTAAAAATAATTTTTGACTTCTAAGAAGCAAGAGTTTAAATCAAATTGCCCACTTTGCAGCTATCCAAACATAGGGCTTATTTTATTTTATTTTATTTTATTTTATTTTATTTTATTTTATTTTATGTTATTTTATGTTATGTTATTTTATGTTATTTTATGTTATTTTATGTTATGTTATTTTATGTTATTTTATTTTATTTTATTTTATGTTATTTTATTTTATGTTATTTTATTTTATGTTATTTTATTTTATGTTATTTTATTTTATGTTATTTTATTTTATGTTATTTTATTTTATATGTTATGTTATGTTATGTTATGTTATGTTATGTTATGTTATGTTATTTTATTGTCACCCAGGCTGGAGTGCAGTGGTGTGATCTCGGCTCACTGCAAGCTCCACCTCCTGGGTTCACACCATTCTCCTGCCTCAGCCTCCCAAGTAGCTGGGACTACAGGTGCCCGCCACCACGCCCGGCTAATTTTTTGTATTTTTAGTAGAGATGGGGTTTCACTGTGTTAGCCAGGATTGTCTCAATCTCCTGACCTTGTGATCCACTCGTCTTGGCCTCCCAAAGTGTTGGGATTACAGGCGTCAGTCACCGCGCCTGGCCTATTTTATTTTATTTTGAGACGGAGTCTCACTCTGTCGCCCAGGCTGGAGTGCAGTGGTGTGATCTTGGCTCACTACAACCACCGTCTCCCGGGTTCAAGCAATTCTTTTGCTGCAGTCTCCCGAGTAGCTGGGATTACAGGCACATGCCACCACGCCCAGCTAATTTTTTGTATTTTTAGTAGAGACGGGGTTTCACCATGTTAGCCAGGATGGTCTCGATCTCCTGACCTTGTGATCTGCCCGCCTCAGCCTCCCAAAGTGCTGTGATTACAGGCATGAGCCACTGCACTTGACTGGGCTTTATTTTATTTAAGTCCAGTATTATCAATTTAGTGAAGTACAACCCACAGTAGTCATTTATTTGCCAGAGTAGTTATTATTTTGGTATTTCAAATAGACAACAATTTTATTATATTAAATACCTACTGTGTACTAGGGTTTGTAGTTGAAAGAATATATAATGTATGGTCCTGGCTTTTAGATGCTTAGTCTTGTTAGGAAAGTAAAAGCATTGGCAATCTAAGTTAAGTGACATAAAAGGATAGCAGTATCACTCAATCCATGAATGATATAAACAATTGGCATTATTAAATTCACAGTCTTATTGGTTCAGAAAATGTTATGTTACCAAATAGTAATTTCAGAATAGTTGGCAATTGGTAAAAATTGGAATCTAATCATATTTCATGATTAGAAAAAAATAAAGGGGATTTGAGAATGACACACTTTCGGGGACAGTGTTAAGTATAATAAAGCTTTTTCATGTTTATGAACTATAGTTATTTAAATCTCTTTAATCTGGGTGGTAGTTTTTGAGGATTAATCTTTATTTTATATAATTTTCAGGTCTTTGCATCTGTAATGAAGGATATTAAAGAAGGAGACAAGAACAGTAGTCCTGCTTTGAAAAGCTAGTCTTCAAAATTGACAGACTAACTGACATAGAAAAAGTGGTTTTTGGATAAAGGTTTTTTGTTTCCTATGTAAAAGGCGTGGAAGAAAATGTTGGAGATACCTAAAAGAATCAAGAGGTGGAAAACTGCTGATTTTACATTTTATGGCTGAAGTAAATGAAATAAGTAACTTATTGACAGTATTAATAAACTATTATTTTGTAGGTAGAGTCATTTTTCAAAGGAAAAAGTTTAAGTGGTGAGTTTATATTCCACAATTTGGAGTAAACAAAATGCAATAAATTTTTAAAATAGCTTTGAAGATACTTCAAATTTTTACATCTTTTCTTTTGTAACAGTTACCACAAAGATATTCTGGAGGCTAGAGTAGGATTGTTAAATACTACTGTTAACCTCCAAAGTACTATAGTACAGACATTGTTTCCAGTTCTGACCTTTTGAAGATATTATAGACCAGTAATGAACAGATTTGGTTGTAAATTATTTAAGTCACTGAAGATGTCATTTATCTTCATTCACAAGTTGGGGCAAATTCGAGTTACCTAGGAACTGGAAATGTTGGTGGGAGATTGTTTATTGTTTGTTTAGATGTTTTTCCATAGTATGGTGTCCATTTGTTTTTTAAGGGAAATTTTTTGTCTTCCTTAAGGAATTCCTATCACTCAGAGAATTTTAGCCATTCTGGTTCTAGTCTAACAAATTATTCATCTAATAATTTGACATTAAGAAAACTATAAATAACTGGTAGAAGGAAAGTGCTTTGCACTTCAGTGGATTGAAGACTTGACTTTGAGAGTAAGTCCAAAAACATATATGATGTTTCTCAGTGATAAGAGTAAAAAGTAATGAATCCTGAGAGTTCTTAAACAGCATGCTACTTGGCAAGACTTCATATTTTTTAGTTACAATTCTTCCACTGTTTAACTCCAGTTTGAAATTTGAAATCTAATATGTAGCTAAATCTGTGACTTGTAAAACTCTATGCATAATTTTTCCTAATCAGTGGAAATAAGAATAAAAGAAAAAGGTAAAGTTAATTTTTTTTCTAAGTCTACATCCTATCTCTTGATTCAGTTGCCTGAAGAAGCTGGGTAAGGAGATTAGTCTTGTTATTGATTCTTTTATGTGTCAGTGCCATCTTAATCTCTTCACATGGTACACTAAATGCTGCCTATAACCCATCCTCATCTTCTTTACTCATCATTGCTTTCTTCAAGGAAGGTCTTGATACTGCCCTCGTCTACCTCACTATCCGCTAGTCTAGATAGTGACTCTTTGGAAAATTGGTAGCCTCTGAATGAGTTATCCAACTTCTGCTTCCTCACATTGGCCACTTTGCATAGGTTCGGGAACTTAGCAGGTTTTAAATCATCATGCCCATGGAGGTGAAATACTTTGAGGAATGGGAACATCTCTTCACTGTGTTTTTGGATCAGCCTTCTCTCAACCGCCAAGAAATGCATGATTTCCCTGCCAACTCTAGGAAGTAGTGCTGCATGATTGAATCATTATTTGATGAATTCTTTCATTGTAACATAGGGAGTCATTTTCAAAAAGGTAGATATGAACTTAAATTAAATTGACTTATGAATGCTTTGCCTGTGGGCCCAACAGTGTCATGACCCTCCAATTGAAACATAGCATGAATTATTTTTATGTCGAGTTCTTGAACTGCTAATCAGGTGTGTGTTTCCTTGAAGTCCAGAGCAGGATCCAGGTCAGATGAAGGAGGTGGTATGCCTGGCTTAACTGCTGAAAATAGAGCATTGAAACTCTTCACAATGTGCTGCATTGGGTTTCTGCTTGGCTTTCTCACTGAAAAGTAAATTGGGGAAAATGCTGCTTTTACTATTTTGCATTTTATAGCAACATTAACAGTCTTTTCCCAGTCAGGTGCTGTCCAGGGAACATGTTTCCCTTGGGAGGTCTGAACAGAGTGACCTGGCTTGATGTATTTCCTGAGCTCTAGTACCATATCATAGAATTAGTTAAATGTAGTCAACAGCAATGTCAGAACAATTGACATTGTCTTTCCAAGAGTGAATGCATTGGCTTTCGGAACTGCTACTAGAGACATACATGAGGCAGCGAACACATCTTTAGGTGGGGGCAAGGCTATATCTGATTGACAGAGATCTCTGATCTCTAATGACATATTGCTATTGTCCTATTATGTTTAAATTTGAACCTAAATCACTTGAGTGTTATGAGTGATGGCTATATAACATGCTGTTTGGTTAGATTTACAGTGTGTTTTTATGTTGCAGTTTAGTTTGAAACAACACTTAAGCACACTATTTCTGTTAGTGTATATAGTTTTCAAACTAACAAGCCTGCGATCCTTGTTAGTGTAGTGACTGCCTCTTTAGGAGTATGGGGCCCTAGGGTGTCCATATATTTTTACCCCATGGGTCATTCTAGTCTAAGGACTACTAGTAGAACCCTCAAAAGGTAATTGCTATTATAGGGACTTACTTATTGGAGACTGGTAATATAATAAAATATTGAAGGAGTGGCCATGGTCTTAGCAGGTTTTAGAATGACCTTTTAACTCCAGTAACTACTTCCTTGGTATTGGTATCCTTGATAGAGGGAATATAACATCTGGCAGTAATCTCATTCAGGTTATACTACCTGACTAAATTTAATCATACTTTCATGTATTTGTTTCCTCAGTTGGACCTAAGTTACTGTATTTGTTTTTCTTATTTTTTTATTATTGTACAGTTTCTTTACCTTTCAAGTATAAATGTGTATATAAAATGTAAATACAAAGAATTCACTAAAAACCACTCATAACAATTACTGTGTAAATAAAACTGGTAAGCAGAGTAATTACTTGAAATGAGTCTTCATTACTTTGGGGATATCTGTTTTATTTAACTGCATCTCAAGGAAACAAAGGAAATAATCTTTGTTTTTGTTTGCCAAATTTGTCTTCCAAGGAATGCACTAAGCCTTCAGTCTTTTTAGACTGACAGTACTGGCAGCTAAAATATTGTACTGTATCTTCTCTTGAGCCCAGTATGTAGGAAATATGTGATAATTCACATGGTCAGTATATGGCAGTTTTTGTTGTTGTTGTTACAGTATATTTTCAATTAAAAAAAAACTTTTCCTAAAATACTCAAAATAATGTGAAATTTAATATGGTGTTTCATTTGTTTGTCTACTCAATATATATATTTCTTACTTAATGTTCCTTTAGTCCAGGTCTACAATGCCTTATTTAAATGCTGTTAGAAAAAAAAATGCTGTTAGAAGACTCCAGTAACTCGCATAGTTTTGTATAGTCAGCTTTTGCTGATGTCTTTTGCATATGTGACCTTTGAGTATATTTGTTTGACTTTATAAAATTAGGTAGCATTTGCAAAATGACATTGACATTTTCAAAATCTCTGACTTCAAGATAATAGCGTTCCTTGCAGCTTAGGAACTAATGTTATTTTGACCTAGGCCAGTCAACTCTTTAGAGTCTACACTACTGAAGGGTATAATTCTAAAGCAGATAATCATGAAATAATTTATCTTACTTCATAATGTCATATGATTTATTTTTATTTTTAATTTTATGTTTTTGTTTGGGTAAGATAAAATTATTTTATATTCCAAGAGTGTGTTCAGACAGCAGGGACTAGTATAAAATAGAGTCAAAAAAGTGTAAGGTAGCATTGGACAGTAAGTTACATTAAAATTAAAATTTGTCATGACTAATTGATAGTGTCAGAAAACAGTCTTCTGAGAGGAAAAAAATGTTATTTTTGTATGGAATCGTATTATTTTGCTGTTTGACAAGCATTGTCTAAAATATGAATTCTCAACTCTAATAAAACCTCATTAACTAGAACATCACTGCTTTACAACATGTAAAAACTAAAATGAAATCCAGGATTTCAGGGAAACTAACCACTCCAGAGAAAGCCCTGCTCTTTAAAAATA